>NC_000005.10:90715867-91018897 GCF_000001405.40 Homo sapiens
AGTTAATATAGGTTAAGCAATTAGTAAGTTCTTAATAGTATTAGTTGTAATTATTATTAATATAAGTGACAGTAAAAAATAGAACACTCTTGATTTGTGAAGGTTACTCAGCTTGCTTTGTGTTCTTACTGTAGTTCTAATATTTTCTCTTACATTTTCTTAGTAGACAATCATGTCATCTAGAAAATAGTGACAGTTCTGACTCTTTCCACTACTTTTACAGGTGTTATCTGGCTGATAGCCCTGGGACACTGTTAAATAGTAACAATTATGACAGACATTATTATTTTGTTTCTGTTTTTAGTGGGAATGCTGCTAATGTTTCAATATTTGATATTTGTTGTTGACTTCTGAGAGATACTGCTTCATCAGGTTAAGGAAGCTGCCTTTTATCCCAAGATTACTGAGTATTTTTCTATCATGATTGAATATGTTATTTTATTAAATGCTTTAAAAAATTCTGTCATTTTTAAGATCATCTTAAGACAATCACCTTAGGTAAAGAGTTGGCCTAGTTTTCAATTAGACATCCACACTTTTTTCAGCATTTATAACCTCTTCTATTTTCATTTGTTGCTTTAATATTTTTATTTTGGCAGCCTTAATTATTGTCCTTGCTAATGATGACGGCCCTGGAGTTCTATCATTTAACAACAGTGAGCACTTTTTCCTAAGAGAGCCAACAGCTCTCTACGTCCAGGAGAGTGTTGCAGTATTGTACATTGTTCGGGAACCTGCACAAGGATTGTTTGGAACAGTGACAGTTCAGTTCATTGTGACAGAAGTGAATTCCTCAAATGAATCTAAAGATCTGACTCCTTCCAAAGGCTATATTGTTTTAGAAGAAGGTGTTCGATTCAAGGTACAGTAAGAAGCTTTAATGAGAATGGAAGTTTATCTTTAATATTTACAAAATAAATTTCTCTTAGATGAGCACTCAAGTCCTAGAATGAAAAAACAATACTTCCAGCTTAGGTGTTAGACAAAGACATGATTCATTTACTATGTGACAAGTGCTGTAGTTCTATTTACTCTGTATAAAGCGCAACTGGAAAAATTTACTATTAATAGGGTAAAAGAATATGCAAATAATAAAGAAAATATATGTATGGCTATTTTAAATTTTCAGCACATTTAAATTGCATATGTCACTTTATATTGTGTATAAACCATATAAAAGAAAACCCAAGCCAACTTTTGTAAACATTAAGTCCCAGCCAATCATTTCCCTTTCACCACATTTTTGTTGAACAAAATGTAACTGCTTACTTCAGACTGCTTGTTTGACAACAAGAATAGTTTATTGGAGAAAAAAATGCTGGATTTGGGATAAATATGATCTATACTCACAGTTTACCTTCCCAAACCTCTTTTTCTATATATTAACAATTTTCTGTTCCTGCTACTAAACTTTATTTTTTAAAACAGTTTAAGTTTAAAATGCAGCACACCAACATGGCACATGTACACATATGTAACAAACCTGCATGTTGTGCACATGTACCCTAGAACTTAAAGTATAATAAAAAAAAAAGCAATTTGCAAGATTATGTTGCAAATGTGATTTTTTTTTTTTTTTTTTTTTGAGGCAGAGTCTCACTCTGTCATCCAGGCTGGAGTTCAGTGGCGCAATCTAGGTTTACTGCAAACTCCACCTCCCAGGTTCAAGTGATTCTGGAGTGCAGTGACGCGATCTCAGCTCACTGCAAGCTCTGCCTTCCGGGTTCATGCCATTCTCCTGCCTCGGCCTCCTGAGTGGCTACAGGCGCCCACCACTACAGGCGCCCACCATCATGTCTGGCTAATTTTTTGTATTTTTAGTAGAGACGGGGTTTCACCGTGTTAGCCAGGATGGTCTCGATCTCCTGACCTCGTGATCCGCCCGCCTCAGCCTCCCAAAGTGCTGGGATTACAGGCATGAGCCACCACGCCCAGCTATTCCCAGCTAATTTTTTGTATTTTTAGTAAAAATGGGGTTTCACCATATTGGCCAGTCTGGTCCCAAACTCCTGGTGCCAAGTGATCTGCCCGCCTCAACCTCCCAAAGTGTTGGGATTAAAGGCATGAACCACTGTGCCGGGCCTGTGATTATTTTGACTCATTTTTTATTGTGGAAAAATACGTGTAATATAAGATTTACCATTTTCACCATTTTTAGTGAACGTTTCAGTGGCATTAATTATATTCACAGCAATGTACAACCATCACCACCATCTATTTCCAAAATTTTTCATCATTCCAAGGACAAACTCTGTGCCCATTAAGTAGTAACTCCCTATTACTCCTCTCCCTAGTAATCTCCAGTCTACTTTCTGTCTCTATGAATTTGCCTATTCTAGATATTTCGCATATGTGAAATTATACAGTATTTACCCTTTTGTGTCTGACTTCCTTCGCTTAGCAAAATGTTTTCAAGGTGCATCTGTGTTGTTACAGGTATCAGAACTTCATTCCCTTTTCACAGCTAGATTATATTTTATTGTATGTATATACCGTAATTTTTAAATCCAGCTATCTGTTGTTTCCACCTTTTGACTCTTGTCAATAAAGCTCCTATTATTGTGAAAATAAAATAAAATAAAATAGCTGATTATGTTAGCTTTAGGCATTTTTCAAGCCTGCTGTAGAAAATATAATAAATCTAAAATAATAGATTTAAAGCTATTTTGTCTAAAACAGTCCATCTAATAATTATTTTTTTAAATGATCATTTTATGTAACTTCAGCACATTTGCAAATGCATATTCATTGTCATGGTTTTTTTTCACATTTTGGAAATTTAAAACCTTAATTGGTTTGTGCAAGATCACTTACATTTAAATCTTGAAATATATATATAAAAATTCAAATTTGAAATATTTTATTAATTTTCTATTGCTTTATTCATGTTTTTTCATCTTTAAAATTTTTCTCAAATTTGTTGTTTTTTTTTACTGTGACTTTTTTCATAAAAGACTCCTTTTTCACAGTATAGCTATATACTTTTCTTTTTATTAGGCAAATTAAATGTTAGAGCAAATTGGATTAAATAAATTTTTTAACCGACATAACTGTTTTTATTCCAAAAAGTTTTTATTTTGAGGTATAAGTAGTAAAATACACAAATCTTAAGTATATGGCTTAGTGACTGTAAAGATATATATATACATACATGTAACTACCACTCAGATTAAAATATTTAACATTAAAGCTGGGCGTAGTGGCACACGCCTGTAATCTTCCGGGGGCTAGGCGGGCGGATCACTTGAGGTCAGGAGTTCGAGACCAGCCTGGCCAACATAGTGAAACCCTATCTCTACCAAAAATACAAAAACTAGCTGGGTGTAGTGGTGTGTACCTGAATGGTACTCAGGAGGCTGAGGCAGGAGAATAACTTGAACTTGGGAGGTGGAGGTTGCAGTGAACAGAGTGCCACTGCATTTCAGCCTGGGTGACAGCACAAGACTCTGTCTCATAAATAAATAAATAAATAAATAAATAAATAAATAAATAAATAAATGTATTTAACATTATCATCACCCGGAAGATTCCCCCTGTCTCTTCCCCTTTCCAGAGGAAACTACTTTCTGATTTCTATCATTGAAGACTCATTTTGCTGGTTCTTGAGCTTCATATAAATAGAATCATACAGTGTGTACTCTTTTGTGTCTGGCTTCTTTCACTCAATATAATGTTTAGGTCTGTATGGTTGCATGCATCAGTAGTTGGACATTTTTTTTAATCACTGAGTAGCATTTTATAAAATAGACCACTATTGGTTTGTCTGTTCTCCCACTGATGAACGTTCGGATGTTTCTAATTTGTGCCTGCTATGACTACAAATGTTTTTTTAACAGTGAACCCTAGATTAGAATGAGATTAATCAAGTTATGTAGCCAGAGCAGGACAAAAAGTTCACAAAAATGAAGACATAGATGTAATTTTTAATCAATGTTATTTTAAAATGCACTAAATATTTTTTGGACACTTTAGTGCAGTATATCACAAAGTTGAAAATCCTAAAAGTAGTAACCTGAAACAGATGTAACCATCACATTATAGGAATCAGTATTAAATCAAAGTGAGATGATATTTTTCAAAACATGCTATTTTGTTGTCAGAAATGTTCAGTAGATTTCGCTATATATGTGTTACAAAAATACTGTATTCTAGTAACCTTATCTTTTGATTTTGTTTTCAGGCCCTACAAATATCTGCCATATTAGACACGGAACCAGAAATGGATGAGTATTTTGTTTGCACCTTGTTTAATCCAACTGGAGGTGCTAGACTAGGGGTGCATGTTCAAACCCTGATAACAGTTTTGCAAAACCAGGCCCCTTTGGGGCTATTCAGTATCTCTGCAGTTGAAAATAGGTATAGTTTATTCATAAGGAAATTATCACTTCTGAAGCTATAAGTAGGGAATATTTTTTGACATAAGAAAATGCAGAAGGAAATTGATATCTGATTATTTTAAAAGGGATTTTTAAAATGAACTCTAGAAAAGATAGGTCTAGAGAGACCAGTTACTCTCCTAACTGGGAGTATCAAAAACCTAAACTCACCCTGTTATTAGAATGGTGTTATTAGAATTCTTATTTTCTCAGAGTTCACACTTTCAGGTAAAGGTCTGTACTATTTTGTGTTTTAAAAATAATAAAAAGCAAGAAATAATAGAAAGCAGACTTAACTGCTCAAACCAAGTGAATGACTCTTCAAATATATATTAACATGATTGTGGTTTTAAAATTTCTTCTAGAGGCTGACAAATATTTATTTTTTATATCATAAAAATATTTTAATAGATCTAGTTTCATTAATATGTTAATTTCCTGACTCATTTTTTTCCTATAAAGTGTTTTTGATACATGTGTGAAGAAACATAAGAATGACAATTTTATTTCTTTTTCAGAATATAGAGTGCAAAGTTACTGAAGTAACTGATTTTTAGTATTTTCTTATCATCTCATCTTGGATTGTGTAAATTTAAAAATGTATTAAGTATATGCTAGCAATATGATATATATTTCAAATATGTAGAATGTATACTTTTTCTGCTTCCCTCAATCCATGTATTTCTTTCAGAGCCACCTCCATAGACATCGAAGAAGCCAATAGGACCGTGTATTTAAATGTATCTCGAACTAATGGCATTGATTTGGCTGTGAGTGTGCAGTGGGAGACAGTATCTGAAACAGCCTTTGGCATGAGTATGTTTCATTTCTTATGAGAACAAAATTCTGTAACGAAAAAATATTGCATGTATAAGATTTATATTTTTTCCTTTGAATTGTATGTTATTGATCATTTGAAAATGGAAAACAGATAATCTAATTCTTTTATTGCATCTATAAATATGTGTTGAGGCTGGGCGCTCATGTGTTGAGGCTCATGCCTGTAATCCCAGCACTTTGGAAGGCCGAGGCGGGTGGATCACAAGGTCAGGAGATCGAGACCATCCTGGCTAACATGGTGAAACCCCATCTTTACTAAAAATACAAAAAATTAGCCGGGCGTAGTGGCAGGCGCCTGTGGTCCCAGCTACTCGGGAGGCTAAGACAGGAGAATGGCGTGAACCTGGGAGGCGGAGCTTGCAGTGAGCCGAGATCGTGCCACTGCACTCCAGCCTGGTCAACAGAGCAAGACTTGGTCTAAAAAATAAAATAAAATAAAATAAAAATAAAAATAAAATAAAATAAAATAAAATAAAATAAAATAAAATAAAATAAAATAAAATAAAATATGTATTTAGTGCCTATGCCAGGCATGGCACTGAACTCGTGGATCTTAGAATTTAGGGGATGGGGGTGACAGAAATGAATCAAGTAAGTAAAAATCAATGTATACTTTAAACTTTAGTAAGTGCTTTTGTCAAAGGAGAAGTTCTAAGTGTTGAAAGAATATAGGGGAATGCTTTCAAGGGGTATTGATCTTTGAGCTAAGACTGAATGATGAGTAGAGATTGATTATGCAAAGGACTGGGTTGGAAGAACATGGAGGTGAGAGTGAGAAGCTGTGAAGGCAGAAAACTGAGGCATAAAAAGCACACATAAGTGAAGAACTTGAGTGGATAGTAGGTACAGAAATAAGGAGGAATGTTGAGCTTGGATAGCTGGACAAGACCATATCATTCAAGAACTTAAGGAATATTTTATAGTTGCCAGTCTTTATAATAGTGTTAATGGAAAGCCTTCGAGTGGTTTAGGAATGGAGGAGAGTTACCATATGTAATGTGGTATGGTATAATCATATATGGATTTTGAAGATATTATTCACAGTGCCATGTAAATAATGGGTTGATACAGAAGAGAAGTGAAGATACAGGGAGGCAAGATGGTGGTAGCTTAGACTAGGTGTTGAGTATGAAGGTGAGGGACAGGGAAGTACCAAAGATGACTCAGGCTTCTAGCTTGTGCAGTTGGATGGGAGAAGGGGTTCATGCTATTCATTAAGATGGAATTCCAAAAAAGAATAGATGTATTTTAGTAAGGGGAGTAAAATAAATGTGGTTTAACACATTTTGAATTTGAGTTACTTTTGAGAATAAATTTCTCTAGACTCAAAAGAAGGTCTCTGCTGGGCCGGGCGCGGTGGTTCATGCCTGTAATCCCAGCAGTTTGGGAGGCCGAGGTGGGCGGATCACCTGGGGTCGGGAGTTTCAGACCAGCCTGACCCACACGGAGAAACCCCATCTCTACTAAAAATACAAAAAAAATTAGCCGGGCTTGGTGGCGCACGCCTATAATCCCAGCTACTTGGGAAGGCTGAGGCAGGAGAATCGCTTGAACCTGGGAGGTGGAGGATGCCGTGAGCCGAGATCGCACCATTGCACTCCAGCCTGGGCAACAAGAGCAAAAACTCCGTCTCAAAAAAAAAAAAAAAAAAAAAAAAAAAAAAAAAAAAAAAAGGTCTCTGCTGGAGAGATAAACCTTGGAACTTTAGCTATATATATTGTATTTGAAGTCATGGAAATTGATGTAATAATCTGAAAAGAAAGGCTGAAGATGGAGAAGGGAAGAGGACACTATAGACTGAACTATAAGAAGGTTCAACTTGAATGGCTGAGGATATGGGATGATGGCCTAGCAAAGGAGACTTAGGGGACCTGGTAGGAAACTCAGGAGAAAACAGGATGGCAGATACCAGCAGAAGAGTGCTTTAAAATGGAGGAAAAAGTAAACGGTGTCAACCCCTGGTGAGAAGTCCAGTAAAATGAGAACCTGGAAAATAATTATTATAATTAGCAACATAGAAGGCATTAATGACCATAGAAAGGGCTATTTGTATAGAAAGATGGGGAATTAATACCATTTTGAATAGAGGTGAAAGAAGAGAGACCTCAAATATATGCAACCATTTCAAGAAGTTTGGCAGGGAAGATAGGACCTGGAGAAGGTAGTAGTGGTGTGGTGTCGGAGGTTTTTTGCATGTTTAGTTTGGAGAGACCCAAGCATGTGTAGGTTGGATGGAAAAGGTAGAGAAATGTTAAATATTTAGAAGAAAAAGGAGATAATTAATAGTGGTATGGTTGTCTAGAAGACAAGCTGAGATGGGATCCAAAAAAGAAAGTCTGGTTTCTAATTTAGATTTCTGCATTACGCTTGGACTTTGCATGTGTTTTTTGGAAGTACTCATGAGAGCACATGTCGGAGATTCTTAATTGTTAGCAGTCATTGCTTATTCTTCATTTGTGGTCGTCTTGAATTATTGTAGAGAAGGATTTGTCCATATGTCAGGACCATTTGGGACTCTAAATGAAAAATCTGCAGTATACCTTTAAAAGGGAGCAACATAAAAATTTAAAATGCTGGATTTTTAGGAAAGGAAATTGCTATTGGATATTACATGTAAGGCATTGACAAATTCTCTTGAATTAGTAATCTAAAAATGATCAATCATTTATAGGGAGCCCAGGTTTCAACCTTGATAGTTGTTCTTACTGCATCATGTTCACACCATTAACCAAAATTTAAAAAGAACTTAATGTTTTGGAGGGAAGCAGCCATGTTAAGAGACTATACATTTTTTAAAAAATGTTTACTCCTCATTAGTTAGGGGATTTTTATTTTTGCCCTTTTTTTTTCTTTTTTTTTGTAGTACAGAATTTTAAAACATGTACCAGTTGTAGCAGTTTGATAAAACCTTGACAGCCATTTGAAATATGTGAGTCTGCTTGGCATTCTTAAAATGTATAAAATGTAAGTGAAAAATTAGATAGGCATAATTTCAAATTTAATAGCGTAAATTTTTTAAACCAAATATCATATTTCTATAAAAAGTATTTATTATTATAAAATTTCTCAGTTATATTTTCATCAGCTTTACAGAAGTTGATAAAAATCATGTTCTGCATATTTCCCTTTAAAATATACATTTAGTATTTATTTAGTTAGTTTTTGAGCCAGGGTCTGGCCATGTCACCCAAGCTGGAGTGCAGTGGCACTATCTCGGCTCACTACAACCTCCGCCTCCCGGGTTCAAGCAATTCTCGTGCCTCAGCCATCCGAGTAGCTGGTATTACAGGCGCACACCATCATGCCCAGCTGATTTTTGTATTTTTAGTAGAGAACGGTTTCACCATGTTGGCCAGGCTGGTCTCAAACTCTTGACCTCAAGTGATCCACCTACCTCGGCCTCCCAAAATTCTGGGATTACAGGCGTGAGCCACCATGCCCAGCCACATTTAGTATTTATTTCTAAATACACCTTGGAAAAGTATGTGTAGGTATAAAGCAGAGCTTTAACAAATTTTCTTGGTTTTTAAATAATAATTTAAAAATATTCTTATTTGTAGTACAAATTCATTATTTGTAGTTATTTTAAAGTTTTCCCACTTGTGTCTTTTCACACTCATACACACGTCATGAAAGAATTTTCATTTGTAGTCACAAATGCACTTGTCTCATTGTTTAAACAATAAATTAGAATAGATAAGTTTTTGAAGGAGTAATAAACTAGTAAACCATGATTTGTGTTTTTCAGGGGGAATGGATGTTGTGTTTTCCGTATTTCAAAGTTTTTTGGATGAATCAGCTTCTGGCTGGTGTTTCTTTACTTTGGAAAATTTAATATATGGTATAATGTTAAGAAAATCATCTGTTACTGTTTACCGATGGCAGGGGATTTTTATTCCAGTTGAGGTAAACATCAGTATTTTTTTATAGTACAAAAATAAAATGTGCAGATAAATTTTAGATGTATAATGAATAACTGTATTCTTATTCCTCATTTTCTAGGATTTAAATATAGAAAATCCTAAAACTTGTGAGGCCTTTAATATTGGTTTTTCTCCCTACTTTGTGATTACTCATGAAGAAAGAAATGAAGAAAAGCCTTCTCTTAACAGTGTGTTTACATTCACATCTGGATTTAAATTATTCCTGGTAAAAACATTTTCATTTTTAAATAGATTACTTTCTTTAAAAGAAATTAAGATTTGTAAGATTGTTCAAATTGGAAGATAATGTATGTTTTATGTTAATGTGAAAAAGGACTTTTTGTGAGTTGATATACATTTTAGCAAAGTATCTTAATCCGGGGATATTTTTGTCTTTTTAAAATGACACTTAGTTATGTGTAGCTTGGTATTAAAATTTTTTAAGTCTTGCACTTCAGATTTTAACTCATGCTATTAGTGTGTTCAGTGGCTTTCTTAGTTCAACTCTCCTTTAAGTTTTCATTCCCACTCTGTCCTTGCAGGTACAAACAATCATTATTCTGGAAAGTTCTCAAGTAAGATATTTTACTTCAGACAGCCAAGATTATTTAATCATTGCAAGTCAAAGAGATGATTCCGAATTAACTCAGGTTTGATTCTTTTAAAATGAAGTGGGTTTTTTTTTGCTTTTCTTTTTAACATTATAATTGAAATTTACCAAAGGTATGGTCTGCTGGTTTAGTATAAAAGAAAACCAAAATTTGATTGTGGTAAAGTAGAATGTAAAGACTGGTTAGTTAAAAGTTAATTTTTAAATACCAGAGTCATAAAATGTTATATTATCTTCAAGAGCCAAGGATAATGTAACAATAAAAATGAACATTTAATTAGAATTTAACTGAATTGCAAAACATTGTGGAGAAACATCACACAGCCAGACAGAGTATCACTAAAAATTCATGATTAGCATTGCCACACAGGCATTCAGTATCACCTCAGAAATCCCACATTTCTTTAGTAAACTAGATCTTGTAATTCTAGTAATGCTTATTTGATAACTTTTGTCACTCCTTAAACTTCCATACATGCTTCACAATTCCATTTTCAGCTAATTCCCTTGTTGAAGTGAAAGCTACCAAAAGGGGTATTATTCATTTTCCCAACACCAAATTCAAAAACCCACTTGAAACCCAATCTTAGTCCTCATTCCTGCTACGACAGAGAAAGTGTCCCTTCTAAAAAGCCAGGCCTCTCACATAAGTGCCCACCTTGTCCTTATAAGGTTTAGCTATTCCCTCCATCTCTGACATCTCTCTCTCTATTTGGTTACTACAATCAGCCTAAATGTTCTAGCTTCACCCAGCTTAAAAAGAAATTCCTCCCTTGATCTCATTCCCTTCTAGTTTTCATTTCATTTCCTTTCTCCCTTCTATAGTAAGACATCCTGAAAGAATTTTCTACTTGTTTTGTCTTTACTTCCCCGTGCTCACCAATGACAACTGCATTACCAGATCCAGTGGGTGTTTTTCTGTGTAATCATTATACATTCCACCAGCATGTGACAGTCACCTCATCCTCAAATATAAATCTTACCTTGCTTTCTAACACACTACACAAATTTTCCTTTTCCCTTTCTCTCTCTGGGTATGTGTGTGTGTGTGTGTGTGTGTGTGTGTGATCCTTCTCAGTCCCCATTGCCAGTTCCTCTTCCCTTTCGTAAACTTAGATGTCTTGGAGTTTTCCAGAAAGATTCACTTATAGTTCAAATTTCTTTTTTCTTTCTCTTCACTCACTTGGATACTTTTATCAATCCTGTGGTTTTAAATATCAGCAATAGGCTAGCGTATTTTAAATTATATCTGTAGCCTTTCCTCTGTATTCCAGGCCTACATACCTAACTGCCTATTGACATGTTCACTTAAATATATTTTTGGTACATAATATTTAACATATCCCAAACTGAACCTTTGATTTCCACTATGAAACTTGTTACTTCAGTGCTAGCTTTCATCTCAGGAAATAGCAACCCCACGAACTCAGTTGCTTAGGACAGAATCCTGGGATATTTCTTCCTTGATTACTCCTTTTTATTAGTGGGGGGGATGGGGTCTGGCTCTGTGGCCCAGGCTTGAGTGCAGTGCCATGATCACAGGTCACTATAGCCTTGACCTCCTGGGCTCTGGTGATCCTCCTACCTTAGCCTCCCGGGTGGCTGGGTCAACAGGCGTGTGTCACCACACCTGGCTGATTTTTTGTATTTTGTAGAGATGGGATTTCACCATGTTTCTCAGGCTGGTCTTGAACTTACTCCTTTTTATTCTTTCACATCGAGTTTATCATTAAGTATTTTTGATTATATGTGTCAATAAGTGAAGACATTTTGTCTCTACTCCTCCCTACTCCAGGTCCCCATTATTTCTCTTCCACACCATTATAGTGTCCTCCTAGCTGTTCTCTGAATTTCCTTGACCTCCTCAGATCCATTCTCCATTGAGTAACTGGAGGCATTTTTTAAAAATATTAATTGACTAATGTTATTTCTGATTTTAAAACCACTCAATGATTTGCAATTATACTTAGAATAAATTTGAAATTATTTAATATGGGCTTAACATAGGATAGCTATATTTCCTGATTTGCCTTGGAAAGTACTGGATTATGCCTGTTCTGGTATTGTTATTAATATTGCCCCTTTCACTCTTTAAAGGATCCCTGTTTAGGTGATTAATTATATGGTCATCCTAATGGAAGGTACTCCATGATGATCTTACCTCTCCAGCCTTAACTCTCATCATTCTCCCAGCACTATCAGATTCCTTCCAGTCTTTATTCAGATAATGACAAATTTTTTCTGTCTTAAGAACTTTGTCATGTTGTTCCTTCTAACTTGATTTCCCAAATACCTTCATAATTCTCTATCAGACCATCCTAATTGTCATCTTCAGTACTTGACTCATTTTATACTTATACATTGACTTAATTATTGATATGTTTCTTGTTTACCTTTTCCTAATAGTTAATAAGATCCATAAAGGGAAAGGTCGCTGTATCCATAGTTCTTAGCATAATGTCTGTGGCTCAAAAGTTCCTAATTGTTGACTGAATAAGTATAATTTTCTGTGACATTGACCAGCTTGCCTTCAGGTAGGGTCTGAATTTTAATTTTGCATTTATGAACACTTACCCTGAAAACTTGCATACGTTGACTGCCACCATGGGGACAGAAAGGATTTAGGTGTTTCTCTGTATTCTATTGCTCGAGCAATTGATAATAATATTGCAGCATTAGAATGTTTCTTATTCCGTTCTAAATTTTTCATATGTAGTGTATTTCCTGGTTTTAGCTTTCCCTTTCCCTGCTGTCAACAACCCTTACCCAGATGTACATTTGATACTGATTTCTTTTCAAATATCTTCTCTTTCATTCACTCTGTGTGTGTGTATGTGTACTTATGTGCATAGACATATATGTGCACACTCACACAGATTAGATAAGGGAGAGAGCAGCAAGGGAGCATCAGTTTTAGTATTTTCTTATTTATGAAAGTATCTTTTTAACTAAATAAAAGGATCCAAGAGAGTAAACATATGGTATTGATTACATTCTTGCAAGTGCTAAATTCCTAGTCATAAAGGGTTTTGTATTTCAACATTTCCTTCAGGTCTTCAGGTGGAATGGAGGAAGCTTCGTGTTGCATCAAAAACTCCCTGTCCGAGGTGTGCTGACCGTGGCCTTGTTCAACAAGGGAGGCTCTGTGTTCTTAGCCATTTCCCAGGCTAATGCCAGGCTAAACTCCCTTTTATTCAGATGGTCTGGCAGTGGGTTTATTAACTTTCAAGAGGTGCCTGTCAGTGGGACAACAGAAGTTGAGGCTTTGTCTTCAGCCAATGATATTTACCTAATATTTGCCGAAAATGTCTTTCTAGGTGAGAAGATAAAGTATTTGTAGTGTATATATAATTATTGAAATCATCTAGCATTCATATGGTATATTTTATATGAAAATGCTCTTGCAATAATTTTTTACTAATCCATAGAATATTTCTTGATAGATAAGTATTAATTGTCAGCTGTAAATGGATTTTTGAGAAATATTTAAGCATTATACCCCTAATCTTGTGTTCTGACTACTACCTGAAAGTTATATGAAAACAAAATTGGAAGTAGGTAGGTAAAGTTGAAAGATACATGAATATTTTATACGCAGGATGCAAACAAGTAACTTTTTATATGTATTTACTTGATGTGCCATGAATAATTTATAGTATTAGTAAATAATGTTCAGAACTTTTTATAAGACTCTTTCAGAATATTCTTGGAAGGAAAATTTGCTTTCTGCTGCTGAGTAGAACTTTCATGGGTAAAATTGCAACATTCCTAAAAAAATTAAAAAAAATTGTCCTTGTTCTTTCTTTAACATTATATCATGGTTAATGACTAATAATGTATTCCCGTCATGCAGTAAATGCAAAAAGACTTTTGAAGTACTTCCTATTAACTTGTATTTTTATTGGACTAAATGGATTCTGAGGAAATTTGTTTCTTGATATTTTTATTATAGTTTTATTATGTAATTTTGTCATTTTTTTCTGTAACTTTTGCATTAAGATTTGACTTCTATTTCATTATTGCAGGAGATCAGAATTCAATTGATATTTTCATCTGGGAGATGGGACAGTCTTCCTTCAGGTATTTTCAGTCTGTAGATTTTGCTGCTGTTAACAGAATCCACTCCTTCACACCAGCCTCAGGAATAGGTAAGGACTTTTCAACTGCTCACCAATTCTAAAGGTAGTATGGAAAGCCAGAATGATTTTAATCTCATTGATTTAGATTTAGTATCACATTGCCAGACACTGGGTATTTTTTTTTTTTTGGAGATGGGGTCTAGCTGTGTTGCCCAGGCTGGAGTGCAGTGGGGCAATCTCTGCTCACTGCAAGCTCCGCCTCCCAGGTTCCGCTATTCTCCTGCCTCAGTCTCCCCAGTAGCTGGGACTACAGGCGTCCGCCACCATGTCTGGCTAATTTTTTTGTATTTTTAGTAGAGACGGGGTTTCACCGTGTTAGCCAGGATGGTCTTGATCTCCTGACCTTGTGATCCGCCCACCCAAAGTGCTGGGATTATAGGCGTGAGCCACCACGCCCAGCCGACTCTGGGTATTTTAATAGGAATGTAACATCAAGAGCTTTACAATACTCCTTCCAGAAATCCTATAATTTTTTGAAATTCTTTTGAATTTCAATTTTCCTTTTGCAGATTAATACTTTCAGAATGGACATTGGCTTGAGAATAATCAGAATAACTAAAATATGGAGGAAAATATTAGTGAAGAATGAAAATAATATATTTCTTTTGTCTAGAGAAACATGAAGAGTGACATTAAATATATATTTTTAAAATATGAAAGTATGTATATGGCAATAGCAAGTATTTGCATTTATGAATTTTTTTTAAGTTGGAGAATGACTATGAGAATTCTTCCATCTTCATGAACTCTCCCAACCTCCTCCACAGTCTGAAATCCTTTCTTGGTCTTCTGTACTTTAATCCACACATCAGAAACATAAGCAATATTTTTAATCACTGTGGTTTCAGAAACAAAGTCGATTGGAGAGAACCCAAGGTATTATTGCTGTCTGCAGGTTGTAGGATTATTTTAGGGTTGGCAAGGAATCCCTTGGGTGGGCCAGTGATGATAAGGAGATGAAGCTGAGGCCAGTGGCATGGTGAGCTTATCAAGCTGGCTCATGGGGTGGGTGTTCATAGCACAGGGAGGAGACACAGACAGTGGGTCATCATGTCTCCTGTTGAGGTGTCTAGAGAATTTGTGAGCCAAGCCTGAGTGGCTCCACAGGTGACTCTGGATGAATCATAGTCCTGCTTTTAAATTGAGATATGGCAATTCTGTATGAATTAAATGGCACACAGTTATTAATTTGATATTATATGTAAGTCAATGTTACCATGCTATGAAGAATTCCTCTACTTAAAAGCCTTAATGTATGGTTGGAGAAGCAAGAAAAAATATTAAGATACTAATTCAAGGTACAGGACTATATTAGTCCATTCTCACACTGCTTTAGAAAACTATCTGAAACTGGGTATTTTATGAAGAAAAAAGGTTTAATTGACTCACAGTTCCACAGACTGTATAGAAAGCATGCTTTGGGAGGCCTCAGGAAGCTTACAGTCATGGCAGAAGGGTGAAGGGGAAGCAAGCACCTTCTTTACATGGTGGAGGGAAAAAGAGAGCGCGAAGGGGGAAGTGCTGCACACTTTTAAACAACTGGATCTTGGGAGAACTCCTCTACTATCACAAGAGCAGCAAGCGGGAAATCCGCCTCTATGATCCAATCACCTCCCACCAGGTCCCTCCCCCAACACTGAAAATTATAATTTGACATGAGATTTGGGTTGGGACACAGAGCCAAACCATTTCAATGACCAATACCATTTGCTCTGTGAGGGGTAGAATTGGAGTGATTAAGAGAGACAAGAGAAAGCTTGAGCTATGTCTGCGTGGATTGGCAGGACACACTTTGGGCAGAGGGAAAGGTATGAGCAAAGGAGAAAGGCAGAAGTGTTTATAGCATTGAGGCCACCATTGGTAGATGAAAGTGCCAGCGACAGAGGATTTGACCAGAATGTTGTGGTGCTGAGATTGGAGATACAACACTGGAATCTAGAGAAGATGGCCTGGAATGGCAGGCACATGGTGCGCCTGTGCCTCAAATCATCCAGCAGTTTTCACACATTTTGCTCTTAGAATCTATTCATATTTATTGTGTAAGAGATTAAAACTGAGAAATGTTAAAGTCATCTATTTTAAAATGACAGCAATATACTCATTATGTGTAAATACAACGTTATTTTTAAAAAACACTTTCTAAAACGAACACTTTTATGAGAAGAGTGGCATTGGTTTTATTTTAATTTTTGAAAATCTCTTTAATGTCTGGTTTAATACATGGTATATAGATTCTACTTTATGTATTTAATTAATTTTTTTAAGGGACAGCATTTTGCTCATTTGTCAGGCTATAATGTAGTGATGCAATCATAGCTTACTGCAGCCTTGAACACATGAGTTCAAGCCGTACTCCCACCTCAGCCTCCTGAATAGCTAGGACTACAGGCATGCTCCATCATGCCCACATAATTAAAAAAAAGTTTTTTTTAAAAGTGGAGTTTCTTTGTGTTGCCCAGCCTGGTCTTGAGCTCCAGGCTTCAGGAGATCCTCCTGCCTCAAAGTGCTGGGATTACAGTCATGAGACACTGTGCCCAACTGATTCTCCTAATTAATTAACTTTTTTCCATCTTTATTAAGGCTTGATTGACAAACATTGTTTATATTTAAGATATACAATGTGATATTTTGATATACATATAATGATATGTATTTCCTCAATTGAGCTAATTAACCCATCCATTACCTCACATATTTACCTTTTTTTGATGAAAACACTTAAAATCTAGTCTCTTAGCAATTTCAAGTATACAGTACATTATTGTTAACTATAGTTATTATGCTGTAGATTAGGTCCACAGAAATTACCCATCTTATAACTGAAAGTTGGTAGTCTTTAATCAAAATCCCCCATTTCTCTCACGCCCTGGCCCCTGGCAAGCACAGTTCTACAATTTGCTTTTTTGAGTTTGACTTTTTCAGATTCCACATATAAGTGAGATCAGGCAGTACTTGTCTGAGTCTGGGTTCTCATGTCTGCATCTGAATTCAGTCTACTCCAGTATTATCAGTCATTTAGCCTCTGCTAAGTTCTGTACACTCATGAAAGAATGAGAATGAAGTAGAAAAACAGCATTATTATGAAAACAGCATTATTTTCATTTTATTATGCAAACAGTTTTGACCTCTGAAATCCTCTAAAAGGGTTTCAGTGTCTCTTAGATCCCTGGATCACACTCAGCAGTAGTGAGATAGAGAAATCCTTGAAGGCTTTTCAATGGCAAATGATGATCAAAGGCATGTTTTACAACTCCTCATAGCTTTGGTGTATAGAATATGCTGGATGAAGTAACTTGCAACTGCCTGGGCAAGAGTTGAAGAGGGCCTTTAGCTGGGGTGAGAAATTAGGAATGAAGATTCTTGTGAGAAAGAGAAATTAGAAATGAAAATCCTTGTGGGAAAGAGAAGTTAGAAATGAAGATTCAACAGCACTTGATGTCTGTTCAAATGTGGGGAGCAAAAGTTATTATACCTTGGCAACTGGGAGGAGAATGGTTTTAAATTAGGAAAAGACACAGAAAATGTCTGTAGTGGGAAATGTGATGAACTTGTTTATAGGTGTCTTTAGTTTGAGATAATATAGAAGCATGTGTAGGTGGTTAGTAGAGATGTGGAACTAGAATCAGAAAGAAATTGGAGTTAAAGGTTTGGATTTTGGAGACATCCATGCGTGGGGATAGTCGAACTCATAAATGTTAAAGTGTACAAAGTAAATGATATTGATTGCGAAGACTAGAAGATTTAGCACAAATACAGGAGTCAGTATTTGGAATTTTTCCCTTAGGTGCCCAACTACTGCTTTCTTTATCAAGCATTTAACATTTAGGCAGTGTTACCTTCAGTCACCTCAACTACTGACCAGGAATCACGGTTATTTATGTCTAACTTTTAAATTAGTATTATTTTTAATTTACAAGTTATAATTATATTACACATATTGAGTGTAATATGATGTTTTGATAAATGTATACAACATGGAATATTAAATCAAGCTATTAACATATCCATCACTTACTTAACATTTTTGTGATGATACAGTTGAAATGTACTCTTAGTTATTTTGAAATATACTATACATTATTATTGATTATAGTCACCCTGGTGTGCAGATCTCAAAAATTCCTCCTGTCTAGCCAAAATTTTGTACCTTTTGACCACCAACTTCCCATTCTCTTGCTCTTCCCCGCCCTGGTGACTATTGTTGTACCCTTTGCTATGAATTCAACTTTTAAAAGATTCCGCAACTAGTGAGATCATGCAGTATTTGTCTTTCTGTGCCTAGCTTATTTACTTGGCATAATGTCTTCCAGATCCATCCATATTGTCCCAAATGACAGAATTTTGTTCTTTTTTTGAAGCAGAATAGTATTCCATCGCGTATATATACCACATTTTCTTTATCCATTCATCTGTTGATAGATATATAGTTTGAGTTCACATTTTGGCTATTGTGAATAGTGCTGTAATGAACATGGGAGTGCAGATATCCCTTTGACATACTGATTTCAATTTCTTTTGACATATTCTTAGACAGAAGTGGGTATTGCTGGATCATTCTGTTCATTGTTGGGGGAACCTCCATACCATTTTCCACAACATCTTACTAGTTTACGTTTCTACCAACAGTGCATCTGCAAGCATTTCCTTTTCTCCTCTTCTTCAACACTTATTTTTGTGTAAGATTTATTCTAATAGGTGTGAGGTGATAGCTTATTTTGGTTTTAATTTTTATTTTCCTAATGATTAGTGATCAGCATTTTTTTCATGAACCTGTTGGCCATATATAAGGCATCTTTTAAGAAGTGTCTTTTCAGGTCTTTAGCCTATTTTTTTTTTTTTTTTTTTTTTGAGACAGAGTCTTGCTCTGTCGCCCAGGCTAGAGTGCAGTGGTGCAATCTCAGCTCACTGCAACCTCTGCCTCCCGGGTTCAAGTGATTCTTCTGCCTCAGCCTCCCGAGTAGCTGGGATTACAGGCACCTGCCACCATGCCCAGCTAATTTCACCATCTTGGCCAGGCTGGTCTCAAACTCCTGACCTCATGATCCACCTGCCTCAGCCTCCCAAAGTGCTGGGATTATAGGCGTGAGCCCCTGGGCCCGGCCTAGCCTATTTTTTAATTGGGTTGTTTCCTTGCTATTGAGTTATTTGAGTTTCTTATATAGTTTGGATATTAACCATTTATCAGATAGCTGTATGGGTTTAAAATGTTTTTTCCCATTCTTTGGGTTGTCCCTTCATTTTGTGATTGTTTCCTTTGCTGTGCAGAAACTTTTTAATTTGATGCAATCCCATTTGTCTATTTTTGCTTTTGTCGCCTCAACTTCTGGAGTCAATCAAAAAATCCTTGCCCAGATTAATGTCATGGGGATATTCCCCGTTTTCACTGAGTAGTTTATAACTTAAGGTCTTTAATTTATTTTGAGTTGATTTATGTATTTGGTATGAAATAATGGATCTAATTTCATTCTTCCACATGTGGATATCCAATTTTCTCAACACCATTTATTGAATAGACTCTCTTTCTTCATTGTGTGTTCTTGGCACCTTTGTCAAAAATCAATTGGTTGTGAAAGTGTGAGTTAATATCTGGGCTTTCTATCCTATCCCATTTGATCAGTCAGTCTGTTTTTATGCCAGTACCAAGATGTTTTGATCATAATTGCTTTATATTTTGAAGTCAGGTAGTGTGATGCATCCAGCCTTGTTCTTTTTGCTTGAGATCGTTTTGTCTATTCAGAGTGTTTTGTGGTTTCATATGAATTTAAATTTTTTTTATTTCTGTGAAAATAGAAAAATGATACCAGAATTTTGATAAGGACTGCATTGAATCTGTAGATCACTTTGGGTAGCATGGACATTTTAACAATATTCATTCCTTCAATTCATGAATATGGGATATCTTTTTATTTATTTGTGTTTTTTTCTATTTCTTTCATCAGCGTTGTACAGTTTTCAGTATACCAGTCGTTCGTCTTTATTGCTGTTGTAAATAGGCTTGTTTTCTTAACTTTTTTGGATAGCTAGTTATTAGTGTATAGAAATGCTACAGATTTTTGTATGTTGATTTTGTATCCTACGACTTTACTGACTTCAGTTATCAGTTCTAAGAGTTTGTTTTAATGCAAACTTTAGGGTTTTCAATATATAAAACATGTTGTCAGCAAACAGAGACAATTTAATTTCTTCCATTCCTATTTAGGTATGTCTTATTTCTTTCTCTCGCTTAATTGCTTTGGCTGGAACTTTCAGAACGATGTTGAAAGGAAGTGACAATAGTGGGCATCTTTGTCTTGGCCAGGATCTTGGAGAAAACCTTTTTCAACTTTTCACCATTGAGTATAATGTTGGTTACTTGTTTGTTATATGTGACTTTTATTGTACTGAAGTACATTTCCTCTATACCTATTATTTTGAGAGCTTTTATCATGAAAGGATGTTGATTTTTTTCAAATACTTTGCATCAATTTAGATGATTATTTGGTTTTTCTTCTTTATTTTCTTAGTGTAGTGAATCACATTTCTTGATCTGCATATATTGAACCATCCATAAATTCCAAGAATAAATCCCACTTGATCATGGTGAATGATTCCTTTATTGCATTGTTGAATTCAATTTGCTATTGTCTTACTAGGGATTTTTGCATCTTTGTTCATCAGAGATATTGGCCTGTAATTTCTTTTTTTCTTATAGGGTCTTTGGCCTTTATATCAGGATAATGCTGGCCATGTAAAATGAATTTGGAATTATCCTCTGTTCTTCAATTTTTTGGAGTATTTTAAGAAGGATTGGTATTTGCTCTTGAAATGTTTGGTAGCATTCAGCCATAAAGGCATCAGGTTCTGGGACTTTCTTTGATATGAGTCGTTTTATGACTGATTTAATTTCCTTACTCATTATTGATCTGCTTAGGTTTTCTATCTCTTCATGATTCAGTCTTAGTAGGTGCTATGTGTCTAGACGTTTATTCATTTTTTCAAGGTTATCCAATTTTTGGCACATAACTGTGGTAGTTTCTCTTGATCCTTTGTATTTCTGTATTTCTGTGGTATCTGTTGTAATGTCTCTACTTTTATTTCTGATTTTGTTTGAATCTGCACTTTTTTTCTTAGTTGATGTAGCTAAGGGTTTGTCAACTTTTTCTTTTAAAAAAAAACAATTCTTAGTTTTATTTATTTTTTTCTATTGTTTTTCTAGTCTTTTATTTATTTTTGCTCTTTGTTATTTGCTTCCTTCTGTTAACTTTGGGCTTAGTTTGTTCTTTTTCTATTTCCTTTAGTTGTAATATTAGACCATTTATTTGAGATTTTATTTCTTTTTCAATACAGGCGTTTATTGCTGTAAATTTTCCTTTTTGGACTGTTTTTGCTGCATACCATACATTTTAGTATATTATTTTTATTTTTGTCATAAGGTATCTTTTTATTTCTTCTGCAAGTCATTTATTGTTTAGAGTATATTTAATTTCTACATATTTGTGAATTTCCCAAGATTTCTTCTGTTATTGATTTCTAGCTTAATGCCATTATGATCAGAAAACATACTTGCTATGCTTTCAGTGCTCTTAAATTTGTTAAGACATGTTTTGTGGCCTAACATATAGTCTATCCTGAAGAATGTTCTGTTTGCTTGAGAAGAAAGTGTATTCTATTGCTTTTGGATAGAAGATTTTGTATATGTCTGTTAGGTCTATTTGGTCTACAGTGTAATTAAGTCCAGTGTTTTCTTATTGATGTGCTGTCTAGATAGTCAGTTTATTGTTAAAAGTGGGATACTGGGGTCCCCTACTATTATTGTATTGCAGTCTATATCACCCTTCAGATCACTTAATAATTGCTTTATTATTTAGGTGCTCCAATGTTGGGTGTATGTATATTTATAATTGCTATGTCTTCTTGATGAATTTACCCTCTTGTTGTTATAGAATGGTCTTCTTTGTCCCTTTTTATAGTTTTTTACTTAAAGTCTATTTTACCTGATATAAGTATATCTACCCTTCTGTTTTGACTTACATTTGCAAGGAATGCCTTTTTCCATTCCTTCATTTTCACTTTATATGTGTCGTTATTGGTAAATAGTCTCTTGTAGGCAGCATATGATTGGATCTTATTTTTTTTTAATACATTAAGCCATTCTGTGTCTTTTGATGAATTTAATCAATTTCATTCAGGATAATTATTAATAGGAGCAGACTTGCTACTGCCCTTTCATTATTTGTTTTCTGTTTGTTTTGTAGATCTTTTGTTTCTTTCTTCTTCTGTTGCTGTTTTCCTTTGTGGCTTGATGGTTTCCTATGGTGGTCTGCTTTTAATCCTTTCTTTTTATAGTTTTTGCTTCCACAGTAGTTTTCTGCTTTGTGGTTACCATGAGGCTTACATAAAACATCTTGTACTCAGAAACAGCTATTTTAAATTGATAAAAAATTAACTTCATAGCAAACAAAAACTATATTTTTATGTTCTCTCCCCTAAAACTTTTATGATTTTGATCTCAGAATTTTTTTTGTAATTTGTATTTCCTAACAGTTTATTATAGCTACAGTTATTTTTAATAGTTTTGTCTTTTAAACCTGAGAGATAAATTTGCTTTATATAATCACCTTACATTATTAGAATATCCTGAACATGACTATATTACTTATACCATTCAGTTTTCTTTAAATTTTCTCATGTTTTATGTTATTAGTTATCAGACTTTCATTTAAGCTTAAGTAACTCCCTTTAGCAATTCTATAGAGCAGGCCGAGTGGTAACAAACTCTCTTAGCTTTTGTCTGGGAAAAATTTAATTCTCTCTTGTTTCTGAAGGACAGCTTTCCTGAGTAAAGTATTCTTGGTAGAAGTTTTTTTCCCCTTCTTCATTACTTTGAGTTTATTATTCTACTCTCTCATGGTCTGCAGGGTTTCTGCTGAGAAATCTGCTAATTAGCCATATTGAGACGCCTTTGAATGCGACTATATTCTCTATCTCTTGCTGCTTTCAGTATTCTTTCTTTGTGTTTGATTTTTGTCTGGGTAAACTCTTCATTGAGTTGAATTTGACTGGAGAACTTTGAGCTTCCAATTTCTAGATAGTGTTGTCTTTCCCCAGATTTAGGCATTTTTCAGCCAGTATTTTTAAAAATAATGATTCTTGGTATTTTTTCTTTCTCTTCTTTGGGAACTCCTGTTATGTACAGCTTAGTTCTCTTGATTGTGTCACATAATTCCTATAGACCTTCTCTATTCTTTTTCATTCTTTTTTATTTTTGCTTCTTTGACTGGATAACTTTAAGTATCCTATCTTTTAATTCACTAATTTTCTTTCTTCTGCTTGATCAAGTCTGCTGTTGAAATTTTCTACTGAATTTTTAGAATAGTCATTGTATTCCTTATTTCTAGCGTTTCTGTTTGTTTTTTTGTTTGTTTTTATTTCTTTGTCAAATTTCTTATTTTGTTAATGAATTGTTTTCCAAATTGCATTTACTGTTTCATCTGTATTTTCTTATAGTTCCCTGAACTTCAAGAGAATTATTCTGAATTTTTGTCATTCATTTTATAGATCTCCATTTCTTCAAGATCCATTATTGGAACTTTATTAATTTCTTTTGGTCATATTTCCCTGATTTAAAAAAAATCCTTATGTTGGCATCTGCACATGTGAGGAAACAGCCACCCTTTTCAGGCTTTTCTAGTGTTCTGTGGTGGTGATAGAACTTCACTATTTAGTCTAGCTTGGGATTCTGGTTGGGTTAGTTGGTAGTGACCCCAGACAAGTAGACTTTGTTATCATGTTTTGTATTTGGGCTGGGCTGTTACCTGTGACCTGGGATCAAATGGAAGTGCTGGCTGTGCTCTGAGATCCAGTGACATCTCTGGTTGGGGTCTTCAGTAAGTCAGAGCTGTTGCCTGGGCGTAGTAATTGCCTCTGATCAGTGTTGTAGATTGTCTTCTCTGGCTGGATAGTGCTGTGGTTTGGGATCTATATCTGCACAGGGCCACCTACTTGGCTGGGAGGCTGGGTGAGGTGTCTAGATTGCTACTTAACTACTCAGGGTAGGCAGGACTGCAGGCTATGCTGCATAGATATGCATGGACATGGGCTTGCCTCCCATACTAGGGTAACCTTAAGCACAGCACTGAGGTTTGGTTTAGTAGCTGTTTAGCTGCTGTAGTTGAGCAGAGTCAGATGCTCCCCTCAGAAGACATTCACACACATGCACATGACTCCTTGCCTGGCAAGGGCTTAAGGAGAGCCCCAGGATTTGGTTGGATTGATGCTCACTAGCTGAGTCTGGGCAGGACTAGATTCAGATAATTGCTGACCTGCTTTTAACTTCTAGCTTGGAGCGAAGTTAAGGAAAGTACTGGGGCTTGGCTAAGTCACAGCTCTGCAGCTGGGTCTGAGTAGGGTCAGATGCTCTCTTTGGATAATCCGTGGGTCTGGGAAGGGTCAGAGGGTCCCTTTGTGGATAATGCTGACCTGCCCTTGCTTCTTGGCCTGGAAGTGGCTGTGAAGGAGATCACCAGGGCTTGGCTAGATCACAGCTCTGTGGCTGCATCTAGGTGGGGTCAGATGCTCCCTCTGTGAATGATGACAAATGTACCCCTGCCTTCTGGCCTGAGAAAGGACTAAAGAGTACTCTAGAGCTTGGTTGGGTTGCAGCTCAATCACTAAGCTTGGGTGGAGCTAGATGTTTACTCAGCAGATAATTATCAACATGCCGCTATCTCCTGGCCTGGGGAAGTTTTAAGGAGAGCACGCAGGCTGGCTGTGGAAGCTGGCCAGGGATTTGGGCCTGGGAGGCCTGTCAACTGTGCCTCATTCAGAGCAATGCTGTTGGGTATTCTTTCTGGTGGTGTGCCTCCACTGGCCACAAGGCAGAGCCGCCACCAAGATCTGCTTGTCTGTCACTGTGAGCCCTACCCCTGTTCGTTGTTTCTAAGTGACCTCAGGTGGTCTAGCCCTGTTGATAGCTAGTGTTTCCAGTGGGGCAAGACAAGGGAGTGTTACCTGTGAATGGGCCCAGAATGTTGGGGAAGCTGAATGTCTGCCTCCAACTCAACTCTCTCTTCCCTCTGTAAAAACCCACAGTTCCCGGGGAATCTCTTGTGTGCCGGACTGTGCTGGCTTGGGGGAGGGGCAACATAGTCAAAGAGAAACTGTTCCTCTTACACTTCAATTGTAGCTGTTCTTTGTCTGTGGTCCAAGGGGTTGTTTCAGCCTCACTCCCATGTTCTGGGATATTCATCAAGGTATTCTTGTCTCTGAATAGTTGCAAATTGGATTTCTGTAGAAAACGGTGGAGCCAGAGAGTTCCTATTCCACCATCTTGCTGATGTCATTCTATTTACCTCTCACTTTTTATAGATTGTTTCTCACATTGTACTTTGTTTCCATGTTTTCTACTCCTTCCTCCTCATCCCTGTGGAATGCCCATACCACATTCTCCCAGTCCCCAGCCACCTTCTACCTGGACTATTACATCACTTCCTGGCCTCCACACTATCTTTACTTTGCCATCAGAGTCCTCTGCCTGTCTCTGTTCTGCTCATTCTTTCCTTAAATAACTTCTCTTTACATTGTCAACACTTTGACTCGTCATAAATCTGTTATTATCCTAAGATATACAACTTGAGTGACTTATCATTCAACAAGTGATTTGTTGAGTAAATTATGTATCTTTCATCATATATTTGTTTAGTTTTTGTCTACCTGTCCTTTAATTTTTTGCCTTTATTATATTTGCTTTTCTTATTCCTCAAGTATTCAAGTGGACTAACTATGTCTCCTTGAGTCACTTATTATTATTCAAAATAGTTGCCTAATGAATGTTTTTAAAGATGATGAGTGCTGCCTGAAGGGCCATTAATTAAAGTTATAGAATTCTCTTTAAAGATTTAAAAAATATATAATAGGCATACTTTCTAAAAGAATTTGCAAAAAATTCTGCCAGAGACTTATTAAAGGACCCATTGTGAGGTCTCTTTATTTCTTTTGTTTCTGTGACTTGAGGCTGTAGAAGTATGAAAAGATTGTAGGTAATTATTTAGAATGGCTTATTATAGATCTCCTGAAAGCTGAAATTATGCATTAAATAATGTTCAAGGGCTTTCTTATTTTGAATGTGTCAAATATTTTATTAAAAGTATTAGATTGGAGCTATAACCATGAGGATCACATATTTATTCTGGTTAATGACTTGACAGAGATTATTGGGTGGTGACTGAATTCTTTAAATGGAAGAAGAAGAATGAATATGACAAAGACTACAAGGACATACAAACTTATCTTCGCTTTCACCCTTTTCTCCTTTAGTAGTTAATAGATATTTTTAAGTGCAATTATGTGCCAAGCACATTGATAGACCCTGGGGAAACAAGGGTAAGCAAAACTACATATAAACCCTGCGCTGAAGAAGTTTTACAAGTAGCAGGGAAGAGAGATATTATGTATAATCATACATATAAGTTTCTAGTTATAAATGGATAACTGCTATGAAAGGATAGAATACTTTCATACTACAAAATGAGAGGACTTGCCCTGGTCTAAGAGATGCCCAGAAAACTTACTTAAGGAAGAATCATTTAATTGAGAATTATATGTTGAGTAGGAGTTGAAGAGGCAGAGTTGATGATGGATCAGCTCTAGGCAAAGAGAGGTCAGGTGGTGGTGGTGAGCATGTGCTTTTAGGGAACTAGAAAGGGACCAATGTGGCCCAAATACAGACAGTAAGGGAACAGTGATACTGGGTTTAACTGAAGATGTAATCAGATAGGGACTTAAAGGATTATGGTCTTTATCCTAAAAGTATTGAGATGCCTTTCTTGAGGAGGTGATGGGGAGGTGGAGATAGAGAGATGGGCAGAGAGAAAGAGAGAGCATGTGTGTGTGTGCGCACGGGTGTGCATGCATGTGTGGCTGCCATGGAGGAAAAACTTAAATGTTAGAAGAGAAGATGTCTGAGAAAGAGCTGGAGGCGCATTCTTTAGAGATGTTGAAAGATGAAGCTTGGAAAGTGGTAGGTGATGCTGGTTAGAGAAGTAGATTGATTCAGATGATGTCTCACAAGTAAAACCACGGGGGTTGGTGATAGATTAGATACGGAGGGAGACAAGAAAGAGGATGTCAAAGATGAGCCCTAATTTCTGCAACTGGTGGGTGAATGGTAGTACTGTAACTTTTGTGGTGGTGATTGCTTGGGAGAGGACCAGGCTTTTAGGGGCAGAGAAAATGAGTTTGGTTGGAATATGTTAAGTTTGCCATTCACATGCAGAGTAAGCACTACTGATTATAGAGTTTAGAGGAGGGTCTTGGTTTGCTGATATACATTGGAAGTCCGTGAGTACAGAAGGTCATTTTACTACAGGCAGAGGTTATCTTGGTTGAGACTATTGAATCAGCTCATTTTAAACTTCAGAGATGTTGAGATGCCCCTGAATTAATTTTTTTACTCAGTGTCTCCAGTTTTATAAAACTTGATGAAAAATATATGGCCATTTAAAATGCAAATTTATTGATAGCCTTTTTATTGACTGCCTTAACTTTTTATGCAACGTTTGCTGAAGTGTGATAGTATTTAAGTCCATTACTATAAATAAGCACGAACAGTGGTTCTTGATATGTAAGAGTAAGGATATGGGGCTTTCCGTTGTAACCTATGGGCTAAAATTGTAGAAGAGGCTCATATGTTCTTATTCTTGGTGCTATTTTAATATCTAACCAATCTCATTTGATATCTTTTTTTTTTTTTTTTTTGAGATGGAGTCTTAATGTGTCGCCCAGGCTAGAGAGCAGTGGCACGATCTCGGCTCACTGCAAGCTTCGCCCCCTGGGTTCACGCCATTCTCCTGTCTCAGCCTCCCAAGTAGCTGGGACTACAGGTGCCCACCACCATGCCCGGCTAATTTTTTGTATTTTTAGTAGAAACAGGGTTTCACCATGTTAGCCAGGATGGTCTCGATCTCCCGACCTCGTGATCTTCCTGCCTCTGCCTCCCAAAGTGCTGGGATTACAGGCATGAGCCACCGTGCCCGGCCTCATTTGATATATTTATGTTCCAATGTGTTTATCTAGGTACTGGAATTTGTACATGTTTTTCTATGATTTCTCATTTTTTCTCCCAGTTTTATTTAAGTCTGGAAATTATTTAGTATTGTATATAATATAGTAAGCCCCCTTCCTTCTTAACTTGTGTAGATATAAATATGTCCTTTGGCTATTTTTTACTTCTTTTTTAGAAGCAACCCTATTAACTGATATATATATATACATATGGACAAGATCTAACTCTGTTGCCTAGGGTAGAGTGCAGTAGCATGATCATGGTTCATTGCAACCTTGACCTCCTGGGTTCAAACGATCCTGCCACCTCAGCTTCCCAGGCAGCTGGGACCGCAGGTGCTTGCCACCATGCCTGGCTAATTTTTGTTTTTTGTAAAGACAGGCTCCCACTATGTTGCCGGGTCTCGAACCCCTGGGCTCAAGCAATCTTCCTGCTTTGGCCTCCCAAAGTGCTAGGATTACAGATGTGAGCCACTGCACCCAGCCTTGCTTTGAACTATCAAAAGTATGGTTTCCTGATAACATTTCAAAAACATTGGAAGAATATACTTTAGGAGTCATAAATTTGTTCATATCCTTTGGCCTAATTAATTAACTTGAAGAATTTATCAAGTGAAGATAATTAACATGAATAATTCTGTCTCTACTTAATATTTAATAATTAAATATACAATAACAAATATCAAATGTAGGGAAATTATTAAATATATTTTGATCAACCATATATATTATCTATGCACTGAAATCATAGACTTGAAAACTGTGTAGAAACAGAAAACTGTAATAGTATGGACATGGTGTAATATTGTTAATTAAGAGTTTTTTGTATTTATACTGTTTATAACTGTGTCAATTATGAATTCATATGAATGATAACTAGAAAGGAAAATGAAGCATTTCATGATGGGATTATGAGTATGTTTCACTTTTTAAAATATCCTAATATGCTATCTAATAAATATTAAGATGAATATAAAAGAGTTTAAAATTAGTTTCGGTTTTAGCAGCCAGTAATTTCTTTTTTATTAAATGGGTATGGAAACCTCATCAAGCTGGCTTGATCATTCTAAAGCACTTAAAAAATTATTATTTACGTCCAGTTATTTCAGAAATTGAAGTATATTTAGTTACCTCAGAAATCACAATGGAACTTTGAGATTTTGGAAGATTTTGCTTTGGAACCGATGCAGGGAGTGTGGGAGGTGACAGTTTATATCTCACTCAAGTTGTTTTTTCTTTCCTTCCTGCAGCCCACATACTTCTTATTGGCCAAGATATGTCTGCTCTTTACTGCTGGAATTCGGAGCGTAATCAATTCTCTTTTGTTCTGGAAGTACCTTCTGCTTATGATGTGGCTTCTGTTACAGTAAAGTCCCTTAATTCAAGCAAGAATTTAATAGCTCTAGTGGGAGCTCATTCACATATATATGAGCTAGCCTACATTTCCAGCCATTCTGACTTTATTCCTAGGTAGGTTCAACATTTTTTGCTAAGTATCTTTATGTTCACTGTAATTTTGTATGACAGCTCATTTCCAAGTCATTATTTGGTGACTGAAAAATATACAAAATATAAGAGCTATTTATCAGCCTGAAATTTGGTTATTATCCATGTTTCTAATATCTATTCTATCAAGTTTATCAGTATTACATGAATATTTTGGATTAAAATTTTCGTTATGAAATGTTGTGATTCTTCCAAACCTTTAATATCAATTAATGTAATGAGTAGTCTACTATGTATATATCTTAAATTTGTTGTAGTTGACTTATTTTGTATATGCTTCTTATGGTAGTTCAGGTGAACTGATATTTGAACCTGGTGAGAGAGAAGCTACAATAGCAGTAAATATCCTTGATGATACAGTTCCAGAAAAAGAAGAATCCTTCAAAGTTCAACTTAAAAATCCCAAAGGAGGAGCAGAGATTGGCATTAATGATTCTGTAACAATAACCATTCTGTCTAATGATGATGCCTATGGAATT
The DNA here is from genome assembly GCF_000001405.40 of Homo sapiens. NCBI lineage: Eukaryota > Metazoa > Chordata > Mammalia > Primates > Hominidae > Homo > Homo sapiens. The sequence goes on from NC_000005.10 coordinate 90,745,781, forward strand.
GTTGCATTTGCTCAGGTAATGATACTGAAGACCCCACACTTGCAATGCAAAATGTTTTATTTATTGTATTTGTGTATTAGCTATTATTAGCACTCAGCAAGTCATAGTTTGAGTGTCATCAGCCTCTCTCCCTTCCCTTTCCCCTGCCTCCCTTTTATGTGCATTCTAGGGTGAATTCTACTGACATTTTGCAATTTACAGTCTTACACACTGGACTCTGAGTCAACTTGTCCTAATCATTTTATTTTCAGATTCCTTTTATAGGATTGACTTTGAAATGTTACAAGTTGATCTTGGTCTGAAAGTTTGGCTCTGCTGTTAGCTGTTACCAGAGAGAAAGGATGAAATAGATGCTAAATGCAATATATACTGTGTGATATACACATCACATACAAATATATTACTATCCTATTATGCTTTGTTACTTCTGTGGAGAGGGGAAGAGAATGAGAGGTGGGGTGGGGGGAGGGTGGAGGAGAGAGAGAGGGTTGTAATTATATGTATGTTGGACATGTAGATGTCTTCCTGAGGAAAGAGAACCATGCAAATCCTAAGTTACTTCCGTGCCCAGATTTCATATTTCTTTATCAGCAAGCAAAAGGACATCTATTATTTGCATCATTTAGTCCTTTTGGTAAAGTGAATTCTTACTTCTTAATTTGAGTTATAGCTGCAGCTATCATGTATCTTTCTCTGAAATATTTTTCATATGAGGAAAACCTAACCCAAGTTTGCCTGCACACCAAGAGCATGTCCTCAGAGAAAGTGAGCTTCGGGGTTAGTTGGATACTCTACCATGTCATTTTGGCTTAGATTGTTTCCATCTCTCTACTTTGCCATCACAAAATTGACTTTCATTTGGTTGTTTGAAAGCTGATGTTATTGTTAAGGTTACTATGTTCTGCTCATGTTCATTTGGGGCAGAGAGAGATATTTTATGAGATTCTCAAAGTAAAGAAGACATTTCCCAAAAGACTCTAGAAAATGGCTTATGTCTCATTGTCCAGAACTGGGTAACAAGCCCACTCACTCATTCATTCATTAATTCATGCAGCAGTTATTTAACAAATGCCTGTTAGGTACCAGATACTGTTTCAGATGCTACAGTCATGTTAGAAAATAAGACGGTAAAATTCTTTATTTTCATGGTCCTTAAATTCTAGAGAGGGCAAGGGGAGAAAGGCAGTAAACACAGACATAAGAAAATATGTACTATATCTGATGGTGATGAGTGTACTATGAAGAAATGTTAGGCAAGGAAGGCAGATGGAGAATGCAAGGGAGGGAGTGGAGGTTGTATGTGGGGAAATCTAAAATAGGATGATCAGTAAGGGCTGTTTGGAGGAAATGACAGAATGACAAAGACTGGTGGGGGATGAGGGTGTGAGCTATGTAATATCTGGGGTAGGAACATTTAAAGCAGAAGGACCCATCAGCAAGAGCAAAGGCCCTGCAGTGTAGCCCTGCCCATCTGGAGCAACAAGGAGGCCACTGTGGCTGATGTCTGCATGTGATAGGGGATGAGGTTCAACAGGTGCAGGGCCAGGGCTCTGTGTCAGGGATCCCCATGACCACCCACAGTTTCGATGAGTCACTAAGAAGACTCGCAGGACCTAGCATTTAGTCATATCCATGGCTATGATTTATTACGGCAAAGAATACAAAATAAAATCATTGAAGGGAAAAAGCTCATGGGGTGTAAAGTCCAGAGGAAGCCAGGGCAAGCTTCTAAGATTCCCCCTCCCACCCCCATCCATTGACACAGGACACACTTAATTCCCCAGCATTGAGTTGTCACAAGATGTATAAAATGTTGCCAACCAGGGAAGCATACTAGGGACTCAGTGCCCAGGATTTTAACTGGGGTCTGATCATGCAGGCACCCTCTGCCTGGCACATACCAAAATTCTAGACTCTCAGAAAGAAATGAATGTTCAGCATAAACCACAATTATTACACAGTTTAGGCACTGGGAGCCACTTAATAGTTCCAGAATGGTGGGAACTCTCCTGAAATTCCAGTTCCCAGACACCAGCGGATAGCCGACCTGTGAACAAGCCTTTAAGGATAGCAGTCAGGTCTGCTGTGTGAACACTTTCCTGCATAAGCCCATTAGCATTGTAATGAGTTTGGGCCCTGAGGGAATTAGAGAGCCTTTGAAGGGGAGGAGTAGAAAAGTGAATGATCTGACTCACATTTTAGAAGGAACAACTCTGACCATAGTATAGAGAATAGATTGTAAATGGGCAAGGACAGAAATAGACCAGTTAGGAATTATTACAGTAATAAATGATGGAGCTATGGGAAGCATGAATTTGCTGCTCATTGAGATATGGATGACTATAGGAAGAGCAGGTTTAGGGGATAAGATGAGGAGTTTTGGATGTGCTTAAAGTCTTGTGTCTGTTGCATGCAAGGGTCAGAAGTTTACACTACTACTCAATCTGGTCCATTCCTGGAGCTAAGCGTAGTAGATCAGCTTCCTCTGAGGCATCTCTGCCCAATAGGGATATAATGTGTGCCTCATATGTAAATTTAAGTTTCCTAGCAGCCTACATTTTTTAAAAAGTAGAAAGAAGCAGGTCACTTGATTTTAATATATTTTATTTAACCCAATGTATCTGAAATATTTTTTCAACATACAATCAACATAAAATTATTGAGGAAATAGTTTACATTTTTCATATCTTGTCTTCAAATTTTAGTGCGCATTTTACACTTATAGACTAGCTACACTAACTACATTTCAACTGGTCAATAGCCACATGTGGCCAGTGGCTACTGTGAAGGAGAAGGCAACCCTAAGACATGAACTGGGTCTTGAGTAGGGAGAGTTAGAAAGAAACAAGAGGACCCTATTCTTATTAGGTACTCACTTGTTTCTTCACTTTCTTCAGATCTCTGCAAAATGATACCTTACCAGAAAGATCACTGATGGAAAATTGCAGCTCCCCACCATCATTCTGTATCTTTTTATCCTTATAAAAAGTTTCTTCATGACACTTATAATTGCCTAGTTTGTCTATCATCAAGTTTTTTTTTGTTTTTTTTTTAACTAGAATTGAAGAGTATGAGAGCTGGTATACTGCTGTGCTCACAGCTTTATCCCTGCACCCAGAAAAGTGCCTGGCACACATTAGGGGCTTAGGATGAACCTGTCATTCTGTGGGAGAGGCAGAACACTTACAAGGCCTTCTCAAGGCCTTATACAACTCTATAGGGCAGAGCTGGGCTTCCTGGGGTGAGAACCGACATGCTCTGCTGTGTGGTTCCATCTTCTCACCCTGCAGCCTTGCAGCAGATGGAGAGCACATGCTATTCCTCAACTGTTTGAGAATGGTAGATTTCCCTTTATGAAGCTTGTTCCAAAATTGTTCTGGAGACATACAATTACTGTTATTCAATACTTGCCAATAGATACTGAATTCTTTCAATCTGTTCAGTAGAATTCTTCATTACAGGTCTTTGATGTCTGGACAATCTCATTTCAAAATGAGATATAGCAGATAATGAGAATTTCTTGAATATTTTCTGGCTGCATGAAGTGCTCATTTTATTAACCCTCATTGATGGAGGGCATGGAGCCAGAGAGAGCTGGCTTTTTAAAAAGGCATTGTCTTTTGTGAATAAATTATGTGCATATTTTAAAATCAAGGCATTTTATTTAGGAATGTTTGATTGCCTGGAGCAAGATTTTATTACTATGTAACATCTGTAACAATGTGTTAAAATGCTGTGTAAAATATTGCTAAAGGATAGGATCGCTACTCAAATTAGCATTCTAAGTAAAAGCTCTCATAAGTTTTAAGAAATTAATGGGGGAATCTCTTTTCAGGTTATCATAGTGACCTGAATGGGAAGATTTTCAAAAATCTTTACACTCCATATTCTTGCTTTACTGCATATGGAAAATCCAGGGGTATTGTAAGAAGAGATTCTTTGAAGCATTCATTTTGAGGAACAGTTCATGAAATGGCTGACAAGAGACGTTGTGTATGTTTGGTGAAGAATGGTGTAGTCACACAGAAACAGATAATTAGTTTGGGACAAAAGAAAGAGGCTAGGAAGCATAGATAAGAAGAAAGAAAGTAAGTAATTCTATCATAAGGGAAAGGGATATTTCAGGCAGGAAAAAACAGTTGTAAAGGCCATGAGCTAAGGATGAAACACCATCAAAGGAGGCAGAAGAGCCCACAGAAACATTTCCGAGGATATGAATTTAAGAATAAGAGACATTTGCCAGTGATCAAGGAGAAAGCTCTAATTCTCATGACATCGTTGTGCATGGATGGGATGTTGGAAACCATATAGGTCAAGCTCTTCTTTTACAAATAGGAAACAAAGACCTAGTGGGATTGCCAGAAGTTACACAGAGGAAAAAGGCTTCCCTACTCTCCTGACTCTATATCCGTTCTCTTCTACAAACTTTTTACATGCTATGAATACTTTTACAAAAGTACACGCTTTCTGAGTATGAATGTAATATATGTTCACTGAACAAAATTTGAAAAATATAGAAACAGAAACATAAAATAATCCTAAAATAATTAACATTTTTGCTTACTTTCACTTAGTCTGTTACTTATTCAAACATGTGTGTTTTAAATCATGGTCATTCTATATGACTGTTTTTTAATTGTCGTTTTCACTTACTATGTCATGTTGCTTAGGACCACAAAGTTTGCAAATCCATAATAACATGAGACAAAAAAAGAAGTCTGATTAGGTAATTTCAGGGAACCCCTTGTGACTTTCTGTGTATTTTTTCAGAATTCATTATATAAGCAAGTGGAAGAAATGGAGCAAGATAGCCTAGTAACCTTGAACGTTGAACGCTTAAAAGGAACATATGGCCGTATAACCATAGCATGGGAAGCTGATGGAAGTATTAGTGATATATTTCCTACCTCAGGAGTGGTATGTAATTTACAAAGTTATAGGAAACACTTTTAAATTATGGTTACTAGTGATGTATGGGACCAAATCCTGCCTTATGGATGAAGTGTTTGAGTTTGACCATATCAACACTGAATTCCTACTAATCATTGTAGAGAGGGATACAATTTAAGGTTAGTTTTCTGGTTGTGGGTATTGTTCTTTTTTAAAAAAATATAAAACCAAAATTGTCCTTTAAAAAGTCATTCTTTCTGAGTTTCAGTACATTCGTTGGCCACATTGTGGGTGCATTACATTGTTAGAAAGATAAAATTAACCAAATAGGATCAAAATGTGGTTTCCAGGTTTAGGCACAATGGAAGTAGTAAGTAGGGAACAAGTCTGTGTAAAACAGTCGGACTTATGAAAAAGTAGATCTGAGTTGTGGAGTGATATAGGTTGGGCTTCCTGTAAATAGACTCTGAGATTGAGAGTTGTGGACAGAAGGATTTTGGGGAGATACATCTATGAGGATGTGAGGAAGGTGAGGATGTGCAGAGGGAGAAGTTGATCCACAGGCAATTGCAACTGAGGTTGATTGCAACTGAGTTCAGGAGATGAGCTGGTCCTTAGGAGTTGTTCCCAGTTTAGAGCTAAGCTATTGATATCCCCATTTTAGCAGTCCTTGGCTTTAGGCCACCCTCAGGGTTGGGTATAACCTTGAGTGAGACAGTTTGCTGTAGGAAAGGGTGATTCCCAATGAGGAGCACAGAACCTGTTGTTCCTAGCAGCCGAGGGATGGGTACATCAGCCCCAAGAAGGGATCTGGGCAGACGACGAGATTATCTATTACTGGAGAATAGTATAAAGTTGGAGCTGAGGTTCAAGAATGGAATAAGAATGAGCCAAATAAGTACATGATTAACAACAAGAGGGATCAGAGAGCCTTTTGTTCCTAGCTGGAAGATGGGTTGTCTTCTTGGCTTGCCTTTGGTTTCATAGATTAGTCTGTGTATATGGCCCAAATGCTTCTCTGAAGAGTTCTTTTAAAGGAACTCTCATGGAACTGTCTCAAAAAAAGGACAGGTATATATCATGGTTCATCATTTCTAGGTTTCTGTATTATTTCAAACGTGATTGGAGCTTCTGTATATTAAGAATGTTATAGCAAATTCTATTGCATTTAATATTTACTTTAGGTAAGCTACCAGAACTGTAAGTTGTGTCTGTCAGGTTCTATATGTTCTGATTTGTGTTTCTCCAGTTATCATTTCTTATATAAACATGATTACAATTATTTCTAATTTAAATATATAATGGTACCTTAAACATAGACTATAGTTTGGAAGAATTAATTATTTCATTCAGGGAGCTAGTATATCTTTTTTCTGTAAAGGGCCAGATAGTAAATATTTTAGGCTTTGTGAGCCATTTGGTCTCTTTCACTACTGCTTTGCCTTTGTAGTAGAATTGTGCTAGGCAATATAAGCAATATTAGCAGACAATATAGGCAGCGATAGACAATATGCAATTGAATGAGCTTGGTTGTGTTCCAGTAAAACTTGATTTGTGACAAATGGGTTTGGCCATTGGGCAGTAGTTTTCTGACCTCTGATTTTATTAATAAAGCTCTTGAATTTATTTTTTTAACTTTTATTTTAAGTTCAGGGGTACCTATGCAAGTTTGTTACATAGGTAAACTGGTGTCATGGGGTTTTGTTCTACAGATCATTTCATCATCCAGGTCTTAAGCCTAGTACCCATCAGTTATTTTTCCTGATCCTCTCCCTTCTTCCACCTTCCACCCTTGAATAAGCCCCAGTGTGTGTTGTTTCCCTCTATGCGTCCATGTGTTCTCAACATTTAGCTCCCACTTATAAGTGAGAACATGTGGTATTTGGTTTTCTGTTCCTGTGTTAGTTTGCTAAGGATAATGGCCTCCAGCTCCATCCATGTCCCTGCAAAAGACATGATCTCATTTTTCTTTTATGGCTGCATACCTAAAGAAAGAAATACCATTCAATACAGCAATCCCATTACTGGGTATATACTGAAAGTTATATAAATCATTCTATGATAAATACACATGCATATGTATGTTCATTGCAACACTCTTCGCAATAGCAAAGACATGGAATCAACCTAAATGTCCATCAATGATAGACTGAATAGAGCTTTTGAATTTATATTCTCCATTGCCTTTTCCAGGTGGAAAAACGAATGTCAGCAAAGGTAGATACATCAGCCTATAATGCTAGTTTGAGTAATTATAAATAGTTTGTAGCTGCATTGCTGGAGAGTGGTGTGTGAGGTGGGAATCAGTGAAAAATGGCATTCAAGAAGTCCTATCAGCAAGGTCTTCCATGCTTTTTAGCAAATTTGGATTTGACTCTTTAGACAGGAGAGACATAAAAGGAGAAGAGAGTTGCTATGATTTGTATCTCTCCCTATCTTTCTCTCTCCACCTGTGTTTTAGTTGATTCATTGCTTAGTGATACATCTGTTCAGAGTTAGTCAAAGGAAATAATCCGGGCAAAAGTTTTGCAGAGAAAAATCTTTAAGCTAGTATGCCACCTTATTTTACTTTTATGGATCTTTGTATATGGTATCTAGAACTTAGATTCCCAGAGAGACTGTATACTTTATCTTAGAATGGAATTCAGTCTCCAGTATTTGACAATTTGGCTGCATTTTTTTTTATTAGCTTAAAGTTTATAAATGGTTTGCTCTTCCTTTTTCCTAACAATCTTCCATTAATATGAAAGACATCTGATTTGTAGAATCATATTATTATGTTGCTTAAATATCTCTTGCTATTTAAGTTATAGGTTTAATAAAAGAAAATCAATTTTTAAAATATTCTTACTACATAGTGACAATTACAAAATAAATAACATCTTCTTTCTTTAAAATTCTAGATTTTATTTACTGAAGGCCAGGTACTGTCAACAATCACTCTAACTATTCTTGCTGATAATATACCAGAGTTATCAGAGGTTGTGATTGTAACCCTCACCCGTATCACCACAGAAGGGGTTGAGGACTCATACAAAGGTGCTACTATTGATCAGGACAGAAGCAAGTCTGTTATAACAACTTTGCCCAATGACTCACCTTTTGGCTTGGTGGGCTGGCGTGCTGCGTCTGTCTTCATTAGAGTAGCAGAGCCTAAAGGTAAATATTGTTAAATATCTTTCAAGTTTTAATGAGAAGCTTCATTGGATAATTTAATTCTAATATTTATAAGGAATGTAAATTTCTCTTTTTATATGACTTTTTCAGTTTGGCAGGTCATACTCAATCCTTTTTGTTTATTGTTGTTAAATCTGGTAATCATGTGAAATTACCTAGCAGTAATGTTATAGGAAATGTGTCTTTTAAAAGATACATTATATTAGAAATATTAATATTTTAGTTGTGAGTACAGTAGAGGTGACTGTTTTTTATTTTACTTTATCTTTTTCATCATTCATCTGTTCTCTTTCTTCACTCAGCTATATTTTCTATAGATTTTCACTAGTTACAGAGAACAATGAGCAACACAATGAAATGTGTACATGGCACTAAAGGTATTAATTGTTTAATCCAAAATAGTAATTAGAATAATTTTATCCTGTGAAGTGTACAGTGGTCAATTTCTCTTTTGAGTACTAAAATCATCACCCAAATAATTATTCATATTAGCTGCTGGTGAAGGTTCTAAGATTTTCACGTAATAACATGGACATCCAGCTTTCAAGTACCTTTCATTTGAATAGTCAATGGGAAAAATACAACATGTGGTTATGTTCCTGGGTCTTTAATATGGCAAATTAAGTTTTTAAAATCTAAACAATGAAATAAAAGTTAGGTGCTGTGAAATACTTTGAGCCTCCTGATAGGCACGTCACTGTAAGAACAAAATCACTCTTAATGATTAGTCATTAAATGACTTTGTATATATAATTTTTCATTTTTTGAAGAATCTTTTGAGCCTTTATAATTATCATCTCTGTTCAACCTGCATATCTGTACTTCCCTAAGACTTTGCAGCAATTTCTGTTAAAGTGTATGACATGTGCAACATAGGAGGGTGCTTTAGAGAATCAGAAGTGGGGGATTAGAACTGGGATATAATGCTAGGAGTGGATGGTGATTCTCTGCCCAACTTTGGGGACCAGGAAGACCAAGCCCAGAATGATCCTTGGGAGTATACATTGTCTTTGTTTTACTTCTTTTTCCTTAACTGTCTACAAGGGATAGAGTAGAGTGTTCCACTCTAGGTCCTTGTAACAGCATTGACAGCAAATAGAAAAGACTATTTACTCGTGGCATGTTTCTCTCACAGAAAACACCACCACTCTTCAGTTACAAATAGCTCGAGATAAAGGACTACTTGGGGATATTGCCATTCACTTGAGAGCTCAACCCAATTTCTTACTGCATGTCGATAATCAAGCTACTGAGAATGAAGATTATGTATTGCAAGAAACAATAATAATAATGAAAGAAAACATAAAAGAAGCTCATGCCGAAGTTTCCATTTTGCCGGTAAGTCAAGGCTGCAAAGAATGTGATCTAAAATAGAGGAAAATTCTCTTAAGTAAAATTGTGATGCTCTTGTAAGTAAAAATCTTTTTTTTAATAAAAGGATTCTTTTAAACATAAAAATGTAAGTATTCTACTGTTGCCACCCACCTAAGTATTTAATAATGAATAATATTTTATAACTGGCTGGCAAAAATGATGTCTATTACTTGTATTTATTCTTGAACTGGAATATTGTTTGAATGAATTTTGAAGCACTGAATTTAGATTAATTATATCTGATTGGATCCACTGTAATTTTGTTTTGTCAGTTTTTAAACTAATGACAACAAGTGAAATGCCCAAATCAATCTGGTTATTTTTATTATTCATTTAATAGGACAGTATTTTCCTTTCATGATATGATTACTTGAATCAAGATTAGTCTTCAGATGGTTTAGATCTGGTTTTAGCTATCTGTATTTATCCATGTATGTATGGAGAGAGAGAGAAGAACAGAGAAAGAGAGGGGGAGAATATGTGACTATATCAGTAATGATGCACAAGAAATTTTAATAGTGGATTAGTGTTAATAATATTATAAAATAATAACAAAATGTTGTTTTATATTATATAAATAGTATTAATCTTATATATTATATACCATAGAATATATTATATGTTATTAAATAAATATGATATTATATAATGTTAGTGTTACTAATAGTGGTATTAGTGGTTTTAGGTAATAGTATCTCCTGAAGAGTATAATTTGGGAAAGATATAAGGGATGGGATAGAAATGAGGGTTTTCCCCCCCTTTTTAGAGTATTTTTTATCTCTGGAAATTTTTCATTATGCAAAAACAAAGTAAGAAATTTTTAAAAATTAAATATAGGCTTATATCTAGATTTTCAAGTCTAGAGCTTTTGCTTTAAAAATGTATGTAGCATTTACCAGTGTTTCCTAAATTTTCTTTTGGGATATTAAATATGTAAAACATACAATAGAATATGGTCAAAATTTCAGGATAGATTTTTAAAAATTATTTTATTTGCTAATGAGTGTGAAGATTCCATTGAAACATCACCAGTGAGCTAGAATATTCTATAGATTCTGAAGTGGTCAGTGGGAATGTATTAAAATATAACAAGAATCTTTTTTATGTTTGACAGAGCTGCCCATTCCTGTGAACAAAGTCAATTATTTCCTTACTGAAAAATATCAAGTATTCAATGCAAGTTAAATGTCTTAAAAAAAAATGAAACACCATCTTTTTCCCCCATCCCCCAGGATGACCTTCCTGAATTGGAGGAAGGATTTATTGTCACTATCACTGAGGTGAACCTGGTGAACTCTGACTTCTCTACAGGACAGCCAAGTGTGCGGAGGCCCGGAATGGAAATAGCTGAGATAATGATAGAAGAAAATGACGATCCCAGAGGAATTTTTATGTTTCATGTTACTAGAGTGAGATGAACTTTCATTTGTTTACAGTCATACAGAGGCCTCTCCCTGCTGATTTGGCCAGTGTTTTATGTTTAGCTTTGCCTGTATTTATTTTTAAATAGATAAATAACCAAATTTGTCTTATAAACTAATTCTTAGGTCTCTTTGGGCTAGACCAAAGGATTCAACAAGTTTACTTTCATTAAATATAAGAGTTCAGAAGACCTTTTATGCATACTTATATCTGACTATTAATTTCTACTTTAAAGGGTGAAATATAGAAAGTTAAGTAGAAACAATAACTTTAGAAAGATGACTTATGAGAGTTACCATTTTATCTTGCCTTTCAATTATATTCTTTACTTAAAGGGCGCTGGGGAAGTTATTACTGCCTATGAGGTGCCTCCACCCTTGAACGTTCTTCAAGTTCCTGTAGTCCGGCTGGCTGGAAGCTTTGGGGCAGTAAATGTTTATTGGAAAGCATCACCAGACAGTGCTGGCCTGGAAGACTTTAAACCATCTCATGGGATTCTTGAATTTGCAGATAAACAGGTATGCCAGTCATTAACATATTAGCCTTTTTGAGTTGTGCTTCAGACATTTTGTAGGCATCCATCAAATGAATGTACATTGGTGATTGCTAAATGCATTATACTCTAAATGTTTCTATGTTAAGTCAAACAAATATTATTAATTGAAATACAATTTATTAATGGGCATAGGAAGAGACTTATAAAGATACAACAATCTTACCCTTTTCTGAACCCCCGCCCCAGTTTTATTTAAAATAAATAGAAGTTACAAAACAGGATAATAATTGACTTAGAAGTGCCTAACAATGTATAGAAAACTGTCTGATGAACTAGACTCTTCCTGTGGACTTTAGTTTCTTTTATCTTTTATTTTGTTTCTTAATGCCAGTAAATATAGATATTTATTTAGAATTTGCACTAAAAGTGTGGACAGTTTTTACTTAATATCTAAAATGCCCTTTATAATTAAAAAAATTGACTAAAATAAGAGAAAATGAACAAAATAGTTAAAACTTGAAAAATTGAAAAACAATATTCTAGATTTAGGCTAACCAGTCTTAAATATTATAAAACATTCCCCAAGAATTACAAATTTTGTAAACTTGGCATTTTGTAATATGTAAGAATAAGATGTTTTCATACCATTTTTTTATCAGTAAGTGGAAAAGGCATATGAACAACCATGAAAATGTTAGTAACTTTAACTAGCACCTCTATCTACAGGTAGCCTTATTTTGGCTAGACAAATTACCAGAGTATGCGTCAACTTATTTGTTGCTCATGGGGGGCGGTAGTAAATGCTGTTAAAAGGTAAGCATACAGATGTAGATTTTCCTACACAGAAAAACCCATTATTGTTAATATTTTTGAAATCCTGAGCTTTTAAAGCAGATTTAGAACTTGAAACATTTCCTAAGTAAAAAGAGTGGAATGCAATCCCAGCACTTTGGGAGGCCGAGGCGGGTGGATCACGAGGTCAGGAGATGGAGACCATCCTGGCTAACACAGTGAAACCCCGTCTGTACTAGAAATACAAAAAAATTAGCCGGGCGTGGTGGCGGGCACCTGTAGTCCCAGCTATTCCGGCGACTGAGGCAGGAGAATGGCGTGAACCTGGGAGGCGGAGCTTGCAGTGAGCCGAGATTGCACCACTGCACTCCAGCCTGGGCAACAAAGCGAGACTCCATCTCAAAAAAAACAAAAAACAAAAAACCGGAATGCAAGTCAATGAGATTCTTATGTTAAAAGCAGAAACAAATACATTGATTATTCATTGAAGCAGCCTTTCAACTTTAATGACATTATCAGCACTTTATCTGTGCATGAGGTTCAAGTTCCATCATTAACCAGCATCCATAGGATCCTACTTATTCTTAAAATTCACATCCTCTAGGGAAGGGACTCTGTATTCTACAGCACAGATTTGAGGTGCAGGCAATTTAATTACCTTCTATTTGAGCATTTGATTTTATTCATGTTTCTATCTGTCTGAGTGTGATATCCAGGTTTTTCACTTTTCTCTGTTGTTAAATTAAAGATTTTAGGTAGATTTAATTTCATTTTCTGATAAATGTCTGTCAGAAACATTGGAATATTTTTATGACCAATAGTGAAACTGCAAGCTGGATCAAGTTTTATTTATTTATCAGTTTATAAAAACTTTTAACATAGACTCAGAAAATTGAACTAAATCCTGATTATAAACATCCAGGAATAGCAAATTTGGGTTTTCTTTCTGCCTTTCTTTTTGACTACGTTGCAAGAACAATATTTGAAACCAATGGGATTTATTTTAATTGTAGAAGACTGGTAATTTTTATGTAAGTTTCATATCATGTAATATTAATACCAAGCATACTGCATTTTATGTTTGTGCAATGGTGTTAGAACCTGCATGACATTAAAAAAATTTTAAGAATAAGGATTTATTGTTTTTAATCTGTAAATAATACTCTTATCACATCAATAATGTTTTATCTTGAAAATAATAGACTGTAAATTTCTGACTTTGAAATACCATAAATATACACAACTTTAAAATGCCATAAATATACATGCCATAAATATACACAACTTTAAAAGTATTACAAATATAATACGCAAAAAGAACTACTTTTTAGTACCATGTTTCTGAGATTTTTGGTTTCAACTAAAAAATTAAAATATATGTCAGCAAAAACTGTGATTACATTATTTCTTTCCTCATTTCCTATCTTCCTCCTTCTTTTCCTCCCTCTCTTTCTCCCTTCCTTCCTTTCTTTCATAGGTTACTGCAATGATAGAAATCACCATAATTGATGATGCTGAATTTGAATTGACAGAGACGTTCAATATTTCCTTGATCAGTGTTGCTGGAGGTGGCAGACTTGGTGATGATGTTGTGGTAACTGTTGTTATTCCACAAAATGATTCTCCATTTGGAGTATTTGGATTTGAAGAAAAGACTGTAAGTTAAACATATCAGGGGAAAGCCTTGTTTCAGGCTAGCGTTTCATGTAATTTTGAGTAGAAAGTGTCTCACATTTTTGTTTTGGAAGTCTTGGCCAGGCATGGTGGCTCATGCCAGTAATCCCAGCACTTTGGGAGGCCGCAGCGGGCAGATCACGAGGTCAGGAGATTGACACCATCCTGGCCAATATGGTTGAATTCCCGTCTCTACTGAAAGTACAAAAATTAGCTGGGCGTGGTGGCACATGCCTGTATTCCCAGATACTTGGGAGGCTGAGGCAGGAGACTCGCTTGAACCCAGGAGGCAGAGGTTGCAGTGAGCTGAGATCACGCCATTGCACTCCAGCCTGGCGACATAGAGAGACTCCATCTCAAAAAAAAAAAAAAAAAAAAAAAAAAAAAGGCCGGGCGCAGTGGCTCATGCCTGTAATCCCAGCACTTTGGGAGGCCGAGGCGGGCGGATCACGAGGTCATGAGTTTGAGACCAGCTTGGCCAATATGGTGAAACCCCGTCTCTACTAAAAAAAATACAAAAATTAGCCAGGTGTGGTGGCGCATGCTTGTAGTCCCAGCTGCTTGAGAGCCTGAGGCAGGAGAATCACTTGAACCTGGGAGGCGGAGGTTGCAGTGAGCCGAGATCACGCCACTGCGCTCCAGCCTGGGCAACAGAGTGAGACTTCGTCTCAAAAAAAAAAAAAAAAAAGGAAAGAAAGTCTTCATTACCCTTCATGTATGAGTCTCTTCTCAAGGATCTTTTGAGTGGTCTATTGAATTAAGGGCCAATCCTCCAGCCTGTGCACACAGTTTGATAGTAATGTGAGCTCTTAATATCAGGAAATTACAAAGGGGAACAGATTCCTATTTATTGGCTGTAGTAGATCAAGATGTACTTTTCATCCATACCACCTATTCTCTGCCTGCTTTACTGCCAGACCACCAATCTGGTCACAGGCAGGATTCTGTCATGGGTCTGGGTGTTACATCCCACAATGGGTTTATCTGGTGAGGGATTTATATTACCCACTGTTATGCTAGTCTGTTGTGACTTATGTAGAAAAAAACACCACAGTCACCCCCCACCCAGCTCATGTATTTCTCTATATTTCTTCTCTCTTACTTCTCATTGGCTGTTTACTTCCAAGACTTGAAAGAAGGAACCCAATTATTATTGATTCAGCCACAAAGAGAGAGAGAGAAAAAAAGGCTAATTAATCATGAAAACTAAGTATTTGTGCAGCCATATTTGGTACCTAGTACTAAATTATCACTACATCTTAAGTATAAAACACTATAAATTCCATCATAATTGTTATTACATGATAACTATGACATAATATTATGACCTTACCTTTCAAAAGAAATTCCAAGGTATGAATTAGCCATAAAAATATTTAGATAATCCCCATATACTCAGCAACTTTTCCGGCCCCATATGTCACCATTCCCTTCATTTAATCACTTATAGGTTGTCAGTAATTCACATAGATCACTTTTAATTAATAAACCAATTGCTGAAATGCCCATTGTCTACTGTCCTGTGGATGGAAGGCTAGACTGACAGCTTGCCTGCAAGGGCTGGACTTCCTGATGCTCCAAAATTGAAATATAACAAATAAGGATTTGGCTATTGAATTTCAATTTCATAAGAAAATGGGACCTGTAAGAGGGAGAGAACAAACTTTCACTGTAGCCCAATGAGCTCGTCCTTGGAAAAAAAATGGGCAGCTGTGTTTGTAAGGAGTGTTGGATTGGCAAAAGAGTAACTGTGAATATCTCTCAAGCAGCAGAAAATTACACATGAATATGTAATTTATTTTTTATAAAATGTCTCTTAGCTTATAAGTTTAGATTACAAGTTCAGCATTTAGTATTCAAATCTTCAATTGATGAAACTTCACAATAACGTTTTTCATCAAACTTCTGGACTTGGGCACTGGACAGTGTGTTTATAATCTACTTTTACTGTTAGAGAAAATGAAGACCTACACTAGTATTCATAAATAATTTTTGTTCATTTTATTGTAACTGCGGTCATAAACTCTAGTGTTTTAAACCTAGTGTTAAGCACACTTGTTCTGGGAAATAATATCGTTACAGCTACAAATTTTCAATTTGTCTTAGAGTCTAAAGGGAAGATTTAGGTTACCCAATTCCTACTGTATTGTTGAATATGTAAAGCATGCGTGCTTGAGCTTTAATTCATTAGATGTCCATGGCTATTTTGATTGTTGATGATAATAGTAGCTGCATGATGCTCAGCCCTTTGTGACTTTTTTCCTTGCTTATATCCTGTCTTTCCTATCACAAAAGTTTCTTGGTAACATGAAGTTTATCTTTTAACCTTAATAAGATATACAATATTGTGCACACAATAAACATTCTGTTAGCATTATTCGGTGACACAGATTAGATTCACAGCTGAGGTACATTGAGAAAAGACTGTTAGTATAAATCCATCAAAATTAACAAGCTGTTCACAAGGGCAATGTGGTTAAGTATACCAAAGCCCTGAGAATAGCAGAGACCCATGGAAATCTACTTGTGAAACCTAAACTAAAATGTTACATCTATGGAATCAAAGAAGACTTATATAATGGATTTTCTCTATTTTTTTCTTACTAAATTTCACTGGTCCCTGAGGAGTGGTATGAACAGTTTGGAGTCAAAATACCCTAATTAGACTCCAGGCTCCTCATCTCCAGATATATGTATATATCTGGCCCTCAGATTTCTATGAGTTTCTATGAGGCTTAAATAAGATAAGGTATATGTAAGAACTGACACACAATAGAAGCTCATTTCAGTTTGTTTTAAATCTGTGCTGTTGACATCAATGCAAATCTCATGAAGAAAACAAAACAAGATTGTATTGCATGTTAAGCTTCTATCCGTGTTGAAAGTGGAAAGCATTGTGTTATATTTTCTGTTTGTATAGCGGATGGATGATATAGGTTCAATGAGAACTTTGCTTCACAGAGTCAACATATGTACTTCACTTATACTAGATCTGTTAATAAGGACTTGTATGCAAAATAAATAGTTCTGGTAAATCAATGTATTGAATCTCCTCTCTTTATCTCAGATTAATAAAAACCACTTTTAAATTTTGACTCGCTAAAGTAGGTACACCATAATTCAGAGGACAGTTTAGGTCTGTATTATGTGAGGAGCCTGATTGTAGTAACAAAGATCCCGCCAAGTCTCAGTTTCTTCATATGGTAAATGTGCATTTCTTCTTCACGCAGGAATCCTGCACCAGCGTGCCCAGTTGGCTGATGCTTATGGACACCTCTTATTCAGCTGGCAGCTCTCAGGCCCTAGACTCTGTCCATCTTGGGGTTATGTCCTCTTCTAGGTCCTGGGCCTCCTCTCTATTCACCTGCCAAATGGAAAAGTAGAGGATGTGGGGTCTTGTGTGGGTGTTTATGGCAAGAGTATTAGCAGCATAAATCATTTCTGCCTCTATTCTCTGGGTCAGAATTCAGTCACATGCTCTACCTAATTGCAAGAGAAGACAGGAAATGCCAACTAGTTGAGCATCTAGGAATAGAAAGTGGGATTTGGTAAAAAAAATTTTTCTGCCACATGATAATTACATGTAACATTCTAAATTATAAAACTGCAGTCATTGTAAACAGAAATAAGATTCTACTTGTTTATCCTGCTCTTTTTGTTTTTTTTTTTGTTTGGCCTTACTGAATTTTCTTCTTTCAGGTAATGATTGATGAATCCCTTTCATCCGATGACCCTGATTCATATGTGACATTGACGGTTGTCCGGTCCCCAGGAGGAAAAGGAACCGTCCGACTTGAGTGGACCATAGATGAGAAGGCTAAACATAACCTTAGTCCTTTGAATGGGACCCTTCATTTTGATGAGGTATAGTCAGCATTAGCACTCCTGTAATTTTTCCCCAATTTGTCTTTGATTTTCTTTTTCCTTTTTATTGTAAATTCAGGGAGCACATGTGCAGGTTTGTTACATGGGTATATTGCATAATGCTGGGGTTTGGGCTTCTAGTGAGCCCATAACCCAAATAGTGAATATAGTACCCAATAGGTAGTTTTTCAACCCACACCCCACTCCTACCCTGCTGCCTCAAGTAGTCCCCAGTGTCTGTTGTTTCCATCTTTATGTCCATGTGTATCCATTGTCTGGCTCCTACTTATAAGTGAGAACACATGGTATTTGATTTTCTGTTTCTGCATTAATTCACTTAGGATAATGGCTCCTAATTGCATCTATGTTGCTTCAAAGGACATGATTTAATTATTTTATATGACTGTGTAGTATTCCATGGTGTATATCTATAACATTTTCTTTATCCAGTTCACTGTTGATGGACACTAAAGTTGATTCCATACCCTTCCTATTGGGAATAGGTTGACTGATGTCTGATGTTGAGTGGAAGCACCTGCCCTGGTGTGGGCTGCAGGGAGGGAAGGATGGTAAAAAGCGATCATGTTGGAATGTATTGGGGTCTCTTGGGGAGTGATAAGGGGGTGTACCAACTTCTAGTCCTGAGCCAGCAGGAATGAAGTTTGCTTCCCTCTCGTGCCCGTGTTGCAGGACTCATGACTCAATTCATAAAGACTTTGTCCTTTGGCTCTGCAGTGCAGCTGCAGGCCACAGATATGCCCCTCTAGGAGCTGTTACCAAAATGGGCTCAGGGCAAGGCCTCTTCCCCAACTCCAGGGCAAGCAACTTCACAACTTGTCTGTCCGCCATTGCTGGGACACTGCTGCTCTGTCTAAAGGCGGGGAGTTGGGCCCTGTTCTTCCTGTAAGCCCAAGTGGCACAAGCTTACTTTCAGCAGGGATTGAGCCACTGAAAAAAGCACACACAAAAAATGCTTTCTTTGTGTGTATGCACTAAGTACCAGTGGGAAGAACCACAGCTGTGTCTGCAACAGTCTAGAGTGGGAGATGACTCCCTCTCTACGACTGTCCCTAGGCATTGGTGCTGCCCCCTTCAGTGACTGGCCCCATGCCTGCATTTCCTTTGTCCCAAGGGGACTTTGATGGGCTGTGCTCCCCCTCCCTTATGGGCAGCCTACACTGTGGGTTTAGATCTTCAGAAGTCCTTTAGCCCCCTGGGACCCACCTGTCCCCCATGCTTCCCAACGTCAGAGCCAGTTGTGGGGTATATTTGCAGGAGATCTGGTGGTACAGTGACTCTAGAGCAGAGAGATCTCAGGCAGGGCAGTGGCACTATGGGTACACAACCAGTATGGCACCCTCCATCTCATTTTGGGTCTGAGGGAAACATAGGTGTGCCTGCACAAGCTAGCAACCTGGTTCTCTGTCCCTGGGAAGTTCCTGAATAGCCACTTATAGCATTGTCTTGGGTCACTAGCACAGAGGGGCTCCTTAGAAGCTTGGCAGTCAGGAGATTGTCAGAGGAGTGAGGGGAGGAGAGAAGCACTCCCACCTACTTTCCATGGGGCTCCAAGCTCCTTGGGGGTCAATCTCTGTGGACTCTTGCTGCTTCCCTTTTCTACACCCTGCTTCTTCCCACTGGCCCTCTGACAGATCCTGGCTCTCTTCCCCCAGTTTTCTGTTCAGAACTGGGCCTTTCACCAGTAACTTTGATCATCTTCCTGAGGAGAACTGGCACCTGATGTCCCTAGAGAGCCATCTGCTCGAGGCACTGGGCACTGTGCACTGTGCTGTCACTGCTGAGGGGAATGGTGACTGTAGTCACCCTGTGTGGCCACACCTCGAGAGCTGTCTTTGATTTTCTTTTGCATAGTATTACTTGTAAATTCATGTGATAATATTTACTATGTCTGGGATTTTTTTGGAAATCCATATGCATGATGGGGGGAAAAATCACAGACCACACACACACACACACACACACACACACACACACACACACAAACTCTAGATATCTGAAATCAAATTTTTTTTGAAGTTTTTATTGCTACATAATTGATATACGTATTTTCAGAGTACATGTGATAATTTGATGCATTCATATAATCAAATCAGAGTAATTGAGATATCCATCACCTTAAATATTTTTTCTTTATGGTAGGAACAGTCTAATTATTCTGCAGCTGTTTTGAAATGTACAATAGATTATTGTTACCTATGTCAAATTCTTTTTTTTTGTTTGTTTGTTTTTGGAGACAAGGGGTCTTATTCTGTCACCCAGGCAGTAATGCAGTGATGCGATCATAGCTCACTGAAGCTTCGACCTCCCGGCTCAAGCAACATTTCCACCTTAGCCTCATGAGTAACTGGGACTACAGGCATGTGCCACCATGCCTGGCTGTTTTTTTTTTTAATTTTTTAAAAATTTATTTTATTTTATTTTAATTAATTAGTTTTTTGAGACAGAGTCTTGCTCTGTCACCCAGGCTGGAGTGCAGTGGCGCGATCTCTGCTCACTGCAAGCTCCACCTCCCGGGTTTACGCCATTCTCCTGCCTCAGCCTCCCGAGTAGCTGGGACTACAGGCGCCCGCCACCACACCTGGCTAATTTTTTGTATTTTTTAGTGAGACAGGGTTTCACTGTGTTAGCCAGGATGGTCTTGATCTCCTGACCTCATGATCCGCCCGCCTTGGCCTCCCAAAGTGCTGGGATTACAGGCGTGAGCCACTGTGTCTGATCTATAGTCAAATTTTTAAGTTCAGATTCTGCCCCTGTTTTCCCATCAAAACTACCCCTCTCTCACATTTTTCCTCTTCTGATTGAAGGCAAAGCCAATCAACCACGCTGGATGTCTGGATATCATCCCCAGCTGCACCCTTTCTGTAATCGTTACATGTATTTGGTTACCAAGTCTAGTCAGTTTTCCCTTTAAGTGTGCTTTCTGACTATTCTGACTGTGGAGAACTTCTATACTGACTCAAAATACTGATGGTGTAACATAATAAGACAATGTCAAACTTACAAAAACTTGTAGTTTTTAACATCCATGTACACTTTGAAAAAAAATTAAGGAAGTATTTCAGCCAATCAAAAAACTGAAACACAATAAGTAGTTTGAGAATAACAAGCATATTACAGTCCATCTTTATGTGTCTCAGCCTCCCACAGTGATAAGAAGTGAAGGCGCAAGGTCCTATCTACTTTGAAGGGGGAACATAATCTTTTGGCCCATGGAGTTGGTTTCTGTAACTTGTAAGAATGACTCCCCTTTTCAAAGTTTGGTCGGACATTTACAGATCTGTTTCTTTATGTCTTCATCAGCATGAGCCTGAGAACCTTGGCTGGAGTATCAACCAACCCACTGTAGGATGCGATTTTTCTGGTTGCCTGTGTGCACTCAAGTTTCTTCCTCCTCTTTCCCTTCTTTGGCTAGTTTTAATAATCAAAAGAAGGTGGGGAAGCAGCATATGGGGCCCAGTTAAGCTGAGCACAGAGTTGTTTTTAATGAATAATTCCAACCTAACCACAGGACAGTGGTATTTACCAGTCAAACTCCTAAGTCTTTTTCTGGAAGGGAGGATGGGGAGGTGGAAGAGACAATCTGATTATAAAATATACATGGAAATACAAAATGCCAAGAATAGCCAGCAACTCACAAAGAAGAATATGGAGGGTGGCCCTACTTAGCCAATGTGTCAGATAATACACAGTTAAAGTAAATAAGGCAGTGTGATATTTGCTCTGGGATGAACAAACAGGCCAGAGAGAAGAAAATAGTCCAGATTTGTCAGTCGTTTTATAGTTTTTGCTTTTAGAATCATGTTTGATTCTAAACAGCTTTCTTAATACCTAAACAGCTTTCTTAAATTAATAAAGATGAAACCAGAATGCAATTAATTAAAAAACAAAAATACCAATAAAACCTGATTCATAAATTAAAAAACTTAGAAAATAAGAATTGACGAGAAGGAAATAATTATTAAAAGAGAAAATATTGAAAATTGTAAGAGACTATATAAATGTCGACAAATAAATTTTAAAAACCTATGTGAAATTGGCTCTAGCAGATATACAGCAGATATAGAAAGTCTAAACCTATGCACTTTTGAAAATGAATGGAGAATAAACATTAAAAACATTAAAAGCTCAGTAGGTGGTTTTCCAAAGGAATTCCACCAAATATGTTTACATGGTCCATGTCTTACTTTTTTTTTTTTTTTCAGTCTAATGACTCTTCTTCAGAGCCTTCAACATGAGATAGCACAGAAACGAATACCTTTTTTCCCTTCGGTATTGCAATATGTGATTAAGGAAGTCATCAGTGATGCCCTCTGGCAGTCTATTTGCCATGCACATGTTCTGCCATCATTCTTGAGGTGTGATTACCCTAATGGTATTAAATCTCAATCAAGATGTTGCAGGAATATCATCCGTTTACTTCTCAGCTTCTGACACATGATGACTCATGAAACATCTAGGTTGTGTGCCCTAGCCATGATCTGAAAACCTCTCACCTGAGGAGCATTTAGAATTTAGAAATTAGTTTCAAATGTCTATAAAGATTTTCCTCAGTAATAAGAAGCAATAATTTCCCAGTTACCAGATTCTTACTGCTAGATACACTTCCCAGGTGATTAAAAAGGTTTTCTTGTTTTGAGCATAAAATCTACATTAAAATGGCAAATAGTCTGATCTTTTCTTCCAGCGAATAAGTTCATCCATTTTTAGAGTACTGCATTAGGAGGCATGGGGTTGTTTCTAGATTCCACTCTCTCCATCTGCTTGTTTGGTCATCAGCCTGGTACATTTCATGTACAACTGTGTAACGGCTCCATTGTTTTTATATGTCTAGTTCTGAATATATACAAAGATCTATGTCTCCCACGGGTTCTAATTTGGTTTTGAGGATGTCTTTCATCATCTCTCAGTTCTACTTATGGCTAGTGGTATCCACTCCATCAATAATGCCCAGGTGGAAATCGTTCTCATAGCAACTTAGTATTCACATTGGCAATAAGGAAACCTAGTCTACAGAAGCTGTTATACCTACGGTACATCCCAGGTTGTACCAATACTTACTGTATAATAGTTTCCTGGACTTTCTCAAAATGTAGCAGTGACTGTGGAGTCACCATTGCCCATCTTACAGGGAAATTCTCACAATAATTCTGTTCAGTCCTACCTTGGTAACAGGGCAAAGTCCTTCTTTCCTATTTCTACTTTATGCAGGACAACTAAGCTCCATACTTTGTTTATAGAAACATACAACTCTCCGGAACTGATGAATGGTCTATAGGTGATGAGT
Source organism: Homo sapiens (assembly GCF_000001405.40). NCBI lineage: Eukaryota > Metazoa > Chordata > Mammalia > Primates > Hominidae > Homo > Homo sapiens. The sequence goes on from NC_000005.10 coordinate 90,768,775, forward strand.
CAGGGGGATATTGCACTTTACCTTCCTTGGGGAGAAAATTATGAGGTGGAGATTCGTGTCCAGAGGCTTTTTAGGAAGTGCTCTTGAGGTCAACACCTGTGTAAGTGAAAGAAGCAAGATTGGGCAGGGATGAAGGCAAAGCATGAGGCAGTTGAAACTGATGCTACAGTATACTACAGTTTGTTTTGAAATGGGACTGACCCTTCAGAGCTGTCTGAGTTAGAATGATGGTGAGTTTTATAATCTTGTGTTGAGCAGTCATTGTGTATGGACCATGCCAGGAAGAGCATTTGACCATGTGAGAAGGGGTTGTCTTCAGATGAGACAATTTGCAAAGGAGCCTGTCAGATGAGGGTAATAAGTCCTTTCCAGAAGGGGAATCTTAGTGAACATCAGAGCATCCACCACTGAGATGCAGGGTACAGCCACGTTCAAGAGAAGTTTGTTCTGAAAAGCTCTCCCTCTCTTTCCCTTGGTCTTTTATGATATACCTTATTTTTTCACTGCCCACTTTGACTCTTTGCCTTCTACCCATTCCTGTTTCCTTCCTGCCCCATCCACTGTTGTTGGTCCCAAGAGTACTCCCTATTATGTCTTTCCTCTCTTGTCTTTCTCTTAGCAGAGTAACTTCTAGAAACTTTGTTAAGTATCACTGTAGGCTGGTAAAAATAAAATGGTCCTGGGAAGATAAGAGGAAAGAAATATACAGAGAACAACTATGCCAATACTTTGAGAGAGAATCATGATGCATATCATTTTTATCTCTACCTTTTCCTCTGCATTCTAAAACAACTTGAATTTGTCCTATGCATCACTGATTAAATTTTCTGCAGTTTGAATTCTGTATTTTATTGTTTCTCATGAACATTGTAGTTTTGCAATTGCATTTTTTCTTTGAGATTTTTATTATTAAATAGTATTATTTTAATCTCTTCACTCAAGCTTTTGTTTCTTCATAGTTGCTTATTGTTATTTTTAAAATATATACATTTAAAAAATTTTGTAAGGGCTTCTAGGAAAATATGTGCTCCCTGCCTGAGACCTCATTAGATGTACTTATGAAAAATCTGTAATTCTGGGATGCAGTGCATCATTCCCATTCCTTTTACTCTCTACATATTACGAATTGGAAACTCAGAATTGATATAAAGATGAAAGAGCTGATAACAGTGGGAACACTAAAGCTCTGAGGTAGGTGGCAGCCAGTTATTCTTGGTTAGTGTAGTCTCTGTGGCCTGGAGTTCAAAGAAGTCAGGAAATGGGTCTTACCCCCAGTATTAGTTTGTTCTCACACTGCTAATAAAGACATACTCAAGACTGGGTAATTTATAAAGGAAAGGAGGTTTAATGGACTCACAGTTCCACATGGCTGGAGAGGCCTCACAATTATGGCAGAAGATGAAGGAGGAGCAAAGGCATGTCTTACATGGCCACAGGCAAGAGAGCGTGTGTAGGGGAATGGTCCTTTATAAAACCATCAAATCTTGTGAGTCTTACTCATTATCATGAGAACACCACTGGAAAAAACCCACCCCCATGATTCAACACCTCCCGCCAGGTCCCTCCCATGACGTGGGGATTATGGGAGCTACAATTCAAGATGAGATTTGGGTGGGGACACAGCCAAACCTTAACACCCACTTTGTGGTACTTCTTGTTATTTAGGTTCATGGCGTGGAATGTGTATCCTCTAGTCTACTCCAAACTGATTCCTTCATTAGTGAAATTTTACCTGTATTTTAGAAAGATTTTAATCTTTAGTTTCTTTCTTTCTGTTAGTCTTGGCCCTTTATGGTGTCTACATGTGCATTTGAAGAAGGCACAACTCATGCAACCAGTCTCTGCCAGTTTAACTCAGAAGTCTCTTTCCTACATCTTTGTTTTAATTTGCTGTAAAAATATATGTGCTCATGGAAAACAAACAAACAAACAAACAAACAAAAACAAAAAAACCTCAGTCAGTACAGAAGGATGTAGAAAAATGAGTAAAATTCCCCTGACTCCTTCTGAATCTTATATTCCTACTTCCCAGAGGTAACCGCTATTGACAGTTTTTTATATACCCTTTGAAAAATTTTTATGCGTATCCAAACATATGTGTCTTATTCTTACACAAATGGAATTTTACACTGCAATCTGTTCAGTAACTTGCTCTTTTTACTTTATAATCTATCTTAAACATTTCTTTTTCATACTAGCTAAAATCCATTGCACTAAAAAAATTGGTTACATATTTTTCATTGCATAGATTCCCCTTAGTATTTGATACTATTGACATTTCTTCATGAGCACTGTTTTACTGTGGTGTTTATAGTTCTCTTACATTTTTTATATCTTTCTGGGATTCACATTTCTTGTTTAGTATTTAGTTCTGTCTAGTTCTCCTTTCCCAAATGTTTATATACTTTTGCAGACTTCCATCACCTATATTTGTATTATTTTCCTCTCCTTTACTATCTTCGCAATCTTGGTTCTCTTGAGATATGGGAAGTAGCCACTGAAAAGTAAAAAGGATATAGATTTTATAGCCAGCTAGACCTTAATCCAAATCTTCACTCTACTGTTTAATGCCATGTGACTTTAGGAAAATTAATTTCTCTCACATTTGGGTTCTTTGTTGCAAAATGAGGATAATAAGGCTTAATCTAAACAAAGGCTCTGAGTATTGCATGAAATAATGTTTGTGAAGAAACTAACCAATTTACAGACATTTAGAAAGTGTTTTATACAACAACTGTAATTTAGAAACATTTTAATGAAATAGCAGGTTGCTACCTCAACTTAATATCTACATCATAGGATAAAAATTAAAGGCTTTAAATTTTTAAAATTCAACACCTTTTCTACATCATAGAATAAAAAATTAAAGGTTTTAAATTTTTTAAAAACAGGAAAAATTTATATTTCTATTTTCCTGAGATAGCCTATATATAGTACCATTTCTCAAACTGTTGCTCTGCACTGCTATTCAGCAGAATAGAAATAATTGTTCTGAATTTTAAAGAAAGAAAGGGATTCCAGGTTCACATGGACTTGGGAAAACCTTGATTGAGCTAAGTAGGCTCTTTCTATGCAGGATTATTTTTAGACACTTTAATATACTGAATTCCATTTTGAATCTCTAATATTCGGAATTTATTCCCCTATGAAACTTCCCCATCACCTTTTTATCCCAGAACATTTATTACTATCTTTCGTAACCATTGGCTGGGATTTTCCACCTGTAATCACCCTTTTCCCCCCTCTTACTGGTTGTAGATTTCTTTGAGAAATGAAGAGCATATGATATGAAGAGCTGCCTTACATATACAGTAGATAAGGTGGAAGGCAATATAAACATATAAAATATAGTTGATTCTCATGATTCACAGTAGCCAATCCTTATCATTCACAATCCCCTACTTGTGAATTTCCCTACTCACTAAGGTGTATTTGCAACCTCCAAAGTCGATACTTCTGGTGTTTTCATGGTCATTCAGGGACATACAGAAAGTGTTGGAGAATTTGATTCACCTGATTTGTGCATTTCCAGCCGAGGTTGAAGAAGCCAACACCTTGACTTTGTTTCAGCTCTCATGTTGTAAACAAATGTTCTTTTTCCAGTCCATTTATTATCACTTTTTTAAATTTTTGTGCTTTCTGTTGGTGAGTTTTCTGTTTAAATTTGCCCCCAAGTATAGTGCTGAAATATGGCGTTCCTAAGCACAAGAAGGCTGTGATGTACCCTAAGTAGAAAATATGTATGTTAGATGAACTTTATTCAGGTGTGAGTCATAGTGCTTATTAAACATGAGAAATGTATTTGAATGATTCTAAGTTTTTGCCAATATGTACATGTCTGCAAATTACCACAAAAGTGCTCAATATTGATTTTGGGGTTACAAAGTTGGATGAGTAGACAAATGTGCAAATAAGGAATCCAAGAATAGAGGAACCAACTGTATATAAAATCAGTAGCACCTTGGAGAAATTACTGTACATATAAAGAAGTATGTAAAGATGTTTATGGCAATATTATTTGTAATAGTAAATAGCCATTGTCAGATAAATCTTGCAAATAGTATAAAGGCAAACAATGGAATCCCCACAGCAATGAAAATAATACATTGAGTCTGATAGCGGTGGCTCATGCCTGTAATCCCAGCATTTTGGGAAGCCAGAGCCTGGTGGATCATTTGAGGACAGGAGTTTGAGACCAGCCTGGCCAACATGGCAAACCCCCGTCTCTACTAAAAACACAAAAATTAGCTGAGCATGGTTAACGCACACCTGTAATCCTAGCTATTCGGGAGACTGAGGCAGGAGAATAGTTTGAACCTGGGAGGCAGAGGTTGCAGTGAGCTGAGATCGTACCACTGCACTCCAGCCTGGGTGACAGAGTGAGACCCTGTCTCAAAAAAAAAAAAAAAATACATTGAGTCTACATAAGAAAACATGGGTAACCTCAACAGTGTGCATTGAAGGAAAAATTAAGGAGACACAGTGCATTTTAGAGTGAATAATATGATGGGAAGAGTTTTGCAAAGGGAGATCGAAATGGGCTAATAAATGGGTCAAAAAGAATAAATTATAATAAAAGACCATTTGTTGTCCAGTAGAAACAATGCTGTTGACCGAAGTAGGACCAATTCAAACTATGCACCTGAGATCCAAGAAAAAAAATAAGAAAAAATAAAATCATTAACATTCTTATGAGTTACCAGTAATGAGAAACAATGTACTATGAGAAAGAAGTATAAAATACCTAGGAATAGATTCAGCAAGAAACAAGTGGAACTGATATGAGTAAAGATAAAAACAAAATCTTAAAGGTGAAGGTAAAAGAAAACTGAAACATGCATATAAAAGACCAAGGTCTTAGACAGAAAAACTACATTTTCTTGTGAATTAGGCCCTTTACTGCTGCCTTTAGATATTTTTGTTAACTAGAAGCTGCCATTACTAATTTAACATCAGCAAAATATACCATGAATTGGATATCCAGTGTTGATGAACAACGGCTGGCATCTCAGGGCTGTGGTTGCCCCTACAACTGTGATCTAATGTCATTCACACTTTGTTTTCTCCTTTGAATGGAGCTGTTTCTTATAAAGTCTATGACCTTTGTCTGTTTACATCATTGTGTGATCATTTGGCTTTCTTTAAAGATTGGATTTTCAACGGTTAACATTTTTCAGTAAATTTAGGGGTTGTATTCTTTTCCCATTTTCCCCATAAAGAACCTAAGTGGAATTTGTATTCAGAACTGATTTTTGTGGAGTAATTCTTTCTAGCTGCAACTCGTAATTCTAGTGACAAAAAAGACACCCTTAAAAATGATTATGGACATAAACGTTATTCTGCTAATGACAACATTCAAACTTTGGCTTTGGTCAATCTGGAAAATGCACTGTTTCTGTCATTGGATGTAGACTGAGTCCCAGAAGACCATTGTGTTGCACACACTTCAAGACACAGTGTTGGAGGAGGACAGGCGTTTCACCATTCAGCTGATATCAATTGATGAGGTAGAAATATCTCCAGTAAAAGGTAAGAGAAATTCACATTTTTGGAAATTAAAAAGTAAATTCTCAGAAAAAATGTAATAAAAATAACCCGTAGTTACAAAAATGGACAGGGTTAGGTTTCATAATTCCTAAAACATAAAGATACCATTTTCCACATGTATTAAAGGTTAAGAATTTTTTAAATTAAAATTATAATACCCAATCTTGGTAAGGTCATAGGTCAAAGATTTCATACAGCTTAGCTGTGTAATTTTTTTCTAATGAAGATGTTTATTGTAGCAGTGTTTATAAAATGTAAAATAAAATATGTCAGCTTCCTAAATGGTCCAACAGTAGGAGACTAGTTAAATGTGTCAGAATACTAGGCAGCCATTCAACGTGACATAACAGGAAAAACTCTCAATTACATTAAAAATTAAGAACACATAATTACATGGATAATTGTCACGTTAAGAAAACAGGTTTTGCAACAACATGCTAAATGTAATCTGTTTTGTCATGTGCATGTCTTACATGAGGTTGGAATTATTTATTTGAAATGTTAATAGTGGTTTTTGATTACCTATATTTTCTAAACATATTTACAATTATCACACTTTACCTTTGTAATAAAACATTATTTTTAAATGTGTCATATTATGTTTAGCATTATAGCCTATGTACGTCTGTTTTCATCTGAAAGTAGTTACTCAAATATTTTGACACTTCAGAAACAGGCATTTTAATTCTCATTTGCCTCCAGTTGATATGATGATTTGTTTTTTGGATCCATAGAGAAAAGAGTAATGATTCTAAAATGGTTTTATTGTGCTATAAACAATAATAACCAACCATAAAAAACTGGTTCAGAAACTTTTAGCATGAAAATTTGGTGATTAATACATTTCTTTTTTGCCATCAAGAACTCCATCCTATGTGACTAAAAGCAGATTTAATGTCCAAGGAAATTTTTAGAATTGTAGAGTATCTATCACTGTGTATACTTAGGGTAGTTATAATTTCTGCATTTTATTTAGGATATTTTCCATTAAGGGAATGACATCACTGCACCATATTCTTTTATAAGTCTTTAGTTAGCTTTAGTTAACTCTTTCATAAGTCTTTAGTTATCTACATCATGTTAAAATGACAGATGTCACATAGGCTAATTAAACATAGAAGAATATATGATTGGATCAGGATAAATCATTTACCATATCAAAAAAATTTTTTTGAGGCAGGGTCTTGCTCTGTCACCCAGGCTGCAGTGCAGTGGTGTGATCACAGATTCCTGCAGCCTTGAATTCCCAGGCTCAAACAAACCTCCCACCTCAGCCTCCTGAGTAGCTAGGACTACAGGCATGTGGCACTATGCCCAGTTAATTTATTTTTATGTTTGCAGGGATGGAGTCTCCCTATGTTGCCCAGGCTGGTCTTGAACTCCTGAGCTCATGGGATCCTCCCACCTCAGCCTCCCAAAGTGTTGGGATTACAGGTATGATCCACTGCACCTAATTCTTAATATCTTTCTGTCTGACTGTGACACTTGCTGTGACAAGCCACTCTTGATTCCATTAATCCATTGCCAAAGAAAGTGAGAGTATAGTGATACAGCTCTTTGTGTCATGAACCCCTAATATGTGTTTCTGGAAACAATTTTCTTTAAGTTTCTGCTAAGTTATATGGATACTCAAATACTTGATATAGTTTTCTATTTCCATCTTAATAGAAATATTTGACACAGGTTTATAAATGCTTACAGTCAAATGATAGAGTCAGAAAATTAAAAATGAAAAAGTGCCCCCAAGAAATCTTGCTTTTGCCATATAGCCAGTTGACATAGCTATGTAGTCAATTGCAGTGAGCTGCAAAATGGTTACTGTAGAAACAAATTAATGCCAATGGTAGAGGAGCCCTTGCTTTTCATGAGCATGATAGGGCAATTACTGCCAATTTTTTTTTCTGCCCCTTTCATTAAAATGTAATCTTGGGCAAGCGATTTGCCTCCATGTCTTCAAGACCTCAATGTGCTTCAGAGTCATAGGTAAAATGAGGATATTAATACCTTACTGATATGAGAGTCATGAGAATGAACTAGATTCCTGTGTGTAAAGTGCTTAGAAAGTTTCCAGGCATATACTAAGTGCTTATGTGCACCTGCTACAAAGTGGTCTATATCATCTTGAATTTAGGTAGTGCATCAATAATTATTCGGGGTGATAAGCGAGCATCAGGAGAAGTTGGGATAGCTCCGTCATCTAGGCACATCCTCATTGGGGAACCCTCAGCAAAATATAATGGTACCGCTATTATCAGGTAAGGACTTCATGATTTTTCTTTGCCTATATGGGGGTTACGAAGTTTTATTTAAATCATTAGTCTTAAGTTTATCATTCTCAATACATACATAGTCTTCAAGCATTAACATTCTATATACTGTTAACATCCTGTGGAGAGGAGAACAAATTTGGGGCAGAAATTGGAATAATATCCTGACCTATCTTGATATTAGATCATGAGAAGGTTTCTGACTCTTGAGTGATTTGCACAAATTACACCAAGGAAAGCACATGGAGTTGAGATCAGAAAATCTATGTTTTCACCTCTGTTCTGTTACTAAACATGTGATATAAGGGAGTTATTTCATCTCTGCAAGCTTGTGTGTCTTAGCTACAAAATCATTCCTTAGAACATCATCAGGGCCAAACATTTTGCTTTCAAGTGTTCTAAAATCAGAGTCTGTATTAGTCTGTTCTCACACTGCTATAAAGAACTGCTTGAGACTGAATAATTTATGAAGAAAAGAGGTTTAATTGGTTCAAGGTTCTGCAGGCTGTACAGGAAGCATGGCTGGGGAGGCCTCAGGAAACTTACAATTATGGCAGAAGGCGAAAGGAGAGCTGACGTGTCCTACCTGGCTGGAGCAGGTGGAAGGGGTGGAGGGGTGCTATGTACTTTTCAACAACCAGATCTTGTGAGAACTCTATCAGGAAAACAGCAAGGGGGAAGTCCATCCCCATGATTCAGTCACCTCCCACCAGGCCCCACCTCCAACACTTGAGGTCACACTTCAACATGAGATTTATGTGGGGACACAGAGCCAAACCATATCAGGGCCTATCATATAACTAAATTAGTATGATCATAGGCAAGTTTGTTTCTGGTAAATTTTCTTATGGGGGATGGGAAGCAACTATCAATGGCATAGCTGGGTTTGACTTTATACTTTATCCTCATGGTAGTTATCCAGAAGTAAGACTATCCCTTCCCATCAGCATGCCCTTATATGAAGGGTCTTCCAGTCTTTAGAGAACTTAGACTTTTCATATTTTGTACCTTGCGTGTTAAGTGAAAAGCCTATAAATATTAATACTTCTTTTTATTTCTTTAAACCTTCTGCTTTTAGTAATCAGTTTTTGCTTGTATTCCTGTCAAGATAGATTTACACTAGCTTAATACTTTGGGTGTTACTATCTTGGAACTTTAAGACTTCCTTTGGTTTATAGTTTGGTAAATGAGGTTATTTAAAAGAAAACTGTTATTGAAATGGATGAAAATTGATTACTGTTAAAAGACAGAGAAAATGTTTAAGAAAAGTACCTTCAACTGAAATGTATTGGATATACATTTGTTTATTGTTGTAGCCTTGTTCGAGGCCCAGGGATTTTGGGGGAGGTCACAGTGTTCTGGAGGATATTCCCTCCTTCCGTGGGGGAATTTGCTGAAACATCAGGAAAACTGACAATGCGAGACGAACAGTCTGCAGTCATTGTAGTAATACAGGTATCAATATTAGCTGGTTTCTTTTATGCCCTTTACTCTCTGTGCTGGTGTGTGCACATGTGTGAGCATATGTGTATGTGTGGGTGTGTTTGTGTGTGTGTGGTTAGAAGTGGGGGATGGGGAGGAGGTAAATATTACAGCATTTGTGGTTGGCGTGCACGTGTGTGTGTGTGTGTGGTGTGTGTGTGTACGGTTGACAATGGAGATTGGGGAGAAGGTTAATGTAACAGCATTTGGTATTGTGGAGGTGCCTGTGTATGGGATTAAGAGTGGGAATGAGGAGGAGATTAATATTACAAAATCTGTTGTTATTATTTAGAGGTTAGGAGTTTTTCTTGAAATTCCACAGATTCTACTGTTGATGACTCTTTGTCTTTTTCTAGGCTTTGAACGATGACATTCCCGAGGAAAAAAGCTTCTATGAGTTTCAGCTCACTGCAGTCAGTGAGGGAGGAGTTCTGAGTGAATCCAGCAGCACTGCCAACATCACGGTGGTGGCCAGCGACTCTCCCTATGGCCGATTTGCCTTTTCACATGAGCAACTTCGAGTGTCAGAAGCACAGAGGGTATAGTATGAAATGCTTAAGATTTTAATATCATTTTTATTTTTAGATATGAAAATGTTTTCTTGTTTCTATTCCAGAGTTTTCATAAACTGATTAATTTGCTCCAAACATCATTATTTTAACATATAATCTATATAATTTTATAACCTTATATGTAATTTTAACACAATCCTGGTAAATAGAACGTTTAGTTACAGACAGTATTGTCTGGTAGATTAAACATCCAAATCAAATAAGAAAATGCATTTTGCATAGGTTAACATCACAATCATCCGTTCCAGTGGAGATTTTGGCCATGTGCGACTCTGGTACAAGACGATGAGCGGGACAGCGGAAGCAGGCTTGGATTTTGTTCCTGCAGCAGGGGAGCTCCTCTTTGAAGCAGGGGAGATGAGGAAAAGTCTGCATGTTGAAATCCTTGATGATGACTATCCTGAAGGCCCAGAGGAATTTTCTCTAACAATTACAAAGGTGGAACTCCAGGGAAGGTAAAGGAGAAAGGCAATTAGGAAAAAGAAAGCAAAGAGCAGAGAGAAAGAGAGAAAGTTCTATTGTGTAGAGATTAATACTGAGCTCTAAAGCAGTTCTTTCCCTACTCTTTCTCAGATTTGTGTGACATTAGAACAGGACATACAAGGGAAATTATGACAATGACTGAGTTTTTTTTTTTAATTTTGTTAAATATAACTTCCCTCTGAAAATTGAAAGTATGTGTTTCTATTGTGTGGACTCACTCTGGGTAGCCAGGAAGTTGAATATGATAACGGCTTCTAATTGGTGAAGACACAGCCTAACAGCTCTCTAAATCAGAGGTCAGCTGGTGTGGCTGAATTTGCTTCTTTTGATTTCCATACTTGTGAAAGGGCTGAAGGGAGGGATTTCTTTCATTGGTGCATCTGAAGTCTGTATCGTCTTCTCTGTGGGTGAATGACATAGATGCTTGCCCCATAGTTTTAAAGTGGGGAAAAATTTGAGTGAAAGCTAGTTGGCCATTAATGTGCACCATGTTTTCAAGGAAGATAATGAATTAACCTTAATGAGTCTCTTTCATTCCCTGATTTAGTGAGGCAGATTTGATGAGGTGGAAAAACATCTTTAGCATGTTTAAGTACTCACAGGTTCTGCAGCTCACAGGTTGAGAGAGACCTACCAGCATCTCTGCCCAGATAGCAGATAGGTGGGCCCTTCAACTAGAGTAATGCCTGCATTTAGAAGAATCATAAAGACATTTTTCTTGTGCATGAAAATATTTTTGCCTTTGTAATGTGAATATCATGCTTTAAAAACTTTTTAAACTAAAATATGTTACTCAGTGACTTAAGTGTATATCATCCCATCTGGGAAAAAAATATTGTGGGCTCACATACCCTTCAAATTTTAGATTTCCCAAAAATGCTTCTATGCCTGGCAATGAGAGTGAATTTGTACTCCTAGTAAATATAGTAAAAAGTTTGAGCTGATCACTGACTATTTTAATTAAATAAATGCAATTTGGTAAAAGTAGTCGTTTAGTGTGAGATCATATTTGTGTTACTGACCAGCTAGAGCTTGAGGATTTTGTCTTCTTTGCTACTGTTTTTTTAAAAAGCAGTTTCTATGTAAGTTTAATTCTGGGGAAACAAGTTTTTCCTTCCAGATAAATTTCTAGGTTTTCTTTGATCTCAAAAGGTAAGTAGTACAATTAGCTAATCTACAGCCCATCTCAGACTACTGGTAACAGTTACTCTTATCATTTAATATTCTAAATCTCAATTTTCTAATTTTGCCTTTTATATAATTCGCCAACTTTCAACCTTTCAACTCTAGGTAGGGTATAAATACCAGAATAGAATTTGGGAATTGAAGGAAGGACTAAAATGGTTTATCGGCATTTTTTAGCATGAGGAATTAAAGTCATATTTTAAAGCCTTGGAAGTTGAAGCTTTGTTTGATGGGAATAATATTAATCTAAAAAAAGACTTCTTTTGCAGAAGTATCATTACAGAAGTAAACTACCATCTATATTAAGGATAGAGGAATTGATTATGATTGGTTTCTGTAGAAATTGAAATACTTTTCTTTCTTTTTTATTTTTCTTTCTTTCTTTTTCTTTCTTTCCCTTTTTCTTTCTTTCCAAAGTCTTGCTGTGTCACCCAGGACAGAGTGCAGTGGCACAATCATAGCTCACTGCAACTTTGAATGCCTGGACTAAAGGGATCCTCTCACCTCATACTTCTAAATAGCTATGACTGCAGGCATGTGCCATCATGTCTGGCTAATTTTTTAAAATTAGTTTTTAGTAGAGACAAGGTCTCACTCACTATGTTGCCCAGGTTGGTATTGAGAGATATTTCTTTTGAATCTTGATGATTTAGTTTGAAATTTAATTAGTGTCATGACACTCACTATTTCTTTGAATAAATCATCTTAACCTAACACTGTAAATCTCAAGGCCGCCTGCTTACTTACCTATCTCTGAGTGCACTAGGTCTATTACTGTATATGTATGTATTCAGCCGTGATTCCCAAAGGTTCATTTTATGACAGCATCTTTCTGATTTCCTCACAGTTTATTATCTTCCCATTGCCCAAGTTTAGTAACTTTATATTAGTTTTGGCTTCGTACAGGCACCACTCATTGGGAGCAACACAGAAATCTGTTTCAAAACATCATTTCAGGAAAAAGAGAATATTTTAGCGTTGAGGATCTTTAAAAGTATTGCAGTACTTTATAGAACTAAGTTGTAGGAGCTAAGAGGATCTTTTAATTCATGCTATGCAATTATGTATTTTTTGTTGTTGTTGTATTTTATTTTATTTTGATTTGTATGACTTTGGAAGAGGGTATGATTTTACCATTCAAGAAAATGGACTTCAGATAGATCAACCTCCTGAAATAGGAAACATCTCCATTGTTCGCATCATAATAATGAAAAATGATAACGCAGAAGGCATCATTGAATTTGACCCAAAGTATACTGCCTTCGAAGGTAGGTTCAGTCAGCTAGCTTGTAAGTAAGTTTACTACCACTTTCCAAATTACATTAGTTTGAATTTCCGTGTGTAAATTGTTTTAGTTTGGTGTGGGTGTGTGTGTTTGTGTTTACACATATACACTTTTATATTTATTTACTTATTTGAAATACATTTTCAGTTATCTTTGGGTAGTCTTGAACCTTACTGTGAATGGCAATGTTAGGAACAAGCCTGTCTAGAAAAACTATGTTTAACATTAGGATTATTAAAATGTTTCTGTTTCAAACATTTTAATGAAAGCCTTTGTAATTTGTGCATATTTAATTTCCTATGTGACTAGAAATCAGTGAATATTCACTTCCTAATGAATAATCATCTTTGAAATGAATATTTTACTGGCCTAGAGATGCAGGTAGTATCTGGATCCTTGATCTTGCTTTCTCGAAACAGTCCCCAGTAGCAGCTTGCCTAATATTGCCAATTCTTTCCTCTTGTAGAAGCAGAATACAGAATATATGGTTATATTCCTTCCCAGGTAGGAAGAGATGGCTGCCTTTCTAGGAAATGATTTTATTCAAAGGCAGAATATGAATATGACTTTAAAAATAAATATCTTACTGCTGCATTTAACCTGATTGGCTTCATTGCCTCTATCAAAATTCTTTGGTTATCTAGCCATTTTTAAAGTTCATAAAAAATTGCTTTAGGAGTTGGTTTATAATGAGTTTATGGGTAAGTTGTGGAATACATCACTATTTTGTGAACTTCAATCTGTACCTGGAAAAAATCATATTACATTTTTGCATTAAGAAATAAATGAGACTTGGAATTTTTTCAGTTCATTGTTTTCTGTTAGATTCATTATCTTTGGGAATTTTGGTCAGTGTATATTTATATTTATAATATACATTGAGTATTATTTAGCCATAGCTAATGTGAGCCCTATTAAATTATATTTTAATATGCAGAATTTAGCATAGCTTAAGAAATATATTTTTGAAAATAATGTTTAAGTTGAAATCAAACATTGAAGACACATTTTCAGATTCACAAGTAGATTTCATAGGAACTGAAAATGTAATCAAATTGTACTTGTATCTGGACTTTTAAAAATTCATATGATATACATATCATAAACCTCATTTATTTATATTACCATATTTATATTTCAATTGAATGTGTGGAAGCAATCCAGAGTGGTTTCCTATGAGCACAAACAACTTAAATGTTTTTTTGTATCCATCTAACATTGTCTTAGAAAGCAAGGATCATTTGTTTTTATGTAGTACACAGGGAGAATGCCAATGCTACTGATTAAATACATTGTTTAAATGCTAATTGTACTGTTCTCTGTAACTTTCAACATCTGATAAACTATGTTCCTCCTAAAAAATGTCATGAGGTTTTCACTAATCCCCCTTTAAAATGATAAAAGAACTATGAAAACATAGAGTGCTTACTTTGTGCCATTATGTTTAATTGCCAGGTTTAATTTGGCTGAATCTTATAAGTTAGTTGCTCTGTCTGGCTTACCAATTAATTCCAAGTTCCCATTACAGTGGAGGAAGATGTTGGGCTGATCATGATCCCAGTGGTGAGGCTACATGGAACTTATGGCTATGTGACAGCTGATTTCATCTCTCAGAGCTCCTCTGCCAGTCCCGGAGGTGTTGATTACATTTTGCATGGCAGTACAGTCACCTTTCAGCATGGGCAAAACTTAAGTTTTATAAATATCTCCATCATTGATGACAATGAAAGGTTGGTATATAGAAAATAATGTGGGCACATATAAGACATAAGTATTGTGTTCAAACTCTTACATATGTTTTGCACTGACAATAGAACTTTAGATAATATGTGTCCATTGGAAAACAACAGGTGAAATACTTTTGGGGTACTAGGGGTAGGGAAAGAGGGGCTAGGAGACGATGTGGTTGCATATGTCACTTCATTTCAAATAAAGGAAATAATATTTTCTGTTTCTCTAGACTTAAATAATCTAATCAGAATGTGGAAACATTCTTTAATTCACTTTCTTTATGCATTAAGCAATTAAAAAGAGGGCAAGAAAGTCCCTACAACTGCCCTAGGTCATGTAATATTGATGTTAATCATTCATTCTTTTAGCTAAGCACCCACTTCTTACCACTTGATGTGTGACTACTGTGCCTTGAATATGTATGACCAATTTGGAAAATGACTGGTTATTGGGATTTTACAAGCACTTTAATATGTTTAGACTCACAGAATTGCTCCTTCTTGCCATGCAGTGAATTTGAGGAGCCCATTGAAATTCTACTCACTGGAGCTACTGGAGGAGCGGTCCTTGGGCGCCACCTAGTGAGCAGAATCATAATAGCTAAGAGTGACTCTCCCTTTGGAGTTATAAGGTTTCTCAATCAAAGCAAAATTTCTATTGCTAATCCCAATTCCACAATGATTTTATCACTGGTGCTGGAGCGGACTGGAGGACTCTTGGGAGAGATTCAGGTAGATTTATGTTCCCCATGACTTTAAATATAATTTTTGATAGACTGAGTATGGTAGTGTGTTTTCTCATTGCCCAAGTATATTTCTTTATTCACAGCCAATCAATATTTATTAATTATCTTGTATGTGTACAGCAGCTTTTGAGCCAGATTAAGTACATAAAAATGTATAAGGCATACATCTGTCCTCAGGGAACCTTGAGGGCTTGTTAGAAATGAAGTGAATGATTCTGATAAAATTCATTAATTCAACAAGTATTTGTTGAGTGCTTTCTGTGTGTCACACACTGTTCTAGGTACTGAGAATATACTGAGGAACTAGATAGACCTCATCTCCGTTCTTACAGAGTTTTCATTTTATTAAGCAGAGCTGAGCAATAAACAACTAAAAATAAATTGATCTGATAACAGTAAGGGCTCTGCTTGTAAAATTGGGAGACACAATTGCGAGTGCTGTTGGTGAGGATGTGATATTTCAGCTGAAAGATGCATTAGGAGAAAGAGGTTAGAAGGGTGAGCATTTGGGCAGAAGGAACAATAGCTTCTGCAGAGGCATAAGCTGGCATGTTTCAGGCATGGAGGGGTTCATGTGGTCGGGGCCTGGAGTTAAGGGGATAACAGCACAGGATAGACCAGAGGGCCCAATAGATGTTCGATCACATGGAACCTCCTAAGCCAGGTTAAAGATGTCCATTGCTCAATGAAATAAAAGAGGACACAAACAAATGGAAGAACATTCCATGCTCATGGATAGGAAGAATCAATATAGTGAAAATGGCCATACTGCCTAAGGTAATTTATAAATTAAATGCCATCCCCATCAAGCTACCAATGACTTTCTTCAAGGAATTGGAAAAAACTACTTTAAACTTCATATGGAACCAAAAAAGAGCCCACATTGTCAAGACAATCCTAAGCAAAAATAACAAAGCTGGAGGCATCATGCTACCTGACTTCAAACTGTACTACAAGGCTACAGTAACCAAAACAGCGTGGTACTGGTACCAAAACAGATATATAGACCAATGGAACAGAACAGAGGCCTCAAAAATAACACCACACATCTACAACAAACCTGACAAAAACAAGCAATGGGGAAAGGATTCCCTATTTAATAAATGGTGTTGGGAAAACTGGCTAGCCATATGTAGAAAGCCGAAACTGGATCCCTTCCTTACACCTTAGACAAAAATTAATTCAAGATGGATTAAAGACTTAAATGTTAGACCTAAAACCATAAAAACCCTAGGAGAAAACCTAGGCAATACCATTCAGGACATAGGCGTGGGCAAGGACTTCATGTCTAAAACACCAAAAGCAATGGCAACAAAAGCCAAAATTGACAAATGGGATCTAATTAAACTAAAGAGCTTCTGCAAGGCAAAACAGACTACCATCAGAGTGAACAGGCAACCTACAGAATGGGAGAAAATTTTTGCAATCTATCCATCTGACAAAGGGCTAATATCCAGAATCTACAAAGAACTCAAACAAATTTACAAGAGAAAAACAACCCCATCAAAAAGTGGTCAAAGGATATGAGCAGACATTTCTCAAAAGAAGACATTTATGCAGCCAACAGACACCTGAAAAAATGCCGTCATCCCTGGTCATCAGAGAAATGCAAATCAAAACCACAATGAGATACCATCTCACTCCAGTTAGAATGGCGATCATTAAAAAGTCAGGAAACAACAGATGCTGGAGAGGATGTGGAGAAATAGGAACGCTTTTACACTGCTGGTAGGAGTGTAAATGAGTTCAACCATTATGGAAGACAGTGTGGCGATTCCTCAAGGATCTAGAACTAGAAATACCATTTGACCCAGCCATCCCATTACTGGGTATATACCCAAAGGATTATAAATCATGCTGCTATAAAGACACATGCACACGTATTTTTATTGCGGCACTGTTGACAGTAGCAAAAACTTGGAACCAACCCAAATGTCCATCAATGATAGACTGGATTAGGAAAATGTGGCACATATACACCATGGAATACTATGCAGCCATAAAAAGGATGAGTTCATGTCCTTTGCAGGGACATGGATGAAGCTGGAAACCATCATTCTCAGCAAACTAACACAAGGATGGAAAACCAAGCACTGCATTTTCTCACTTATAGGTGGGAATTGAACAATGAAAACACTTGGACACAGGGCAGGGAACATCATACACTGGGGCCTATTGGGGGGTGGGGGGCTAGGGGAGAGATAACATTAGGAGAAATACCTAATGTAAATGACGAGTTGATGGGTGCAGCAAACCAACATAGTACATGTATACCTATGTGTCAAACCTGCACGTTGTGCACATGTACCCTTGAACTTAAAGTATAATAATAAATAAAAGATTTCATTCTAAGTGCAAATAGGATGCCATTAGAAAATCGTAAGCCAGAGAACAATGTCACCAGATTGTCTTTTAAAGCAGCTCATTTAAGTCTAGTGCAAGGAAAATGGATTCAAGAAGCTGGTGGGGCAGCATAGGAGCAGGAAGGATGGCTAGGAGGCTGTTTATTTCCCTCTACTCTCCATGTCAAAGCTGATGGTGGCTCAGACAAGGTGGTGGAAATAAAGATGGCGAGAAGTGGGTATACATTGATATTTGGAAGAAAAATTCATTGGGCTAGAAGTAGAGGCTGAGGGAAAGACAGGAATCAAGGATAACTCCTTGAATTTAAGTTTGAGCAGCTGGATAATTTGTAGGGTTGTTTACTAAGATGCAGAAGCTCAAGGAGAAATTAAGAGTTCTGTTTTGGGCGTGTTCTTCTGAGATACTACTGACATCCCAGGGGAGGGTGGTCACATAGGCAGGGCAGCATGCGACTGTGTGTTGTGGGGTGGTCAGGGCTGCAGATGCAGGTCTGGAAGATGTTGACACATGGGGAGGTGTTTGAACACGTGGGGCCTAAGGGGCATATCTGGAAACAGGAAGGATATGGTGCTGAGTCCTGAGCTTCCACCATTTAGAGATCAGAGGAAGGAGAACCAGCAGAGAAGCTTGAGAAGTAAAGGAGGAGGAAAACTAGGAAAGCAGGTGGCACATGAGTATCACATAAGCCAAGACGACAGGACATGGTGTTTCAAGAAGGAAATAGTCAGCTGGAGGGCTGCTGATGAAAGATTAAGAAGCAAAAACAAGTGCCCAATGTTCTTTCTTTGTAGATTGTGTGAGAGGCATACCATTTCAAATCATAGAAATGTAGAAAACTTTGTTTCTTATAACAATGTATGAAGATTTCCGTGTCTTTTACACTAGGAATATAAGTAGATTTAGCATTTTTGCATGGTCTACAGCAGAGTTTTTCCATGGTTTTGTTGTCTTATTTATATAGGTTTTGATTGGCACAGCCTGTGCACACAGCAGGACAGTATTGTACTTATATATTTTTAAAATGTTTATATTTCTCTAATACGTATTTTAATATAGATTTTTATATGTTTTTATCCTATGTGATGACAAATTATTCATGAATACTATAGGTATGTAGTTTATAGTTGCAAATATCTTTTTGTCTTTCTTTCTTTCTTTTTTTTTTTTTTTTTTGAGATGGAGTTTCGCTCTTTGTTGCCTAGGCTGGAGTGCAGTGGCGTGATCTTGGCTCACTGCAACCTCCGCCTCCCAGGTTCAAGCAATTCTCCTGTTTCAGCTCCGAGTAGCTGGAATTACAGGCGCCTGCCACCACGCCCGGCTAATTTTTGTAATTTTAGTAGAGACGGGGTTTCACCATGTTGGCCAGGTTGGTCTCAAACTCCTGATCTCAGGTGATCTGCCCGCCTCGGCCTCCCAAAGTGTTGGGATCACAGGCGTGAGCCACCACACCCAGCTGCAAATATCATTATTTTTAACAAAAAAAAACAAGTTTATGAAACAGGAATTTGATGGAATTATCCTAGAATAATTTTCCTATATGTGTATATATTTTCTTAATACTAGATACCCTGAAATAGTTTTTTGCTTAAAATTGATCTCTATTAAAGAAATACCAAAACCAAAAACATCCCGCAGGTGAACTGGGAGACAGTAGGACCCAACTCTCAAGAAGCCTTACTGCCACAGAATAGAGACATTGCAGACCCAGTGAGCGGGTTGTTCTATTTTGGAGAAGGAGAAGGAGGAGTGAGAACCATAATTCTGACAATCTATCCTCATGAAGAAATTGAAGTTGAAGAGACATTCATTATTAAACTTCATCTTGTGAAAGGAGAAGCTAAATTAGACTCCAGAGCTAAAGATGTTACATTAACCGTATGTATGGCTTTATTTTTCTCACAAAATGTGGATTTCATGGATTTATCAGAAAATACATTTACATTTGTTGAAACTCTATAAGCTTGTGATAAATTGGAAATTATAAAACCAAATAATATCATAATAATTCTGAAGGGTCAAACTTTTTGGTTTTCATGTCAGCTCATTGCATAGCCTGATTATTGGTAATATTTTTTTTAAAAACATTTTAGTATATGATACTTATTTTATAAGCTTGGAGAAAATTTGGTGTTTTTGGAATATTTGACAGTTTTAGAGCAGAGGTATTTGTTATAGCATACCAAACATTGGATATCTTTGTCTTCAGGGAATGTAAAAATTATTAACTAGTTATATTCCAGATAGTTTGAAGGAAAAAATGGTACTTGTTTAGTTAAGGCAAAAAGTGCTGGGACCAAGACTACTGAAAATAATGCAGAGGGATGACCCATTTTTTTGAAGTTTGTAAAATACTCTTATTTGAGATCTATATCAGTCAGAGTTTTCCTGAGAAACAAAACCAGTAGGACAGACATGCACACAGACACAGACACACACACACACACACACACACACACACTCACACACACAGCAGGGTGGAGGGAGAGAGAGAGATTTGAAGGAACAGACTCACATGATTGTGAGGGCTGGCAAGTCCAAAATCCATGAAATAGGCTGGCAGGAAGGAAACTCAGGAAAGAGTTGAAGTTGCAGTTTTGTGGAGCAGAGCAGTTCAGTAAGCTAAAAACTCAAGCAGGATTCCTAAGTTACAGTCTTGAGGCAGAATTCCTTTTTCTCCAGGAAACCTCAGTTTTTGCTCTTAAGGCCTTCAGTTGTTTAGATGAGGCCCATTCACATTCTTGAGGGTGATCTCCTTTACGTACAGTCAGCTGATTGTAAGTATTCATCATATCTCCAAAATACCTTCACAGTGACATCTAGATGAGCGTTTGACCAAACAACTGGGCACTATAGTCTTGGCAAGCTGATACACAAAATTAGTCCTCACAGGGCCTGTTTGCTTCACTCCATGTATATCATAGCTAGTAGGAAGAATTTAGCTAAAATTAACTGATTAAATGTAGTAAATATGAGATGAATAAAGCGAAATTCAGGCATCAAATTACTATTCTCTTGGGATTCTACAAATGGGAGTTTTCTGGATTCTTATTCCCATCATCTTTGGGGAATAAGAACCTACTTGTTTTAGGTAACAGTCAATGTGATAAAGAAGTTTTCAAAAATTAGGTAGCTAAGTAGAGTATATTCAAGTGTCATTTTTATGTTTCTTTCATTTCCTCAGCTTCTCTGTTTGTTAATATGTTGGATACTATAATTTCATCCCTATTGTTTTATAAATTATTTTCTCTGTTGTTTATATTTTTTAGATACAAGAGTTTGGTGACCCAAATGGAGTTGTTCAGTTTGCTCCTGAAACTTTGTCTAAGAAGACTTATTCAGAGCCTCTGGCTCTGGAAGGGCCCCTGCTCATTACCTTCTTTGTCAGAAGAGTCAAGGGCACCTTTGGAGAGATTATGGTATTACTTTTCATTTGATTTTTCAAAGTACCAGTTTGCCTAACAAATGTGGTTAAGAGGGACAGGGAAACTGCATGTTCTAGTTAATTAAAGTTTTTGATAAACTAAAGTTACGTGAGTTTTCAGAGAAACAGAGGCTTTATTTAAACATCTTTGGGCTCTCTCATCAGCATCAACCTCTAGCTATCTCTCTAAATTAAAATTGGTTACAGTTAGTTCAGAAAGATTTTCCTCACACTTAATCATAAAGAACCAAATGATTTTACATTTTATTGTTTGCTATAATGTGAAGGCTTTCCTACTTAAGCCTCTCAATGATTTGTGTAAATTCTCCAGGGCCTTATTTCTCATTAGAATTTTTCCATTTAGCAACTGTTTTTTAAGAGGTTGTCTTTGCATGTATATTTAGATAGAATGTTTGGGGATGCCCTTGTAAGTTTTCATGATATTTGATTAACAGATCAAGGTAATTTGTTTGCAGGAAAAACATATTTTGTGAAATTTCTCTATACACTGACCTCTCTTTCTGTATTGGATATTAACTGGTGCTTCTTCAGTTGACACTTCATAGTTTTGAGGCCAGCAATTCTTGGAAAATAATGATTGATTTTTTATATCTCATAGATAGTCCTTTTTTATTAAAAACAAACAAAAATTCTGATTTGAATTGTCAAATTATCTACTTTTTACCTTGAAATACTGTGTGTGGTGTACTACTAAAGTTATTTGTGGAACTGGAATTTTTAAGGTAGCTTGCTTCTCTGTGTCCCTTCAAATTGTGCTGTTATTTTAGAAGCAGGTAAAATAATGAGATTTTGTAATCTTATCCTGCAAATAGCATTCAACAGCCTGAGTCAATATACCTTCCAAGCTAACATATACTTAGAGAGTTTGGCTTTGAATATAGTGATGCACAATTATATTTTTTTTTTGTATATTATAGAGAAAAACATAATTTAAGGGAATTTGGTGCAATATACTGAATTATATAACTTTGTTGAGTTTTTTTCTTTTATTTTAGGTTTACTGGGAATTAAGTAGTGAGTTTGACATTACTGAAGACTTTCTTTCCACCAGTGGATTTTTCACCATTGCTGATGGAGAGAGTGAAGCTAGCTTTGATGTTCATTTGCTACCAGATGAGGTACCTGAGATAGAGGAAGATTATGTGATCCAGCTTGTTTCTGTAGAGGGAGGAGCCGAACTGGATCTGGAGAAGAGTATCACATGGTTCTCTGTTTATGCAAATGATGACCCACATGGAGTATTTGCCCTGTATTCGGATCGCCAGTCAATACTTATTGGGCAGAACCTTATTAGATCCATCCAAATTAACATAACCCGGCTTGCTGGAACATTTGGAGATGTGGCTGTTGGGCTTCGAATATCATCGGATCATAAAGAACAGCCGATTGTTACCGAAAATGCAGAGAGGCAGCTGGTGGTCAAAGATGGTGCCACATATAAAGTGGACGTGGTGCCAATAAAGAATCAGGTTTGTGGCATTTCTTCAGTTTCCTGATCATTCCAATAAAACCCTTTCAGGAGTGCCCATGCTTACCTCATAATCAGTTTGAAATCTTATTCAGGTATTTAAATGGAACCACAAAAAAATGCCCTCGAAAATGTTTAGTAACTACTGGATAATACATTTGCAGATTATAATAAGTATATTACTATTTGGATGGAGATAATAGATTTTTGTGTAGAAAGTAACAGACACTTATTTAATACTTACAAAGTTCTAGGAAATGTTTCCAGTGGTGTGCATATACACCTGCACACCCATGGACATGTGTATGCACACGCACACACACTGATACTTGTCAAAGGGGAGAAATTTATAGGCTTCTTTGTGCTTCTAGCAAAGAGTAGTGCAATGAAATAGATTACATGAAGAGGATTTGTGAATACAGAGACTGGTAACTGCTTCTCTTTTTGAAAAGTTGAAATGTAGGAAATTGGCTATGATATTCTCTAATGGTAATGAGGAGAAATCATAGCAGGCTGCTCTGCCAAGATCTGGGGTGGGTGATCAGAATGCATGGATGTCCTGTGGCTCAAGCAGACAGCCCAGCAGTCTTTCTCAGTCTGAACCACAGAAAGTGATTGAGTGACTTTTTTTTTAATTCCTCCCAAGGATGGTACATGTCATATCATCCTCTGTGCATGCATTATGGCATTCATTGCCACTGGATGCATTATGGCATTGGGATTAATTATCTCATGGGCAAGAAAGGCTGTCCAAGAAGTAGACAGATTGGTGTCATCTTGAGAAAAACTTGCAGGGTGAATTATGTAGCTAGAGAGAATGAAAAAGGAGAATATATTCTCTCTGTCGAGGAATGGTGAAGAGGGGAATTCTGAAGCCTTTGGGAACACCCAAATCAACTCCATGAAGGCTTGAGCATTTGGGTGCTGCTTTCATGGAGGTGTGTTATTCAGCCAGTGTCAGCTTAGTTTCATATAAACTTGTGATCCATAGAAAATAGGCTATCATTTCCGGATAAGCAACAAGCCTATTACACTAATCCATACTTACAGTGCTACCTTTTGATGTGTTGTGTACTCGAGCCTTTTGTAGTTGCTTAATAAAGAAAACAAATGGGGTCTTCTTAGTGAGACATGGGTTTCATAGCTATTCCTACATTCCTGTACAATATGTCCTCAGTTAATGTCCACAGGTTCTTGGAAACTGCAGCTTTAAGTGAAATGATGTACAATGTAACCAATTTTACCGTAAGCTAATTGATATAAAAAACAATAGTTAAGTTCCTACAGCATATTTCTGGTCACAAAAACAGCGCCAGACTTATAATAAAGATCAGCTACTTTGAAATTAAACATTGAAATAAATGTGAGCTATACCTGCATTTGAGAAAGAGTAATAAAAACAAAATAATTATTCACCCTATTTTTCCATTTCAAGGTTGTAGGTTGCCAGAGCCTTCCATGGTAGCTCAGGGCTCAAGGCAGGGATCAACCCTGGACAGGACTCCATCCCATCGCAGGGCACAGTCACACTCACACCCACACTCACTCAGACTGGAATCATTGACACATGCTGATTCAGCCTCACGTGCACATCTTTGGAATGTGGGGGAGACTGGAACACTTGGAGAGACCCATGCAGATATGGGGAGAATGTGCAGACTCCACACGGACAGTTGCCCTGGCTGGCAATTGATTTTTTTCTCATCAACATTATATGAAACAGCATTGAGTGAAACTGTGTGATTTGAAGACCTGTTGTAGTTCCTTGGGAAACTGACTCAATGTCATGACCTTACTTTATCAATTTCTAACCTGCATTTCCTGTATCCGACAGCTCTCAAGGCTAAACAGTACAAAAATGGAAAAAGAGAAGTGGATTAAGTTAACCAGAGTATCATTGTATCAAGTCTCACTTACAAATTAGAAAAAGTTTAAAAAATACAATATGCCTAAATTGTGTAACTCGAAACATTTTCCCATGTATTCATAGCATTACATTCTGAACATATTCAATTTATAAGCTGCTAAAGAACACTAGGGGGCAATCCTTTAACTTTTCCAGAAATAGCTGGTATCATTTTATAGTAAGTTTTCATTTGACAATAAGGCAGGCCAAAGAGAAGATTAGATATTGTATTGTTTTACTAAGCAACGTGTATAGTACAAAATTGCTCTCAGGCATAAGAAACCCAAAATATGTGATGTATATTACATGGACTAACACCCTTGATCTGCCTAGTTGTTAGATTGTTTTTCACGGTACCTGGAACATTTTGAAGCATGTGGTAGTGCACTTTTCATTTCATTTGAAAGCTTAGCATTGCATTTCATAAAAATACTTAGCTTTCCTAATATGATAAATGAATTATCATTTATGAATTTCTTAATATTGTCTTTGAACCCATTTTAATTATTTTTATGATTTCTATTTTCATAAAGAGTGACAAAAGTTTACTAGTTTATGCATGCATAAAAACCCTCTTTTTTGGTCACTTTAATATCTCTTTTTAACCTATTTCAAGTTGCACAGCTTCCTTCTCTCTGGCACATTCCAGGATTGTGGTGTAAGACTGCACATAGATTTTTAGGTGTTGGTGAGTTAGTCTTCCAAGGAACTGTTTGGGGAAAGGTGTGACATGCACTTAAACCAAAGACAAGATTTTTTTCAACGGTTTCTTTCTTCCCTCTCACCCGGTATATAACCCATTGCTCTTTGAAGATTGGGATATTAGTTACAAGAGTTTACATCCTGTCCTCCCTCTTCTACCTTCTTGGATAAAAGTTGAGACTTTGGACAGGTAAGCCACAGAGAAGGACCGCAAGGGCCATGATGTATCTAACCCTCTGTGCTGTGGCTTCTAACCTGCAAGTGGGTCTTTTAACAGGGTAGGTTTCCATTAGGCTCTAAGAACAAAAGAGTCTTGATGTAGGTTTAACACCAGAACCTTCGAGTGTCAACTGTTAGCACCTGGTAAGTTGTTAACACCTGGTTAACAGCTGGCTTTTTTTTATGAGGCACAGACTGACAATAAGAATCATTGACCTGCTAAAGAAACAAGCCTAGGCTTGAAATACTTTTTCAGAATGCAAGAGGAATTTTATATTTGTGGCTGGGTCATTTATTGAGCACTTATTATGTGCCAATCACTGTGAGAAGCTCAGCAGATACGAAGATGACTGAGAAATAATTCCTGGTGCCATGTTGCTCCCTGTCTAGTGTATGAACAGCCAGTTATAAGAGCATGTGGATAAATAGTGTTGGCATGTGCACAGGGTGTTAAGGTACCATAAATCGTTTCTGTTTGTGCCCAATGCCATCAAGAACAATAGGCAGGAATTGCTGGCAAGATGGCCGAATAGGACAGCTCTGGTCTGCAGCTCCCAGTGAGATCGACGCAGAAGGCAGGTGATTTCTGCATTTCCAACTTAGGTACCCGGTTCATCTCACTGGGACTGGTTGGACAGTGGGTGCAGTCCATGGAGGGCAAGCCGAAGCAGGGTAGGGTGACGCCTCACCTGGGAAGCACAAGGGGTTGGGGAATTTTTGCCCCTACCCAAGGGAAGCCATGAGGGACTGAGCCTGAAGAACCATGCATTCTGGCCCAGATACTGTGCTTTCCCCATAGTCATCACAACCTACACAGACAGGAGACTCCCTCTGGTGCCTACACCACCAGGGCCCTGGGTTTCAAGCACAAAACTGGGCAGCTGTTTGGGCAGACACCGATCTAGCTGCAGAAGTTTTTTTTTTTTTTTTTTTTTTTCCCTTACCTCAGTGGTGCCTGGAATGCCAGCGAGACAGAACCGTTCACTCCCCTGGAGAGGGGGCTGAAGCCGGGAAGCCAAGTGGTCTTGCTCAGCAGGTCCCACCCCCAAGGAGCCCAGCAAACTAAGATCTACTGGTTTGAAATTCTCGCTGCCAGCACAGCAGCAGTCTGAGATTGACCTGGGACGCTCCAGCTTGGTTGGGGGAGGAGCGTCCACCATGGCTGAGGCTTGAGTAGGTGGTTTTACCCTCACAGTGTAAACAAAGCCAACAGAAAGTTCGAACTGGGCTGAGCCCACCACAGCGCAGCAAGGCTGCTGGGGTCAGACTGCCAGATTTCTCCTCTCTGGGCAGGGCATCTCTGAAAAAAAGGCAGCAGCCCCAGTCAGGGACTTATAGAGAAAACCCCCATCTCCCTGGCACAGAGCACCTGGGGGAAGGGGCGGCTGAAGGAGCAGCTTCAGCAGACTTAAACTTCCCTGCCTGACGGCTCTGAAGAGAGCAGTGGATCTCCCAGCACAGCGTTCAAGCTCTACTAAGGGTCAGACTGCCTCCTCAAGTGGATCCCTGACCCCCGTGTATCCTGACTGGGAGACACCTCCCAGTACAGGCTGACAGACAACTCATACAGGAGAGCTCTGGCTGGCATCTGGCAGGTGCCCCGCTGGGTCGAAGCTTCCAGAGGAAAGAACAGGCAGCAATCTTTGCTGTTCTGCAGCCTCTGCTGGTGATATCCAGGCAAACAGGGTCTGGAGTGGACCTCCAGCAAACTCCAGCAGACCTGCAGCAGAGGGACCTGACTGTTAGAAGGAAAACTAACAGAAAGGAGCAGCACATCCACTCAGAGACCTCATCCAAAGGTCACCAACATCAAAGACCAAAGGTAGGTAAATCCACAAAGAGGGGGAGAAACCAGAGCAAAAATGCTGAAAATTCCAAAAACCAGAACGCTGCTTCTCCTCCAATGGATCACAACTTCTTGCTAGCAAGGGAACAAAACTGGACAGAGAATGAGTTTGATGATTGACAGAAGTAAGCTTCAGAAGGTGGATAATAATAAACTCCTCCGAGCTAAGGGAGCATATTCTAACCCAATGCAAGGAAGCTAGGAACCTTGAAAAAAGGTTAGATGAATTGCTAACTAGAATAACCAGTTTAGAGAAGAACATAAATGACCTGATGGAGCTGAAAAACACAGCACAAGAACTTCGTGAAGCATACACAAATATCAATAGCTGAATCAGTCAAGCAGAAGAAATGATATGATAGATTGAAGATCAGCTTAATGAAGTAAAGCAAGAAGACGAGATTAGAGAAAAAAAAAATAAAAAGGAATGAACAAAGCCTCCAAGAAATATGGGACTATGTGAAAAGACTACGTTTGATTGGTGTACCTGAAAGTGACAGGGAGAATGGAACCAAGTTGGAAAACATTCTTCAGGATATTATCCAGGAGAGCTTCCCCAACCTAGCAAGACTGGCCAACATTCAAATCCAGGAAATACAGAGTACACCAAAAAGATACCCCTTGAGAAGAGCAACCATAAGACACATAATTGTCAGATTCACCAAGGTTGAGATAAGGAAAAAATGTTAAGGGCAGCCAGAGAGAAAGGTTGGGTTACCCACAAAGGGAAGCCCATCAGACAAACAGCCGATCTCTCAGCACAAACCCTACAAGCCAGAAGAGAGTGGGGGCCAATATTCAACATTCTTAAAGAAAAGAATTTTCAACCCAGAATTTCATATCCAGCCAAACTAAGCTTCATAAGTGAAGGAGAAATAAAATCCTTTACAGACGAGCAAATGCTGAGAGATTTTGTCACCACCAGGCCTGCCTTATAAGAGCTCCTGAAGGAAGCACTAAACATGGAAAGTAAAACCGGTACCAGCCACTGCAAAAACATACCAAATTATAAAGACCATCGACACTATGAAGAAGCTGCACCAACTAATGGGCAAAATAACCAGCTGGCATCATGATGACATGATCAAATTCACACATAACAATATTAACATTAAATGTAAATGGGCTAAATGTCCCAATTAAAAGACACAGACTGCCAAATTGGATAAAGAGTCAAGACCCATCTTCAGGAGACCCATCTCATGTGCAGAGACACACATAGGCTCAATATAAAGGGATGGAGGAATATTTACCAAGCAAATGAAAAGCAAAAAAAAAAAAAAAAAAAAAAAAGCAGGAGTTGCAATCCTAATCTCTGATGAAACAGACTTTAAACCAACAAAGATCAAAAGAGACAAAGAAGGCCAGTACATAATGGTAAAGGGATCAATGCATCAAGAAGAGCTAACTATCTTAAATATATATGCACTCAATACAGGAGCACCCAGATTCAAAAAGCAAGTTCTTAGAGACCTACAAAGAGACTTAGACTCCCACACAATAATAATGAGAGACTTTAACACCCCACTGTCAATATTAGACAGATCAATGAGACAGAAAATTAACAAGGGTATTCAGGACTTGAACTCAGCTCTGGACCAAGTGGACCTAAGAGACATCTACAGGTATCTCCACCCCAAATCAACGGAATATATCTTCTTCTCAGCACCTCGTCGCACTTATTCTAAAATTGACCACATAATTGGAAGTAAAACACACCTCAGCAAATGTGAAAGAATGGAAATAATAACAGTCTTTCAGAGCACAGTGCAATCAAATTAGAACTCAGGATTGGGAAACTCACTCAAAACTGGGTAAATAACAAAATGAAGGCAGAAATAAAGATATTCTTTGAAACCAATGAGAACAAAGACACAATGTACCAGAATCTCTGGGACACAGCTAACACAGTGTTTAGAGGGAAATTTATAGCATTAAATGCCCACAAGAGAAAGCAGGAAAGATCTAAAATCGACACCCTAACATCAAAATTAAAAGAACTAGAGTAGCAAGAGCAAATTCAAAAGCTAGCAGAAGACAAGAAATAGCTAAGATCAGAGCAGAACTGAAGGAGATAGAGATATGAAAAATGCTTCAAAAAATCAATCAATCCAGTAGCTGATTTTTTGAAAAGATCAATAAAATAGATTGACTGCTAGCCAGACTAATGAAGAAGAAAAGAGAGAAGAATCAAATAGACACAATAAAAAATGATATAGGGGATATCACCACTGATCCCACAGAAATACAAACTACCATCAGAGAATACTATAAACACCTCTATGCAAATAAACTAGAAAATCTAGAAGAAATGGATAAATTCATGGACACATACACCCTCCCAAGACTACACCAGGAAGAAGTCGAATCCCTGAATAGACCAAATAACAAGTTCTGGAATTGAGGTAGTAATTAATAGCCTACCAACCAAAAAAAGTCCAGGCCAAGACGGATACACCGCCGAATTCTACCAGAGGTACAAAGAGGAGCTGGTACCCTACCTTCTGAAATGATTCCAAACAAAAGAAAAAGAGGGAATCCTCCTTGACTCATTTCATGAGGCCAGCATAATTCTGATACCAAAACCTGACAGAGACACAACAAAAAAAGAAAATTTCAGGCCAATATCTGTGATGAACATCGATGAGAAAATTGTCAATAAAATACTGGCAAACCAAATCCAGCAGCACATCAAAAAGCTTATCTACCATGATCAACTCGGCTTCATACCTGGGATGCAAGGCTGGTTCAACATATGCAAATCATTAAAAGTAATCCATCACAGAAACAGAAGCAATGACAAAAACCACATGATTATCTCAATAGATGCAGAAAAGGCCTTTGACAAAATTCAGCAGCCCTTCATGCTAAAAACTCTCAATAAACTAGGTATTGATGGAATGTATCTCAAAATAATAAGAGCTATTTATGACAAACCCACAACCAATATCATACTGAATGGGCAATAACTAGAAGCATTCCCTTTGAAAACTGGCACAAGACAAGGATGCCCTCTGTCGCCACCCCTATTTAACATAGTATTGGAAGTTCTGGCCAGGGCAATCAGACAAAAGAAAGGAGTAAAGGATATTCAAATAGAAAAGGAGGAAGTCAAATTATCTCTGTTTGCAGATGACATGATTGTATATTTAGAAAACCCCATCATCTCAGCCCCAGATATCCTTAAGCTGATAAGCAACTTCAGCAAAGTCTCAGGATACAAAATCAATGTACAAAAATCACAAGTATTCTTATACACCAATAACAAACAAACAGAGAGCCAGATCACGAGTGAACTCCCATTCCCAATTGCTACTAAGAGAATAAAATACCTAGGAATCAAATTTACAAGGGATGTGAAGGACCTTTTCAAGGACAACCACAAACCACTGCTCAAGGGAATAAGAGAGGACACAAACAAATGGGAAAACATTTCCATGCTCATGGATAGGAAGAATTAATATCGTTAAAATGGCCATACTGCCCAAAGTAATTTATAGATTCAGTGCTATCCCCATCAAGCTACCATTGACTTTCTTCATAGAATTGGAAAAAACTACCTTAAACTTCATATGGAACCAAAAAAGAGCCCGCATTGCCAAGACAATCCTAAGCAGAAAGAACAAAGCTGGAGGCATCACACTACCTGACTTCAAACTACACTACAAGCCTACAGTAATCAAAACAGCATGGTAGTGGTACCAAAACAGATATATAGACCAATGGAACAGAACAGAGGCCTCAGAAATACACCACACATCTACAACCATCTGATCTTTGACAAACCTGACAAAAACAAGCAATGGGGAAAGGATTCCCTATTTAATCAATGCTGTTGGGAAAACTGGCTAGCCATATGCAGAAAACTGAAACTGGACCCCTTCCTTATACCTTATACAAAAATTAACTCAAGATGGATTAAAGACTTAAAAGTAAGACCCAAAACCATAAAAATCCTAGAAGAAAACCTAGGAAATACCATTTAGGACATAGGTATGGGCAAAGACTTCATGTCTGAAACACCAAAAGCAATGGCAACGGAAGCCAAAATTGACCAATGGGATCTAATTAAACTAAAGAGCTTCTGCACAGCAAAAGAAACTATCATCAGAGTGAACAGGCAACCTACAGAATGGGAGAAAATTTTTGCAATCTATCCATCTGACAAAGGGCTAATATCCAGAATCTACAAAGAACTTAAACAAATTTACAAGAAAAAAAACAAGCCCATCAAGAAATGGGCAAAGGATATGAACAGACACTTCTCAGAAGAACACATTTATGCAGCCAACAAACATGAAAAAATGCTCATCATCACTGGTCATTAGAGAAATGCAAATCAGAACCACAATGAGATACTATCTCACACCAGTTAGAATGGCGATCATTAAAAAGTCAGAAAACAACAGATGCTGGAGAGGATGTGGAGAAATAGGAATGCTTTTACACTGTTGGTGGGAGTGTACATTAGTTCAACCATTGTGGAAGACAGTGTGACGATTCCTCAAGGATCTAGGACTAGAAATACCATTTGACCCAGCAATCCCATTATTGGGCATATACCGAAAGGATTATAAATCATTCTACTGTAAATACACATGCACACATATGTTTATTGTGGAACTATTCACAATAGCAAAGGCTTGGCACCAACCCAAATGTCCATCAGTGATAGACTAGATAAAGAAAATGTGACACATACACCATGGAATGCTATACAGCCATAAAAATGGATGAGTTCATGTCCTTTGCAGGGTCATGGATGAAGCTGGAAACTGTCATTCTCAGCAAACTAACACAAGAACAGAAAACCAGGCACCACGTGTTCTCACTCATAAGTGGTAGTTGAACAATGAGAACTCATGGACACAGGGAGGGGAACATCACACACTTGGGGCCTGTCGGGGTGGGCACTAGGGGAGGGGTAGCATTAGGAGAAATACCTAATATAGGTGACGGGTTGATGGGTGCAGCAAACCACCATGGCATATGTATACCTATGTAACAAAACTGCATATTCTGCACATGCACCCTAGAACTTAAAATATAATAATAATAAAAATAAAGAACGAATGATAGGCAGTATAGAAAATGGTATTGGTGATGCAGTCTTGGATTACGGAAATGGAAGAGCGTATTGAGAACATGATCAACTCCTAAAAACTTTCAAATTCATTTTTAAATTAATCTAACCTCTTTTCTTCTGTAGGTGAACCAGCTTTTCCTCAAATCTGCTCTAACTCATGTTCCATTTTAGCATTTAATTACCGCTCCCTGGGGATCTGCCACATCATACAAATCTGTGTGTACCGGATGGGCCTGTGAGCAGAGGAGCTAGGCGGGAAGGCACAAGTGACCTGGTGCTTTAAGCTGACACCTGGCTATTCACTCTTAGGAAAATAAAGATAAAGAAAAATCATTAGCTGCCCAGCCAGTGACTTTCATGGGGGGAGGGGTACACTCTTACAGGAGAGGTGCGATATACATGATTAAAATTTTTCTGTGATTTATTTGTTTTTTTTTTTTAGCACTTGACCCATGATTCATGTTCAGTGAATGTCATTTTGAATGAATAAAACACCTGTTACCCTCATGTTGCCCAATATTTGAAACCATCATGGTATATATTTTGCAAATTTGAGGATGTGTTGTCTAAATTCATTATATTTAAAAGAAGAAGAGACTTTACAGAAATGGTTGATTTTTACATTCAATCAAGATATGCAAAGTTTTTGGGAATATTCCAGGTTGTGAGATAACTTGGGGGTTATTACCAAGACCAACGTTTCTATGGGAAAATGTGCTGTAAGTTTCAAAAATAACTTTTTGCATAACATCAATACATAAATTCCAGATTCCCCCTATTTTGTTGGATTCTAAAATTTTGAAAATATGTAACACATAGGATTAATTTTTATTTATCCAACATAAATCAGTACACTGAAATTATTCATTTTGAGTAAATATGATGAATTATTAGTATTCAATGAGGAGGAGGAAATTATTCAATGAGGAGGAGGAAAGTGAGTTTTGCCAAGTTTATAGGAGCTGACACTTTGCCAGAGTGCCCCTTCCGTTTTCTTGATACTTGATCCTATCATGAACACTGCCTGTGTGGCTACTGTCATTGGTGAAGCCATTTGGGCACATGTGAAAAATTTGAAAATTTGTGTTTTTTTTGTTTAGTTTTGTTTGTTCTTTTTTGGGGGAGAAGGGGAGACGGAGTCTTGCACTGTTGCCAGGCTGGAGTGCAGTGGCACAATCTCAGCTCACTGCAACCTCTGCCTCCTGGGTTCAAATGATTCTCCTGCCTCAGCCTCCCAAGTAGCTGGGACCACAGGTTTGCACCACCAAGCCCAGCTAATTTTTATTTTTATTTTTTATTTTTTATTAGTAGAGACAGGGTTTCACCATGTTGGCCACGCTGGTCTTGAACTCTTGGCCTCAAGTGATCCACCCGCCTGGGCCTCCCAAAGTGCTGGGATTACAGGTGTGGGCCACTGTGCCCAGCCAATTTGTAGTTTTTTATACTCTACATCTTCCACTCCTTATCTCACACCCTACATACTGGTGGTTTGTTTTGTGATGGGGAAAAGTGCATGTATTGATGAAACTGTTTGCTACTAAAGCAACCTCAGGCATTATGCTAATGGCTCAAGTCAAAGAACAGCATTTTTCTCTGAAAATTATTTCTAAATCACTGACACTGTTTGTTTATAGGTCTTCCTATCACTGGGCTCTAATTTCACTTTGCAACTGGTGACTGTGATGCTTGTCGGTGGACGTTTCTATGGAATGCCAACAATTCTTCAGGAAGCAAAATCTGCTGTCCTTCCAGTCTCTGAGAAAGCTGCCAATTCTCAGGTAATTGGCCCTGTGTGTGGTTCTCTCAGCAGAACACTAGAGGGCAGCTTTTACAGGAAGGACGGAGACTCTTAGAGCTAGAATTTCTCATGAGTAACTATTTTCTTAAATATAAATAACTCTGTGAATATCAAAGTAGATGTAACAGATATATTATATAAAATAATTAGTCTATTTTCAACATTCAGTAGGAAAAAAAGAGATATGTCCATATCTCTTCTTGATATTTTGTATCTAATATTGAGGTATTTTATGTTAAATAATTAAAATTATAATGAAGCACTAATATTCCACACTTTTTCGCATACTAACATTGTGAATGTTTATGTTTAATATTCAGACTTTGGTTTACAGGGGCGAGTTTGTCTTGATGTAGATAAATGCTGATGGTCAGATCCTGTGATATGGTTGCAACTAAGTATTTGCATCTTCTGTCTGAGGTCGTTGTAGGAAAGATTATTTCCCAATCATTTCATAAATGCACATGAGAACAAAGAACAACTTGAGGGCTTTCCTTTCCTTTCAGGCGGATTCTGTCAATATATGAAAAAGACAAGGCTGTTATCTGTGGCTATGGTAACGTGTGTATGTTTGAAGCCATTGTGTGATATAATTCTATCCTACTCCTTCAGGTGGGAGCTGAAGTGACTCGGGCAAGCCTGGCTCAAGATGCTGAGGTGGAATCTGTACAGATGAATGGGCAGGAATATGGGCAGATATAGTCTCTGGCCACTAAGGGATGCTCTTCAGCTACTCCCGCCTGAGCATCTTCTCCAAGGAGAATGAATGTGCTTTTTCTCTTAAAATAGAATACACTGGCTATTAAAATAACTGAGAGTAAAAGGTTTTTTTTTTCTTTACCTCCTCTTCTTTAAGAGTGAATGAGGAAATAGAATTGATTAATGCTTTGAATTTTGTTGTCTTCTTTTTGTTCATGTGTTGTTATAAAAAAAAAAGATTCAGCAAAACCATTCATTTGGAGGAAAACATTTCCTACTCCTTATCCATGCACATTGTCACAATACTGTATCACCCCAAAGGGCAAGGTTAGAGTCCATCATGGTACATTCACATCTTTGGTGTAACCTCTATACTTGTATCAGTGTTTGGTGTGTGTGTGCACGCATGTGTGTGTGTATGTGTGATGTGGCTAGGGCATTTCAAAATAGCCCTCTAGTCATGTAGCAAGAATGATCTCACTCAAAGCTTTTGGCAGTTGCTAAGCAGAAGCCTCACTGGGCTGGGCATGGTGGCTCATGCTTTTAATCCCAGCAATTTGGGAGGCCCAGGTGGGTGAATCCCCTGAGGTCAGGAGTTTGAGACTAGCCTGGCCAACGTGATAAAACCTTGTGTCTACTAAAAATAGAAAATTAGCTGCATGTGGTGGCATATGCCTGCAGTCCCAGCTATTGGGGAAGGTGAGGCATGAGAATCACTTGAACCTGGGAGGCAGAGGTTGGAGTGAACCGAGATCGTACCATTGCACTCCAGCCTGGATGACAGAGCGACGCTCTGTCTCAAGAAAAAAAAAAGAAGAAAAAGAGAAGCCTCACTGTAACAGAGAATCTAGGCTGGGGTCAAATTAAAGTAGTTGTTGTTTCTTTTCCTCTGTGGCTCCAGAAGTTATCCTGCGGAACCCTCTCATGTTTTTCTGTTATTCTTCATTCCAATTTAAGAAGGGGAGAATGAGTTTTAATATATAACTCTTGATTAAATGGTATCCCAAATTTATAGCTATTGAGACCAAAAGAGGTAAACTGAATTGTTCAAATCAAAATGTGAAGCCAGGAATCTGCTTTTATTCTTACTCATTGCTCAGAACTTATTTCATCTATAAATCACATACCCTGGGAACGTTGCACATAAAACAAAATCTTACTTGATGCTTGTGATAAAGATGGGTATTAAAAAAAAACTTTGAAGTTTTCTGGTCTTCAAAAAAAGATATAAAATTAAGTCAGAGCTGAAAAGAACCCTAATAGAAGGTCTAGTTCATGGTGCTTACTTTATAAATGAAAAAATACACTATTATATCTTAGAAGTCAAATTTTAGTTCTACAAATGAGGTTCTGGAAAGACCCATGAACAAGTCATATTAAATGCCATTTAACATATTTTGCTTTCATTTAACCATAATTATGCTTATCTTTTTTTGGATGTTGTTCATTCAAAAGATAACGTTTTGATTAAAAAAAGAAAAAGCTATCAACTATAACCTAAATAATAAAGTAAAATAAATTTTAAAGTCTGAGATGTTATTTCTTAAGCACTTCTCTTTAATTCAGTATGAGACAAGGATATATATTGTATAAACCAAGGGAAAGTTTACGTTTAACCCATTCCTCAGAAAACAGGAAGGTTTAGAGAGAAATAAAATACTCTAAGCATGATTTTCCCTCAGGTCGGATTTGAATCCACTGCTTTTCAACTCATGAACATCACTGCTGGCACAAGCCACGTTATGATTTCTAGGAGAGGCACATATGGAGCTCTCTCGGTTGCCTGGACCACTGGATATGCTCCTGGGTTAGAAATTCCTGAATTCATTGTTGTTGGCAACATGACCCCAACACTGGGTGAGTTGTAGTTTTTCTAAGATGAGTCCTGTAGAATATTGGAAGGATATCACTGGCCACTAATTGTCTTGGGTTATCCTTATTCTGGACACTAAATGTAGTTTTCGAATACAATGCTCCCATATTTAAGTGATCAGAGTAGTGCAGGCTGCTTGGTGAGAAAAGGAGAGAAGCTTTTTTCAGTCAAATTAACAACTCCATGCCTTACCTCAAAAGACTGGGGTCACTAAGCAAACTACTCTGTCCATACAATAGGAGTTTGTTGAAAGTAGTTCTAAGAATCTAATTTGGCAAATACAGTAATAAGAAAAATAAAAATACATACAGCTCTTGTATGCATTTCCATGTTCACCTGACTATTTCTGGCAGTAGGGCAGCTGTTACTTTAGATACTTTATTTTTTAAAGTATACCATTAGGTCTTTGAGAGCTAGTGAGATGCAAATGTTAGATGGTTTGACCTCTACCGTGTTATAGCAAGCTCATTGCAAATTTAGATAATGAGAGTTTATAAAGAACCCTCCAGTGGGCTCTGAATCTGAGGATCTCCCTCCTTGATTCACAGGGTCTTGTTGGTCACCAGCCAAACGCCATTTACACTCAGTAAGAAACCTAATGAATCCTGCAGAGGACTGAGATCCTCAGTCTCTCAGAAAGGAGGGAATGATTTTCATTTTCCCAAGATCTCGGCATCACTGAGAGATAAGAAGGAATGAAAGCTAAGGTCCTATAGAAGATGGGGGATGAGGGCTAGGCCAGTGAAAATGACAACATTTTCATGCCAGCTTCCATCCTAACAGGAATCCCAGAAAACAGAAAGAGAGAAATTAGCTGCGTGATTGAGAGACACCATAGTGTGATAACTGCCTTGGATACTGGGGTTTCTTTAGCCACTGCATAGGTGCCCCTGATGTGATGTCTCAGACATTGTCTCCTCTTGTTTTCCTTTTGGCATGTCCCCTAAGTTAAAGATATTTAATTATTTTTTCCTGTTTATTTTCTAGCCCTTTTTTTCCTGCAGAAACTCTTGTCTTTTACTTCCTTACCCCTCTGTCACTTTGGGTGATATGCATAGCTTCATATAATCTAGGGTGTTTGCAAAAATTTTTTATGTTAGTAACCACTTGCTACATATGAAAAGACTTATGTGTAGAAATATTGCTTATTATGAGTGTATATGCGGCTTTGTGCTTACATATCACATTAGTCTTCAAACGCTTTTGTGAGTTTATGTTAACTTGATTCAGCTAAAATAACAGGAGTTCCCAAATAATAGATCTGTATCTTCAAACAGGTTCATTTAGTTTTTTGAGCCTTTGTAATAAATTTTCAAACACAATGGAAAGTACAGTGAACACCCATAAACTCACTGACTAGATTTATTTATTTATTTTATTTTTAATTTTTTTTTTTGAGACAGAGTCTTGCTCTGTCACCCATGCTGGAATGCAGTGGCGCCATCTCAACTCACTGCAACCTCCACCTCCCGGGCTCAAGGTATTCTCCTGCCTCAGCCTCCTGAGTAGCTGGGATTATAGGCTCGCACCACCATGCCTGGCTAATTTTTGTATTTTTTGTACAGATGGGGTTTCACCATGTTGGCCAGGCTGGTCTCAAACTCCTGACCTCAGAATCCGCCCTCGTCGGCCTCCCAAAGTGTTGGGATTACAGGCGTGAGCCACTGTGCCTGGCCTTGACTAGATTTAATAGTTGTTACAGTCTGCTATATTTGTGACATTTTTTCTGAAGCATTTTAAAGTAAAATACATAGATTATGATATTTCACCCCAATCTACTTCAATATGTATCCTAAAAATATGCTGGGGCCAGAATTTAAACCAAAGCCTGACACTAAGTCTATATTAAAGCTTGCCTAACACCAGTATCTTTTCACTACTGGATTTTGTCATTGAGCCAGGAAAGAAAAAGATATAAAGGAGAAAAGTAAACAGGGACCGAAAGCAAGATTTGTGTGGTCTCCTGTAAGTTTACCTCTCCCCCGACCCCTTTTTAAAAATGTTTTACCTTTTGTGAACTATAATTGAATTTTGGAAAAGAAAATACACTACTACAGTTTTAAAAGTCAAATCCCAATTTAAGAAAAGAAATAATACCCTACTTTGCTTTTTCATGTTTTCTTTCAGGGAGCCTTTCATTTTCCCACGGTGAACAAAGGAAAGGAGTTTTCCTGTGGACGTTTCCTAGCCCTGGTTGGCCAGAGGCCTTTGTTCTTCACCTATCAGGAGTGCAGAGCAGTGCTCCTGGCGGAGCTCAACTCCGGTAAGACCAACCTCAT
Organism: Homo sapiens; assembly: GCF_000001405.40. Lineage (NCBI taxonomy): Eukaryota > Metazoa > Chordata > Mammalia > Primates > Hominidae > Homo > Homo sapiens. Next base: position 90,807,754 of record NC_000005.10, read on the forward strand.
TCTCACCCAAGAAATTCTCTGAGGAATAATCTGGAATTCATCCATCAAAACAGAAAAAGGCACAAGGGTTATTCTCCTTGAAGCAAACACAAACATAGTTTTAGTGTAGAGCATCACGTGGCGTGCATGCTGGAGAGGGAGGTGGCTCTTAGGAGCCCCACCACCCACTGTTTGCTCTAAAGAGAGCTCCTCATGCCCCACCTTGAGAATGGGGTCTGGGGTACCATCTCCACTAAGAGCCATGATGGCAGTTCTCCTCTTGTTAAAGACAGCTATCTTCTGAGAAGCTGAAAATACCTGATTGCCCCAAGTGATTAAGAGTAAGAATAAGATTAAGTAAGAATAAGACATCACAGTAGGGTGATAATATTACTTATTTGGACCAGTGGCCCTTTGACTTTAATTTAATTTTATTGAATTTTACTATGTATCTATAATGACTGTTTCTGCAAATACAGTATATTTGCAGATAAATACGTACCAGCCAAAAGCAATTTACTTTCCTTATTTCTGGGATAGACTCGACCAGAGCAGCAGAGGGCAGACCTGCTATTCAGACTTAGGGATTTAGTCCTGGCTCTGCCACTTACTCGCTGTGTAACTTTGAGAAAATTACTTGATCTTTCTGTTCTTCAGTTTACTTGTAAAATAAAGAAAATTTTGGGGTATGAAAACTAGAGTGTATTCAAGTATGTTTGTGTACATGTTTATGTGTGGGGGATCTCCATTGGGGAAATAAAATATGACTTTAGATTATACATATGCCATTTTTAAAATGTTCATCCAGAGAACATATTTTAGGGTTACAAATTCAAATGCTTTAACAGCAACAATAGTTATTAACAGTATTATAGTGCTTGGCCAGGCGTGGCGGCTCACGCCTGTAATCCCAACACTTTGGGAGGCCACAGCAGGCAGATCACCTGAGGTTAGGAACTCAAGACAAGACTGGCCAACATGGCAAAACCCCATCTCTACTTAGAATACAAAACATCAGCCAAGTGTGATGGTGCGTGCCTGTAGTCCCAGCTACTTGGGAGGCTGAGGCAGGAGAATCGCTTGAGCCCAGGAGGCAGAGGTTGCAATGAACTGAGATCGCGCCACAGTGCTCCAGCCTGGGCAACAGAGTGAGTGAGACTCCGTATCAAAAACAACAAGAAGTAGTATTATAGGGCTTACCCTAGGCCAGGCATAAATGTTTTTTTTTTTTTGAGATGGAGACTCGCTCTTTCGCCCAGGCCGGACTGTAGTGGTGCTAGCTCGGCTCACTGCAAGCTCCGCCTCCCGGGTTCACGCCATTCTCCTGCCTCAGCCTCCCGAGTAGCTGGGAGTAGTTGGGACGACAGGCACCTGCCACCGTGCCCTACTAATTTTTTGTATTTTTAGTAGAGATGGGGTTTCACTGTGTTAGCCAGGATGGTCTCGATCTCCTGACCTCGTGATCCGCCCACCTCGGCCTCCCAAAGTGCTGGGATTACAGGCGTGAGCCACCGCGGCCAGGCATAAATCTTACAGTGCTTACTCTAGGCCGGGCATAAATACACACACACACACACACACACACACACACACACGCTCTGTCTCTCTTTACTCTCCCCAGCAACCTTACAAAGTAGATTATATTATTTGTCTCATTTTATAGATGACGAAAGTCATAGATAGATTATGCGATAAACCCAGAAGCACACAGTTAATATATGTTGGGGCCATGATTTCAACCCAGGCTGAATGGCCTCTGTGTGAGGTATTAACCACTGTTTTATGTACTGAGTGCTGGCTGCTTGACAAGAGAGAGTAATGGGACCTGAAGAATCCTCCCTAAAGGCATTTAAATTTATATTAAAACCAAAAACTTGTTAGCAAAAGAAAATAAACCTGTAGACAGAATTAGGCCGAGAGACCAGCAGTTGTAACCTCTGATATAGCTATTAACTCACAACAAAAATCTATAGGAAAAAAACTAAGAATAAATGATTCTATCATGGGTGTCTGTCCTCATTCATACATAAAGTTTTAGCCACATTTGCATGAGAGGTTAGTTCCATTACTGGCAGCTGAAGAAAGCAAGGATTTTACTGCTAGTGCCAGTAACTATTTCTATTTGGTAGATAACAAAGCTGGCAGAGGTCCAGAACATTGTAGTAATATTGTTCCCCTTGTACTGATCCTAAGAGAGAGCCTGATTTTCACATCCCTCAGACAGCTGCTCTGGGATGATGGAGAAATAGACCAGAGACCTATAAGCTTTTCATTTAGCTCAGACTTGTTAGTTCCTGTCCCTGCTTTTGCAGCTCCTGTTCTTACATTTCTTTTGCCCTTACATATCAATAAATAGGGTTTGATGGAATTTGAAATGGCACGTCATTGTTAAGTTGCTGCCCTCATGAGCAGCATTTTAAATATGTGAATGATGAATCTCTACAGTCATATTCCTATTTTTTAAAAAATCAATTTCTTCATGATTTAATTTTTTTCCCAGATCAGGTTTCATTGTTGCTGAAATTGAACCAATGGGCGTCTTCCAATTTTCCACTAGCTCAAGAAATATCATAGTGTCAGAAGATACACAGATGATCAGATTACATGTACAAAGACTATTTGGGTTCCACAGCGATCTTATTAAAGTTTCTTATCAGACCACTGCAGGAAGCGCCAAGCCACTGGAAGATTTTGAGCCTGTTCAGAATGGGGAACTGTTTTTTCAAAAATTCCAAACTGAGGTTGATTTTGAAATAACCATTATTAATGATCAGCTTTCTGAGATAGAAGAATTTTTTTACATTAACCTTACTTCAGTAGAAATTAGGGGATTACAAAAGTTTGATGTTAATTGGAGCCCACGCCTGAATCTAGATTTCAGTGTTGCAGTGATTACAATATTGGATAATGATGACCTGGCAGGAATGGATATTTCCTTCCCCGAGACAACTGTGGCTGTAGCAGTTGACACAACTCTCATTCCTGTAGAAACTGAATCCACCACATACCTCAGCACAAGCAAGACGACTACCATTCTGCAGCCAACCAACGTGGTTGCCATTGTTACTGAGGCAACTGGTGTATCTGCCATCCCTGAGAAACTTGTCACCCTTCATGGCACACCTGCTGTGTCTGAAAAGCCTGATGTGGCCACTGTAACTGCCAATGTTTCCATTCATGGAACATTCAGCCTTGGGCCATCCATTGTTTATATTGAAGAGGAGATGAAGAATGGCACATTCAACACTGCAGAAGTTCTTATCCGAAGAACTGGTGGGTTTACTGGCAATGTCAGCATAACAGTTAAAACTTTCGGTGAAAGATGTGCTCAGATGGAACCAAATGCATTGCCCTTTCGTGGTATCTATGGGATTTCCAACCTAACATGGGCAGTTGAAGAAGAAGACTTTGAAGAACAAACTCTTACCCTTATATTCCTAGATGGAGAAAGAGAACGTAAAGTATCAGTTCAAATTTTGGATGATGATGAGCCTGAGGGGCAGGAATTCTTCTACGTGTTTCTCACAAACCCTCAAGGGGGAGCACAGATTGTGGAGGAGAAGGATGATACTGGATTTGCAGCTTTTGCCATGGTTATTATTACAGGTATATCTTTGAAATGATGGAGATAAAAATATACTTTTATGGTACATAATTTGTATTAAGGTGAATCTAGCTTAAATTTAATGGAAGAAGGTGAAGTTCTTAAGTTATTCATAGGAATGCATTAAAGTGTTGTTTTTCTGTAGCATGGACCCATGACATGAACTCATGATGTGCTGTTCTGAGGGCCCTATAATTTAATGTACTATAAATGTCACTGAGATCAGAGCCAGTAATACAATCTATAAATCTATACTCTCACAATATAAATAACGTTTAATTTAATCATCCAAACACATGATTGCCTATCCTGTTTTGAAACTTGATTCTAAATTTACCAGCTACTTTCAGTAATCCATCCTAAAGTCAAAGATCTCATTGGCAGGAAATTCTTTTTTTTTTTTTTCTGTTACCAAAAAGATTTAAACTGTTGCCTTTTGTTTTGCTTTTGACCCAATGTAGTTGATATAGCCATCATACTATTGTGTATATACGTTACAATAGCTTAAAATTTTAATAATTTTTTTGTTTCTCATGTATCTTATGCAATCTTTTCATGACAGTTTGCAGTTTACCTCTGAAATCATACTGTATTTTTTTTTTTTTTTTTGGAGATGGAGTCTTGCTCTGTTGCCCAGGCTGTAGTGCAGTGGCATGATCACAGCTCACTGCAACCTCTGCCTCCCGGGTTCAAGCAGTTCTCTGACTCAGCTTCCCGAGTAGCTGGGATTACAGGCACCTGCCACCACGCCCGGCTAATTTTTTTTATTTTTAGTAGAGACAGGGTTTCATCATGTTGGCCAGCTGGTCTTGAACTCCTGACCTCGTGATCCACCTGCCTCAGCCTCCCAAAGTGCTGGGATTACAGGCGTGAGCCACTGCACCCGGCCTGAAATCATACTGTATTTCTTTAAATGAAATACATCAGCATGTCAATACCTTATAGGAATTAGAGAAGTGACAGGCTATCTCATGATTCTTTTCTTTTTTCATTTTCATGTTTTATTGTAAAGTGACAACTTATAATTGTACATATTTAGAGGGTACAAGGAATGATGTTATGATTATAAATGCAGTGTAGAATAATTTAATCAAGCTAGTTAACATGTACATTACCTCAAGTACTTAACTTTTTTTATAGTGAGAATATTTCAAATTTACTATCTTAGAAACTTGGAAATGTACAGTACTCTATATTAACCATATTCACCATTCTGTGCAATAGACCTCAAAACATATTTTTGAGATTTGATGCTTCCTAGAGTTCGTATTTTATTTTAGCCACTCAGTTTTAATTCAGTCATAATTTTGCAATCTTTTAACTTCCTTTCATATGCTCAGCATTATCTCATTTATGTTAACCTACAAATTTACATCAATTAGTATGATTTATTCCTGTTTCTACAGTTTATGAAGTGTGTTGTAAATTCTTATTCTATTCTACAAGTTATTTACTGATTTTGATTCAAATTGGCTTAATGCCATTTATATATTTCTATTAAAATTAATTTGGTAGCTGGGCACGGTGGCTCACACCTGTAATCCCAGCACTTTGGGAGGCCGAGTCGGGCGGATCACGAGGTCAGGAGATCGAGACCATCCTGACTAACACGGTGAAACCCCATCTCTACTAAAAAAATACAAAAAATTTGCCAGGCATGGTGGCAGGCACCTGTCGTCCCAGCTACTCGGGAGGCTGAGGCAGGAGAATGGCGTGAACCTGGGAGACGGAGCTTGCAGTGAGCCCAGATCACGCCACTACACTCCAGCCTGGGCGACAGAGTAAGACTCCGTCTCAAAAAAAAAAAAAAAAAAAAAAAAAAAAAAAATTTATTTGGCAGTCAGCATCCTCCTTCTCATTCTAATAGAGACACAGATATTTTATTACAGGTATTTGAATATAACCAGGGCTGATAGTAAAAATACTTAACAATTAGTTTGGCACTGGCCAGGCCCATTAAAATGGCTTCTGGAGGTTCTTTGCTGTTCCAAGCCATACTCCATTAATTACTGGATCATGGGGAGGTCTTGTTGTCCTGGTTAGGGAAGTGGCAGAGGACTCTTTAGGGGCTCAGGATAGAAGTTAGGTACCAACTGGAATGGAAGTGCTTCCCTGTTTTATCAGACAATATAGCCTACCAGTGCCTACCCCTTCATCAGCTCTGAGCTTAGTTTTAACTCAACAGGCAAATGGTAACTCAGCTGAGCTCTGTGAGATTCTGTAATGTTTACCTTCCCTACATAAGGCACACTCATCACACACCTGTTGCAAATGACCGATACCCTACCATAGCTACCACTAATGTCGTATGATGTAATTGGCCTGACTACACCACCAGGCACATTCACGTGGTCATAATACCTTAAGTTCCTTTACCTGCAAATGTTGCCCTCATCTTTTCCCTACCTGACATTTTTTTCTTAATAATATTTCTCACTTAACCGGATAATTAATTTTGCTGCATCCACCTACCTTTATAATCTTTTCACATTTAGATTTTAGAACAAACTTTCTGAGTAAGTCAGGGAAAAAATAGTTTATTTAGTTTTGATTTTGATCATTGGCACATTACAAGTCTGGAATCATTTTACTAGAAATTTGAAATCAAATTTATTATTGTAAATGTGACAAGGGAAGTGTTTTTTCATTAGAATCATGCTAGTTGCTATTGCCTTGGAAAAGGAAATGAGGGTTCTGCTGTGATAGTCTTGTAATCTACTTGAAGAGCCCAAATCCTCACTTAAGGTGACAAGAAAAGAATTGCTGCCAAAGATAAAAAGTCAATGTCAGATTCTGATACCAGGCTACGAAGTGATTGCAGTGATTAATTGGTGAGGATGAGAATTGGCAGTCTGAAACAAAACACACATGAGACCCTAGGACAAATGTAGCCCATCACTTGCATGTCCCTAATAAAGGGGCTCCACATTTACTTTAAGACCAGGGAAATGGTCCAGGGGCTGATGACTACTAGTTCTTCCCTATCAGGACAGTTCAGTGGTTTTCTGTTTCCTTAACCCAACCTACTCCCTAATTTCAGAAGTTCTGTCTCCTTAGAATGCCAGGAATCAGGTTTCAGGGTGATGGGTACACATGATAATATGGTTTGGCTCTGTGTCCCCACTCAATTTTCATCTCCAGTTGTAATCCCCCAAATCCCCATGTGTCAAGGGTGGGATCTGGTGGGAGATTATTGGATCATGGGGGCAGTTTCCCCCATGCTGTTCTTGTGATAGTGAGTGAGTTCTCGTGAGATCTGATGGTTTAAAAGTAGCACTTCCTTTGCTGTCTCTCTCCTGCCACCATATATGACGTGCTTTGCTTCCCCTTCCACCGTGATTGTAAGTTTGCTGAGGCCTCCCCAGACATGCAAAACTGTGAATCAATTAAACCTCTTTTGTTTATAAATTACCTAATCTCAGGTAGCATCTTTATAGCAGCATAAAAATGAACTAATACACATGGTTTTCGAGGCCAATTGCTTTAGGATCATTGCTTCTAGGACCAATGCAAAACAGGGCCATGGAGAATAGAAAGCAGTCAGAACTATGCAGTGGTATTTCTCTAGTCTGAGAAGCTGGCTTAGTTGCTGCCTAGGGTTTGAAGTGATGATTTCTGTATAGTATGAACCCTAGTTTTGTTCCAGTTTAAACATTTTTTTTTTTAGTATAATGGTACCCGTAACCTCAAGTGTTGCTTAGGAAAGTTTCTGATACCGAGATGCTCAGGAGTTCCTTAATATTTCTGTTTTGTTCTGGGGCAAATAGCTTCATGGATAGCATAGAGGGTCTTTTAATCAAACGTCTTATGTGAAGGTAAATCCGTTGAACAGAGTTCATTTATTTGACAAGTATTTATTCAACACTTACTATATGCTCAGTTCTGTTCTCGGAGCTGGGGATACAGTAGCGAATAAAAGTTGATGCTCTAGTAGGGCTTACATTCTGTGAGGGATATATAGCCTTAAAACAGATAAATATCTAAAATTTCAAGGACTGTCAAATGTAAAGTAGGATCTTAATAGAAAAATGAATATGTGTGTGTCAGGGGGAAAGAGTGGGATTTGATGTTTTATTTCTTCTTTTCTTCTATTCCCAGTTAGACACCTTGATGTTATCACAGTTTAGTTTATTTTTAATAAAGATCTTTTAACAACTGTAGCTCTCCTCACCACCTGTGAATTTCTCACTTTTAAACCATCTGAGCTGGCAAGATTAGTGGAGCATGGGAGGTCTTTTAAATAATTCTTGAATATATTATAGCCCTCCATTCTTTTTTTCAGGGAGTGACCTTCACAATGGCATCATAGGATTCAGTGAGGAGTCCCAGAGTGGACTAGAACTCAGGGAAGGAGCTGTTATGAGAAGATTGCACCTTATTGTCACAAGACAGCCAAACAGGTATGTGTATATATAGTATATGGAAGACGTAACATTCTGTGTGTCTGTACAAATGTAATTTCAATTCATACAATGGTGGAGGGCAGGGTAAGATAGAAGGAGGTAGTGTCGAATTTGGCACGTCTTCAGATGCTCTAGTTCTTAATTTGTGATTATGGTACTTCGTTTATGATCATAACTTAGGGTTACCTTGAGTGTTTTCTACTTCATGAAGTACCATACAAATATCAGACTATGTAGGTCATCACTTCATCATATTGCCTATTATCTGCTCACTCTACATACATACCATTTTCCTGTGATGAAAACTTGGAGTACCAAAACTTTGTTTGCAACTTAAAACTGTATAGTAGCATCTTTAGATGCTCATCACATACACGTGCTTGGTATGCACACATGCACATGTGTATATATTACATTTTCCATTTTGGGCCTAAATAATCTGTGAGAATGTTGGTCTCCCTTTGCCCTATTTTACAATAGCAACCATTATGAGTGGAAGTGTTGTTTCTTTAGAAAAATCCTTTTTAAAAGAGAAATGAGGAACATTTACTTGCCTTTAGGACCTCCCTATAATTCTCATTTTCACATTTTTTGGACATAATAGAAAAATATATTTTTTTAATTTTCTGTTTTTTTTTAAATTTTATTATTATTATAATTTAAGATTTTTTAAATTTTATTATTATTATACTTTAAGTTTTAGGGTACATGTGCATAATGTGCAGGTTTGTTACGTATGTACACATGTGCCATGTTGGTGTGCTGCACCCATTAACTCATCATTTAGCATTAGGTATATCTCCTAATGCTATCCTTCCCCCCTCCCCCCACCCCACAACAGTCCCCAGTGGGTGATGTTCCCCTTCCTGTGTCCATGTGTTCTCATTGTTCAGTTCCCACCTATGAATGAGAACATGTGGTGTTTGGTTTTTTGTCCTTGCGATAGTTTGCTGAGAATGATGGTTTCCAGCTTCATCCATGTCCCTACAAAGGACATGAACTCATCATTTTTTATGGCTGCATAGTATTCCATGGTGTATATGTGCCACATTTTCTTAATCCAGTCTATCATTGTTGGACATTTGGGTTGGTTCCAAGTCTTTGCTATTGTGAATAGTGCCGCAATAAACATACGTGTGCATGTGTCTTTATAGCAGCATGATCTATAGTCCTTTGGGTATATACCCAGTAATGGGATGGCTGGGTCAAATGGTATTTCTAGTTCTAGATCCCTGAGGAATTGCCACACTGACTTCCACAATGGTTGAACTAGTTTACAGTCCCACCAACAGTGTAAAAGTGTTCCTATTTCTCCACACCCTTTCCAGCACCTGTTGTTTCCTGACTTATTAATGATTGCCGTTCTAACTGGTGTGAGATGGTATCTCATTGTGGTTTTGATTTGCATTTCTCTGATGGCCAGTGATGATGAGCATTTTTTCATGTGTTTTTTGGCTGCATAAATGTCTTCTTTTGAGAAGTGTCTGTTCATGTCCTTCACCCACTTTTTGATGGGGTTGTTTGTTTTTTTTCTTGTAAATTTGTTTGAGTTCATTGTAGATTCTGGATATTAGCCCTTTGTCAGATGAGTAGGTTGCGAAAATTGTCTCCCATTTTGTAGGTTGCCTGTTCACTCTGATGGTAGTTTCTTTTGCTGTGCAGAAGCTCTTTAGTTTAATTAGATCCCATTTGTCAATTTTGGCTTTTGTTGCCATTGCTTTTGGTGTTTTGGACATGAAGTCCTTGCCCATGCCTGTGTCCTGAATGGTAATGCCTAGGTTTTCTTCTAGGGTTTTTATGGTTTTAGGTCTAATGTTTAAGTCTTTAATCCATCTTGAATTGATTTTTGTGTAAGGTGTAAGGAAGGGATCCAGTTTCAGCTTTCTACATATGGCTAGCCAGTTTTCCCAGCACCATTTGTTAAATAGGGAATCCTTTCCCCATTGCTTGTTTTTCTCAGGTTTGTCAAAGATCAGATAGTTGTAGATATGCGGCGTTACTTCTGAGGGCTCTGTTCTGTTCCATTAATCTATATCTCTGTTTTGGTACCAGTACCATGCTGTTTTGGTTACTGTAGCCTTGTAGTATAGTTTGAAATCAGGTAGTGTGATGCCTCCAGCTTTGTTCTTTTGGCTTAGGATTGCCTTGGCGATGCAGGCTCTTTTTTGGTTCCATACAAACTTTAAAGTAGTTTTTTCCAATTCTGTGAAGAAAGTCATTGGTAGCTTGATGGGGATGGCATTGAATCTGTAAATTACCTTGGGCACTATGGCCATTTTCACGATATTGATTCTTCCTACCCATGAGCATGGAATGTTCTTCCATTTGTTTGTATCCTCTTTTATTTCCTTGAGCAGTGGTTTGTAGTTCTCCTTGAAGAGGTCCTTCACATCCCTTGTAAGTTGGATTCCTAGGTATTTTATTCTCTTTGAAGCAATTGTGAATGGGAGTTCACTCATGATTTGGCTCTCTGTTTGTCTGTTGTTGGTGTGTAAGAATGCTTGTGATTTTTGTACATTGATTTTGTATCCTGAGACTTTGCTGAAGTTGCTTACCAGCTTAAGGAGATTTTGGGCTGAGACAATGGGGTTTTCTAGATATACAATCATGTCATCTGCAAACAGGGACAATTTGACTTCCTCTTTTCCTAATTGAATACCCTTTATTTCCTTCTCCTGCCTAATTGCCCTGGCCAGAACTTCCAACATTATGTTGAATAGGAGTGGTGAGAGAGGGCATCCCTGTCTTGTGCCAGTTTTCAAAGGGAATGCTTCCAGTTTTTGCCCATTCAGTATGATATTGGCTGTGGGTTTGTCATAGATAGCTCTTATTATTTTGAAATACATCCCATCAATACCTAATTTATTGAGAATTTTTAGCATGAAGGGTTGTTGAATTTTGTCAAAGGCTTTTTCTGCATCTATTGAGATAATCATGTGGTTTTTGTCTTTGGCTCTGTTTATATGCTGGATTACATTTATTGATTTGCGTATATTGAACCAGCCTTGCATCCCAGGGATGAAGCCCACTTAATCATGGTGGATAAGCTTTTTGATGTGCTGCTGGATTCGTTTTGCCAGTATTTTATTGAGGATTTTTGCATCAATGTTCATCAAGGATATTGGTCTAAAATTCTCTTTTTTGGTTGTGTCTCTGCCCGGCTTTGGTATCAGAATGATGCTGGCCTCATAAAATGAGTTAGGGAGGATTCCCTCTTTTTCTGTTGATTGGAATAGTTTCAGAAGGAATGGTACCAGTTCCTCCTTGTACCTCTGGTAGAAATCGGCTGTGAATCCATCTGGTCCTGGACTCTTTTTGGTTGGTAAACTATTGATTATTGCTACAATTTCAGCTCCTGTTATTGGTCTATTCAGAGATTCAACTTCTTTGTGGTTTAGTCTTGGGAGAGTGTATGTGTCAAGGAATTTATCCATTTCTTCTAGATATTCTAGTTTATTTGCGTAGAGGTGTTTGTAGTATTCTCTGATGGTAGTTTGTATTTCTGTGGGATTGGTGGTGATATCCCCTTTATCATTTTTTATTCCGTCTATTTGATTCTTCTCTCTTTTTTTCTTTATTAGTCTTGCTAGCGGTCTATCTATTTTGTTGATCCTTTCAAAAAACCAGCTCCTGGATTCATTAATTTTTTGAAGAGTTTTTTGTGTCTCTATTTCCTTCAGTTCTGCTCTGATTTTAGTTATTTCTTGCCTTCTGCTCGCTTTTGAATGTGTTTGCTCTTGCTTTTCTAGTTCTTTTAATTGTGATGTTAGGGTGTCAATTTTGGATCTTTCCTGCTTTCTCTTGTGGGCATTTAGTGCTATAAATTTCCCTCTACACACTGCTTTGAATGTGTCCCAGAGATTCTGGTATGTTGTGTCTTTGTTCTCGTTGGTTTCAAAGAACATCTTTATTTCTGCCTTCATTTCGTTATGTATCCAGTAGTCATTCAGGAGCAGGTTGTTCAGTTTCCATGTAGTTGAGCGGTTTTGAGTGAGATTCTTAATCCTGAGTTCCAGTTTGATTGCACTGTGGTCTGAGAGATAGTTTGTTATAATCTCTGTTCTTTTACATTTGCTGAGGAGAGCTTTACTTCCAAGTACGTGGTCATTTTTGGAATAGGTGTGGTGTGGTGCTGAAAAAAATGTATATTCTGTTGATTTGGGGTGGAGAGTTCTGTAGATGTCTGTTAGGTCTGCTTGGTGCAGAGCTGAGTTCAATTCCTGGGTATCCTTGTTGACTTTCTGTCTCGTTGATCTGTCTAATGTTGACAGTGGGGTGTTAAAGTCTCCCATTATTAATGTGTGGGAGTCTAAGTCTCTTTGTAGGTCACTCAGGACTTGCTTTTTGAATCTGGGTGCTCCTGTGTTGGGTGCATATATATTTAGGATAGTTAGCTCTTCTTGTTGAATTGATCCCTTTACCATTATGTAATGGCCTTCTTTGTCTCTTTTGATCTTTGTTGGTTTAAAGTCTGTTTTATCAGAGACTAGGATTGCAACCCCTGCCTTTTTTTGTTTTCCATTTGCTTGGTAGATCTTCCTCCATCCTTTTATTTTGAGCCTATGTGTGTCTCTGCACGTGAGATGGGTTTCCTGAATACAGCACACTGATGGGTCTTGACTCTTTATCCAATTTGCCAGTCTGTGTCTTTTAATTGGAGCATTTAGTCCATTTACATTTAAAGTTAATATTGTTATGTGTGAATTTGATCCTGTCATTATGATGTTAGGGGTGATTTTGCTCATTAGTTGATGCAGTTTCTTCTTAGTCTCGATGGTCTTTACATTTTGGCATGATTTTGCAGCGGCTGGTACCGGTTGTTCCTTTCCATGTTTAGTGCTTGCTTCAGGAGCTCTTTTAGGGCAGGCCTGGTGGTGACAAAATCTCTCAGCATTTGCTTGTCTGTAAAGTATTTTATTTCTCCTTCACTTATGAAGCTTAGTTTGGCTGGATATGAAATTCTGGGTTGAAAATTCTTTTCTTTAAGAATGTTGAATATTGGCCCCCACTCTCTTCTGGCTTGTAGGGTTTCTGCCGAGAGATCCGCTGTTAGTCTGATGGGCTTCCCTATGAGGGTAACCCGACCTTTCTCTCTGGCTGCCCTTAACATTTTTTCCTTCATTTCAACTTTGGTGAATCTGACAGTTATGTGTCTTGGAGTTGCTCTTCTCGAGGAGTATCTTTGTGGCGTTCTCTGCATTTCCTGAATCTGAATGTTGGCCTGCCTTGCTAGATTGGGGAAGTTCTCCTGGATAATATCCTGCAGAGTGTTTTCCACCTTGGTTCCATTCTCCCCATCACTTTCAGGTACACCAATCAGACGTAGATTTGGTCTTTTCACATAGTCGCATATTTCTTGGAGGCTTTGCTCATTTCTTTCTATTCTTTTTTCTCTAAACTTCCCTTCTCGCTTCATTTCATTCATTTCATCTTCCATTGCTGATACCCTTTCTTCCAGTTGATCGCATCGGCTCCTGAGGCTTCTGCATTCTTCACGTAGTTCTCGAGCCTTGGTTTTCAGCTCCATCAGCTCCTTTAAGCACTTCTCTGTATTGGTTATTCTAGTTGTACATTCTTCTAAATTTTTTTCAAAGTTTTCAACTTCTTTGCCTTTGGTTTGAATGTCCTCCCGTAGCTCAGAGTAATTTGATCGTCTGAAGCCTTCTTCTCTCAGCTCGTGAAAGTCATTCTCCATCCAGCTTTGTTCCGTTGCTGGTGAGGAACTGCGTTCCTTTGGAGGAGGAGAGGCGCTCTGCGTTTTAGAGTTTCCAGTTTTTCTGTTCTGTTTTTTCCCCATCTTTGTGGTTTTATCTACTTTTGGTCTTTGATGATGATGATGTACAGATGGGTTTTTGGTGTGGATGTCCTTTCTGTTTGTTAGTTTTCCTTCTAACAGACAGGACCCTCAGCTGCAGGTCTGTTGGAATAGCCTGCCGTGTGAGGTGTCAGTGTGCCCCTGCTGGGGGGTGCCTCCCAGTTAGGCTGCTTCGGGGTCAGGGGTCAGGCACCCACTTGAGGAGGCAGTCTGCCCGTTCTCAGATCTCCAGCTGCGTGCTGGGAGAACCACTGCTCTCTTCAAAGCTGTCAGACAGGGACATTTAAGTCTGCAGAGGTTACTGCTGTCTTTTTGTTTGTCTGTGCCCTGCCCCCAGAGGTGGAGCCTACAGAGGCAGGCAGGCCTCCTTGAGCTGTGGTGGGCTCCACCCAGTTTGAGCTTCCTGGCTGCTTTGTTTAAATAAGCAAGCCTGGGCAATGGCGGGCGCCCCTCCCCCAGCCTCGCTGCCGCCTTGCAGGTTGATCTCAGACTGCTGTGCTAGTAATCAGCGAGACTCTGTGGGCGTAGGACCCTCCGAGCCAGGTGCGGGATATAATCTCGTGGTGTGCCGTTTTTTAAGCCGGTCCGAAAAGCGCAATATTTGGGTGGGAGTGACCCGATTTTCCAGGTGCGTCCGTCACCCCTTTCTTTGACTCGGAAAGGAAACTCCCTGACCCCTTGCGCTTCCCAAGTGAGGCAATGCCTCGCCCTGGTTCGGCTCGCGCACGGTGCACACACCCACTGACCTGCGCCCACTGTCTGGCACTCCCTAGTGAGATGAACCTGGTACCTCAGATGGAAATGCAGAAATCACCCGTCTTCTGCGTTGCTCACGCTGGGAGCTGTAGACCGGAGCTGTTCCTATTCGGCCATCTTGGCTCCTCCTTCATGTGGCGTTATTTCTGAGGGCTCTGTTCTGTTCCATTGATCTGTATCTCTGTTTTGGTACCAGTACCATGCTGTTTTGGTTACTGTAGCCTTGTAGTATAGTTTGAGGTCAGGTAGCGTGATGCCTCCAGCTTTGTTCTTTTGGCTTAGGACTGACTCGGCGATGCGGGCTCTTTTTTGGTTCCATATGAACTTTAAAGTAGTTTTTTCCAATTCTGTGAAGAAAGTCATTGGTAGCTTGATGGGGTTGGCATTGAATCTATAAATTACCTTAAGCAGTATGGCCATTTTCATGATATTGATTCTTCCTACCCATAAGCATGGAATGTTCTTCCACTTGTTTGTATCCTCTTTTATTTCATTGAGCAGTGGTTTATAGTTCTCCTTGAAGAGGTCCTTCACATCCCTTGTAAGTTGGATTCCTAGGTATTTTATTCTCTTTGAAGCAATTGTGAATGGGAGTTCACTCATGATTTGGCTCTCTGTTTGTCTGTTATTGGTGTATAAGGGTGCTTGTGATTTCTGTACATTGATTTTGTATCCTGAGACTTTGCTGAAGTTGCTTATCAGCTTAAGGAGATTCTGGGCTGAGATGATGGGGTTTTCTAAATATACAATCATGTCATCTGCAAACAGGGACAATTTGACTTCCTCTTTTCCTAATTGGATGCCCTTTATTTCCTTCTCGAAAAATATTATTTGTTTTTACATTCCTTATACAGAGTATTAGGATACTTATTCATTGTTGAATGGAGTGTATTCAAAGAAAACCACATAAGCCCTGAGGCTTAATCCTCTTATCTGTAGTGAGGAAAATTGGTCATTTTCTGCATCATCAGTGGTAAAGTAAGTGCTATACTTTGGATGAAGAGGTACCATTTGGTATACTTTGGATGAAGAGGTACCATTATTTGATAATAAACTCTATTAGACATGGGGATGACACCCTCTGTTAAGGCATTGGTGGGTTTCTTGCTCACAGGGCCTTTGAAGATGTCAAGGTCTTTTGGCGAGTCACACTTAACAAAACAGTCGTCGTGCTCCAGAAGGATGGGGTAAACCTGGTGGAGGAACTTCAGTCTGTGTCAGGGACCACAACCTGTACAATGGGTCAAACAAAATGCTTTATCAGCATTGAACTCAAACCAGAAAAGGTAAGAAATGAAGAGACACACTAGTGTCAACTTCTAATTATATTTCTTTAGAATTAATCATTTTAAAACCACTATTGAAACTTACACATTGTTGATAGGGAGATTCTTTGTGTTTTTCTTAGCCATAATGTCTAAATCTCTTTGCCGACAACAGGCTTTAGACAGACTTGATTACATTATGGTATTTTGTAAATAAACTTGTCATTTTTCTATTTTTTTGTTTCTTGCCATTCTAAAATAACAACCATGTAGGTTTAACTTCTTTTATTTGTATTCTTGGTACAATTCTTTCCTTTTCTAGAAATAAATGTCTTATTCACAATTCTTTTTGTTAGCCCCTTCCTACTTACATACAAAGAAAAAAATGTTTATCATTGCTTAATAAATGAACACATGCTTAATAAAAGACATGTCGATATGCTAACTCTTCTACACATTAAAATTAATAAAATATTAAGTATATGCTGTTAGAATCACATTTATCTTGCATGGTATCTCTTTTTTATATTACAATAACATTTCTTTCAGTATCACTATAAATTCAAATTCAAATAATTTTTATTACTTACTAAGTGATTTTCTTTTTGGTATTCAAATAGTCATGGCATGGCCACTGGTAGTCTTATTAAGCTGGTCTTTTGTCTTTTCAATATTACTTTTAAAATATCTGGAAGCATACTTGCTTTATAGCAATAACAAATATTCTAGAGCTGTCTTGATTTTTTCCCTGATGTAAGACAGCCAATTAACTAGTGTCAAAGGACTTGATTTCTTTGATCAGAAAGGATTTTAGAGATCTATATGTATGTACTACAGCTATATAGGAAAGTTGATGCAGGCAAATGTGTTGCTGTTGTGGCCACCTTGGTGGTGGTAGTGCTGGAAAATATATTTTCCTTAAAGCCTGGAATCCCCACTCTTTTTCGTAGTTTAGCATATCACATCATTGTTTTTTGCTTTTCTTGAGTGGAGTTATCATCAGCTACTAAAACTTTCTGTCACACTGACAATGAGGAACTGAAATTTCAATACTCAAGACATTTGATCATATAGTATGTCCTCACTTCACGTCCTCAATAGGCTCTTGGAAACTGCAACTTTACGTGAAACAATGTGCTGTATAATGAAACCAATTTTACCATAGACTAATTGATGTTTATATCAGTTAAACAGTTGACTTCCTACTGCACACAGTATGTCCTTTCATTTAAAGTTGCTGTTTCCAAGAACCTGTCATGGTTAAGTGAAGACTTACTGTATTCTACTTGAATTTAAACTCTTCTTCATGCATTTCTTCCAAATATTTTTATGCTTCCATCAACCCTCTCAACCCCATATTTCTTTTTTTTTTCTTTTTTGAGGTGGAGTCTCACTCTGTTGTCCAGGCTGCAGTGCAGTGCTGTGATCTCGGCTCACTGCAACTTCCACCTCCTGAGTTCAAGCGATTCTCATGCCTCAGCCTCCTGAGTAGCTGGGATTATAGGTGCACACCACCATGCCCAACTAATTTTTGTATTTTTAGTAGAGACGGGGTTTCACCCTGTTGGCCTGGCTAGTCTGGAACTTATAGCCTCAAGCGATCCGCCCACCTTGGCCTCCCAATGTGCTGGGATTACAGGCATGAGTCAGCATGCCTAGCCCCCATATTTCTTAACTATAGCTTTCCGTTAATCAAAATACCACTTTCTCCATGATGCCTCCCATGAAACCTCTAGTTGGAGTCGTTGATTCTCTAAATTTATAAAACATTATCTGTTCCTTTCCTATGGAAATTATCAGTTATATGCAGTGTTACAACTTATGCATAGTTTATATAGACTATAAGACTGTTAGCTGTTCAAAAATTAGAATATGGTTTTGCATTCTTCATAAATATGTTTTGCATACATGATTACTAAATATTATATTGTGCATTTTATCTCAAATAGGATTTTTGGTGAATTAGAATACTGATACGATCTCACTAGGCTTTAAACATCTGTCTCGTACAGTAGATGTTAAACTTGTAATTCTAAGAAGAGAGAGGAGAAGAGCCATTAGGAGTGGGCTTGGGCAAGCTGAATAAAGAGAAATAGGAAAGTTAAAGTATAGGTGGGGTTAGGGTAGACTACTTCCTCTGAGCTTGCCCTCCTTGCAGAAGAATATATAATTAAGGGGTAAGAAAATGTTGTATGCAATACATGGGATGCTAACTGTATATATTTGTTTTCCTAACTAGAGAAATGCTACTGAGCCCATTATCAAAAGTTTCAGTTAGGTAAGAGAAAAAAATTAGTCACACCTCTTCTTTCTCTTTCACATATGATATTCAAATCGTAGAGTTTTCTTCTGCATTCTGAGAAGCAGCTAATTTTCAAGACATTTTTTCCCTCATTATCTTTTCACCTGTTAAAAGGCAAGGAACAAGCAAGGTTAATATATATTCTAGTTTCATTAAGAGGAAATTTAAAAAGAGAGAAGATGGAAGATGATTATTTTCTCATGAAAATGAAAAAGTGTTTTTCAAAAAGTACTATGAACTTTTGATATACATTTTAACATTTTACATGTTATTAGTAGAAGGGAATTTATTACTCATCCAGTTCAAATTATTATTATGTCAGATAAACTGAGACCTAATGATATACACAATACATGTTCTGTGACAATATTCTTCTGTAGTGGGCTTTGAGAAATTATTTGGAGGTCCTAGTAGAGCCACCCAATTATTGCTAGATTTTTGACCTAAGCACCATCTTCTTCATTTTTTGTCAAAGGAAAGACATCAGTTACACTGAACTTATTCTTGGAGTCACTGGAGTCAGTTTAAGAGTTAGGGTTCTGATAATGGAAGACTTTAGTTCAAATATTAACTCTTCTACCAATTAGCTGGGTGACATTGGACAGGTTGCTTAGCCTTCCTGAGCCTCCCAGGTTTAACGGGGTTAATAACAGGGCTGTGAGGCAGATAAAGAAAATAATGAATGAGAAGTTCTTAGCACAGCTCTCGGCAGAGTTGGCCCTTCATAAGAGATGGTGAGTATTGAGATTATTCAGAATGGATGGAGATGGAGCCCGAGGGAATGCAATGACTTGAGTAATAACTACATCAACACAAGTGGTAGAAGAGTTACAGATATTGCAGACACAACAAATGCATCCACAGAATTACACCACTCATTAATGGCAGTGTCCCTCACCTCAATCCAGTCTATTGGCACTCAAAGTTTTTTGACTCTGTCCTATCTCAGATTATCATCTCTACAGTTTTTCAATACTTTCACTTTTGAATTATGAAGAATTTAAGTAACTCGCCCAATTCAATTACTGGGCCAAGATTAGAACTCATCTCTTGAATTCCAGTCCATTTCCCCTTTTCCTGATTATTTATCTTATGATTCTATATTAGTAAAATGTAAAAGGTAACAACTTAGGAAGCATGCTCTTAACCACAAAATCTGTTTGAATCCAGTGTTTAAATATTTGTTGCAAATATTTTCAAAAATATTTAAGTAAGGTATTGTTTCATTGTTACTTTGGTTTTTCTATTGCTGAATAGTTCTGGTCCCTGGAAAAATCATCTTATACTAGTTAGGGCAAAAGATCATCCTGGGATGCTTCTGACCTAACCAGGAAAAGAACCTGCTGGGAATTACACATGGAATGGGCTCTTATGAGGTCTCTGTCATTTTTAGGAGTCTAGGGAGGTTCACATATGATCTGCAAGTCTTGATTTCTCATTAGACTTCAGAAATATTGTTTCAATAGAGTGTTTATTTCTAAGACTTGAAGACTCTTTATGTTACTAGTCTAATGATATGTAGGCACCCATCTTTACACTGTTCAATTTCAGATGATTCTTAACTTAGATTATAACATATTATTTTGTTTGTAGGTGGCTATAAGTATGTTCTAATCATCGTCACAATGAAAAAGGAATATTTTTCTAGAAAATAAAAGTCTGTTGGAATGTAATATACCGAAATCCTTAGTTAAAAGAAACTACTTTGAATTCAAGCTCGCTTGGCCATACTAGGTCTTGAATATAGTTACTATACTTTGATAGTGCTTTAGTTTATTGTATTTGCCAAATGTAGTTTCTCAAAAGTGGACACAGTACAATTATTTCCATATTTCAATATCAACTGACAGTTAATCAGCAACAGTAAAGAATGATATGTGCCACAGAAAAAACTAAGTATTTCTTCAGAAAACAAAAGGAGATTAAGTTGATTTATGCTATAACTAAGATATAACTTACTTATAAACACTTGGATAATTCTGAAGGGTTGGTTGTATCATTTCATGATGTAATAGTTATCATTAAAATGGTCACAAAACATAATGGTCATTGCTGGTAGGTAAAAATGATACATTATATCAAATTAGACAATGTCACTGCAGTTGTAAAGGCATCAGCTTAGCTCCTTTGAGTTATGCCAGATGGGTAACAATATTGCTAAGATTTGTGGATGATTTTGTTAAGAGTGAATCATTAGTAAAAACAGGTGATTGCCAATATGTTATAAAATTGAATTCAGGCTTTAGAAAATAAATTATTTGAGACTGTTGAGAAGGAACCAAGGTGAAACATGAGCAAACTGTAACCAGCAGACTATATTTAGACTATATACTGAATTTTGGAAAATTTTGAAAAATACATAAAACTTCAGAATTGACTATTATAAATATTTGATTATATTTATTTAAAACACTTTAAAAATAAAAGAAATAAAAATAGAACCTTACAAAATTGAAGATCCATTTTTTTCCCCCTCCTCAGTAATATTCTCCAACTCCACTCCCTGCCCTGTCCCCACCCAAACCCTCCACCCAAGGCAACTGCTGTCAGGGTGTGGTAGTTAAAAAAGAAAACTTTACATAAATATGTATCTATTAATAAAATATAGTAAGCTTTATGTAGTTTTAACTTTACTTTTATGGTATCATTCTATACATATCATTATACAGCTTGATATTTTCACTTACTGTCATATTTTGAGATGCATCTGTGTTAAAAAACATTGAATTAGTTTATTCCTTTTAACTACTTTATAGTGTTTTGTGGTATGAATACATTTAATTTATTTTTTTGCTGATCGTAGTAAACATAGGTTGTTTCCTGACATTGATTTTCTAGTAAGAAGCTCGCCCAGAGAAAGTAAATGTATTTTTAAAGAAAGACCAAAAATAAATGTCATGATAATCTAAGAATTTAATTCCGTAATTATACAGAATATATCTCTAGATTTATATATTTATTTCTCTAAAAATGTATATGAATTATACAATATTTAAATATCAGAACTATCTACAGATAGAAATATATTAGTAATAGTTGTTTTTTTTTCCTTTTTCTCATTGTCAGGTACCACAGGTTGAAGTGTATTTTTTTGTGGAACTATATGAAGCTACTGCTGGAGCAGCAATAAACAACAGTGCCAGATTCGCACAGATTAAAATCTTAGAAAGTGATGAATCTCAAAGCCTTGTGTATTTTTCTGTGGGTTCTCGGCTGGCAGTGGCTCACAAGAAGGCCACTTTAATCAGTCTGCAGGTGGCCAGAGATTCTGGGACAGGACTAATGATGTCTGTTAACTTTAGTACCCAGGTAAGCATGGAATATATATATTCATACACGTTATGGTTTTCTTCTTTAACTACAGCAAGAGTAATGACATAGGGAATAATTGATACATTATTTTCTGAGGATAACATCGTAATTCACTTTTTATTCATTACATTAAGCTTTATCCTTGAAACAGCTCAGCTTTTCACTCATCAGTAACAGATCATGTTTTAAAACGACAGACTTCTTTTTTCTCTCTTTTGACAAGATTGATTATACAGTGCAAACTATCTTACATAAATCTGTTTTATAAAATCTCTAGGGAGTTAAAATTTCTTCAGAATGTAACTGTTGAAGGCCAGAAGCAGAAAGTGAGGATCTTGTTATGTTTTGTTTCCAAAACAGTTGAAAATTTTCTTTTTCAGAACCTCCAACACTAGCTGATCTTTACACTTCTTCAAATCCATGTGTTCACAAAGCCTCACTGCCACTTTTTTCACATCCATCCTCTTAGGTGACATCAGATAAAAGACAGGGAGGCTATCTGGGGACTCAGAAGATCAATGCTGCATAACACTAAGTCACCAGACCGTGGGCTTGGCCCCAACAATACCATATACCTTTCAGCCTTATTTTTTTGCTTTTGTTTTAGCAGTGAAACTCTAATATAGTAAAGCAAAAATCTGTCCCTACTCTGCTTGAAGTATGATTGTTAGGATCATAGCTGACCCACCTTAGTCCTCTCTTTGTTCCCCTTACTTTATATAACTTCAGGAAACCCACTATTTGAAAACTGCCATTCTGGACAGCTCTTCTATTTCCAATGTTTCAAGATTCCAAACCAGATGAATCCTTGGGCCTTAAGATTTCACAGTTTCATTAAAAGTTCCCTTTAGTACCTGCCTGGTTGTGTCACCATTGGGTGGCTCAAACAGGACATTCTGTGCATAAAACAGAACATATGTGTGGCCAGTATGTTGTAGCAGTTACATGAGTCAAGATGAGAGAATAGGCCTCAAGCTGTGGATATTAAGCCGTTCTGAAAGTTTGCCAGGCAGTAAAACTTATCTTTACGACAGAGTCCACAGTGCAGCAAACAAAAAGAAAACTCCCTATTATATGAGACCCTAGAAATAAAGTCTATTCTAAATAGCACAAAGTGAAGTATGTTGATTTACAGTAGGAAGACTTGAGTATTTTTATTGGAGTATTTAAGATAGAAGATAAATTATAGAAGTCTGTTTCATTCTTCCTCTTCTCCCATAAAATGTATATCGTTATAACTTACTACTTTGGAGAATGGAAGAAGGGGGACTGGAAATGAAAAACCAGATGATAAAAGAGATTTGAGGCACATCTTAAGCGAGTTTATGTGCTCAGTCAGATGAGAGGGGAATTGAAGTTGCCAAAAGAAGAATCTGAAGGCCAGCAACTCTATCATATTTATTTATATGTTTTCTAGATTCTTCATAAGTGATTCTTTGCAAAATGCATGCTGTCAGTAGTGTATAACTCATAAAGGGCACTTATTTATGGAACAATATATTTTTAGGAATTTCCAGTTTTCCCTACTGAAATGGTTAATTTTATATGTCAACTTGACTGGACCACAGAGTACCCATATATCTGGTCAAACATTATTCTAAGTGTTTCTGTGAGGGTTATTTTTTGGAATGAGATTGGCGTGTAAATCAGTAGACTGAGTAAAGCAGATTGCCTTCATAATGTGGGTGAGCCTCATTCAATCAGTCAAAGTCCTGAATAGACCAAAAAGCCTGGCCCTCCTTTAAGTAAGAGAGAATTTTTCCTGTCTGATAGGCTTTGACTTGGAATAATGGCTTTTTCCGGTCTCTGGACTCAAAATGGAACATTGGCTATTCCTGGGTCTTAAGCCTGCTGGCTTTTGCACGGGAACTACACCATTGGTTCTCCTAGTTCTCAGGCCATAAGGCTTGAACTGGAACTAAACCATTGACCTCCTTTGGTCTTCAGCCTGTGAAATCATCCTGCAGATGATCTTGAGACTTCTCAGCCTCCATAACTGCATGAGCTAATTTCTTACCTTATAATAAATCTCTCTCTCTCTCTCTCTATATATATATACACACACACACATACGTATATATACATATATATACACACACACACACACACAAAAACATAAGTACACGCACACACACACCCTATTCTGACCCTGACCAATAAACATCCTACCCTGCGATTATAGGCTTAGTAGAGAATGTTTGTGGCAGTGCATTAATACCAGTATTTTTATTTTTTAATTTTTGTAGGTACATAGTAGATGTATATATTAATGGGATACATGAGATATTTTGATACAGGCATACAATGCATAATAATCACATCAGGATAAATGGGGTATCCACCACCTCAAGCATTTATCCTTCCTTTTTGTTACAGATAATTCAATTATACTTTTTTAGTTATTTTTAAATGTACAATAAATTATTGTTGACTATAGTCGTGCTGTTGTGCTATCAAATACTAGATTGTATTCATTCTGACTATTTTTTGTACTCATTAACCATTCTAACTTCCCTCAACCCCCTCTGCCCCACCGCCACCACCTTCTCAACCTTTGGTAACCATCATTCTACTCCCTATCTTCATGAGTTCAATTGTTTCAATTTGTAGTTCCCACAAATAAGTGAGAACATTTAATGTTTGTGTTTCTCTGCGTGGCCTATTTCACTTAACATAATAACCTCCAGTTCCATCCATGTTGTTGCAAATTACAGGATCTCATTCTTTTTAATGGCTTAATAGTACTGCATTGTGTATATGTAGCACATTTTCAATATCCATTCACCTGTTGATGGACACTTTGGTTGGTTCCAAATCTTGACTGTGGTGAATAGTGTTGCAACAAACATGAGAGTGCAGGTATCTCTTTGATACACTTTCTTTTCTTTTGGGTATATCCCTAGGATTTCCTTTCTTTTGGGTATATACCTGGGAGTGGAATTACTGGATTATATGGTAGCTTTATTTTTAGTTTTCTGAGGAATCTCCAAACTTCTCCATAGTGGTTGTACTAATTTACATTCCTACCAACAGTGTATGAGGGTTCCATTTTCTCCACCTTCTCACTAGCATTCATTATTGCCTTTCTTTTGCATAAAAGCCATTTAATTGAGGTGAGATTATATTTCATTGTAGTTTTGATTTGCATTTCTTTCATGATTAGTGATGTTGAGCACCTTTTCTTATCCCTATTTACCATTTGTATGTCTTCTTTAGAGAAATGTCTATTCAGATCTTTTGCCCATTTTAAAATTGGATTATTACATTTTTACTCATAGAGTTCTTTGAGCTCCTTATATATTCTAGTTATTAATCCCTTGTCAGATGGGTAGTTTGCAGATATTTTCTCCCATTCTGTGGGCTGTCTCTTCACTTTGTTGATTGTTTCTTTGGTTGTGCAGAAACTTTTTAATTTGATATGATTCCATTTGTCCATTTTTACTTTGGTTGTGGGGTATTACTCAAAAAAATCTGCCAGTCCAATGTCCTAGAGAGTTTCCTCCAACATTTTCTTGTAGTAGTTTCTTAGTTTGAGATCTTAAATTTAAGTCTTTAATCCATTTTTGTTTTGATTTGACTTTCTGTGTATGGTGAGAGATAGGGATCTAGTTTCATTCCTCTGCATATGGATACCCAGATTTCCCGGAACCATTTATTGAAGAGACTGCCCTTTTTCCAATGTACGTTCTTGTCACCTTTGTGGAAAATGAGTTCACTGTAGAAGTACGGATTTGTTTCTGGGTTCTATTCCATTCTGTTCCATTGGTCTATATGTCTGTTTTTATGCCAGTACCATGCTGTTTTGGTTACTGTCACTCTCTAGTATAATTTGAAATCAGGTAATGTGATTCCTCCAGTTTTTTTCTTTTTGCTCAGGATAGCTTTGGCTATTCTGAGTCTTTTGTAGTTCCATTTAAGATTATTTTTCCTATTTCTGTGAAGAATGTCATTGGCATTTTGATAAGGATTGTGTTGAATCTGTAGATTGCTTTGGGTAGTATGAACATGTTAACAATACTGATTCTTCCAATCCATGAACATTAAATATCTGCATTTTTGTGCCTTCTTCAATTTCTTGCATCAATGTTTTTCATAGATTTGTTTTGGTTTTTTGAGATAGGGTCTTGATCTTTTGCCCAGGCTGGAGTGCTGTGGTGTGATCATGGCTTACTACAGCCTTGACCTCCTAGGCTCAAGCAATGCTCCCACCTCAGCCTCTCAAGTAGCCGTGACTACAAGTGCACACCACCACACCTGGCTAATTTTTGTAGTTTTTGCAGAAATGGGATTTTACCATGATACTCAGGCTGGTCTCAAACTCCTGGGCTCAAGCAATCCACCAACTTCAGCTATCCAAAGTGCTGGGATTACAGGCATGAGCCACCATGCCTAGCCAGTTTTACAGTTTTCATTGCAGAGATCTTTCACTTGTTTGGCTAAGTTAATTCTCAGGTATTTTATTTTACTTGTGGCTATTGTAAATGGGATTTTTTTAATTTTCCATATGGTTCACTGTCGGCATATAGAAATGCTACTGATTTTTGTATGTTGATTTTAAATACTGCAACTTTACTAAATTTGTTTATCAATTGTCATTTTTTGTTGTTGAAGTCTAGTTTTTTCCAAATACAAGATCATATCATCTGCAAACAAGGATAATTTGACTTCTTCCTTTCCAATTTGGATGGACTTTATATCATTCTCTTGTCTGATTGTCATTAAAATAATTGCCATTTAAAATAATTGTCATTATTTTAAAATGATGTCATCTTATTACAGATTGCATAAACATACAAGTGAACTAACAAACAAGCAAAGAGGAAACGAATAAAAATTTGACACCTAAACTTTGTACCCCACTTTTTAACTTTTTGTTGTTTCTATTTATATCTTATTATATACTGTCTATGTCTAGAAAAGTTGTTGTAGTTATTATTTTTTATCCGTTCAGTGTTTAGTCTTTCTACACAAGAAATGAGTAGGTTACACACCAAAATTACAGTGTTATAGTATTCTGTAATTTTCTGTGTCCTTGCTATTAACCATGAGTTTTGTACATTCAGATGATTTCTTATTGCTTATTAATATCTTTTTCTTTTAGGTTGAAGAACTTCCGTTAGCATTTCTTGTAGGATAGGACTGGTGTTGATAAAATCTCTCAGCTTTGTTTGTCTGGGAAAGTCTTTCTCCTTCATGTTTGAAGGATATTTTCGCTTGATATACTACTCTGGGATAAAAGTTTCTTCAGCACTTACTAAACATGTCATGCTACACTCTCCTGGCCTGTAAGGTTTCCACTGAAAAGTTTGCTACCAGATGTATGGGAGCTCCACTCTATGTTATTTGTTCCACTTTACTTGCTGCTTTTAGGATTCTTTTTTTTTTTTAAATCCTTAACCTTTGGGAGTTTGATTATTAAATGCCTTGAGGTAGCCTTCTTTGGGTTAAATCTGCTTGGTATTCTGTAACCTTCTTGTACTTGAATACTGATATCTTTCTCTACGTTTGGGAAGTTCTCATTATTAACCCTTTGAATAAACTTTCTCCTTCTATCTCTCTCTTTACATCCCCTTTAAGGCCAATACCTCTTGGAGTTGGCCTTTGGATGATATTTATAGATCTTGTATGCATGTTTCATTTTTATTCTTTTTTCTTTTGTTTCCTCTGCCTATTTTCTTTCTTTCTCTTTCTTTCTTTTTTCTTTCTTTCTCTTTCTTTTTCTTTCTCTTTCCTTCTTTCTTTCTTTCTTTCTTTTTCTTTCTCCTTCCTTCCTTCCTTACTTCCTTTCTTTCCTTCTTTCTTTCTTATTCTTCCAATCCGTGAACATGAAATATCTGCATTTTGTGTCTTCTTCAATTGTTTTGCGATGTCATGTTTTCCTGGATGGTCTTGATGCTTGCGGATATTTGTCAATATCTGGACATTGAAGACTTAGGTATTTATTGTAGTCTTCACAATCTGGGCTTATTTTTACCCATCCTTCTTGGGAAGTTTTTCCAGATATTTGAAGAGGCTTGGGTGCTGTGATCTAAATTTTTGGTTATTGCAGCCATATCTGCATTAGGGGGCATCCCAAGCCCAGTAATGCTGTTGCTCTTGCAGACTCCTAGAAGTACTGCATTGGTGGTCTTGGATAAGATCTGGGAAAATTCCCTGGATTATCAGGCAGAGACTCTTGTTTTCTTCCCTTACTTTCTCCTAAACAAAAGGATCCTCTGTGTCTGTGCTGAACTTCCTGGAGCTGCCAGAGGGTTGATTCAAGGACTCTTGTGGTCACTGCCACTGGGATTGTGCTAGATCAGACCTGAAGCTAGCACAGCACTGGGGGTCTCACCCAAGGCCCATGGTGACCACTGCATAACATATATCATAGTCTAACTAATAAAAATAAAGGCAAGAAAAATATTGAAAGAACTGAGAAAGAAAAGTACCTTATCTTTAGGGCAAAAGCAATCGGAATGACAGGAGATTTCTCATGGAAAACCATGGGTCCCAGGTGGAAATGGCACGCTATTTTTCAAGTGCCAAAAGAAAAGACCCTCCAGCCCTAAATTCTATATCCAGTGAACATATCTTTCACAAGTGAAGAGGAAATTAAGATATTCCCAGATGAAGGAAAAACTAAGAATTTGTTGCACACAGACCTACCCTGAAAGAATGGCTAAAGAAAGATCTTTAAACAGAAAGGGAATGATAAAAAGGAAAGAACTTTGGAACATCAGGAAGGAAGAAAGAACACAATAAACAAAAGTAGATTTCACCAGAAAGGATGTACAGATGAAGAATAAGCATATAAAATGATGTTCAACACCATTAGCTATTAGCAAAATGAAACCACAGTGGGATATCACTAGATGCCTACCAGAATGGCTAAAATAAAATCCATGACAATACCAAATGCTGGTGAGAATTCACAGAGACTGGATCACTTATTCATTGCTGATGGGATGCAAAATGGTAAGCCACTCTGGAAAACAGTTTAGAAGTTTCTTCAAGAATTAAACATGAACTACCTTATGACTCAGGAGTTGCAGTCCTGGACATTTATTCCTGATAAATGAAAACTTATGTTCACACAAAAACTTGCACATGAACATTTATAGTAGCTTATTAATAATAGCCCCAAAGTAGAAACAATTCAGGTGTCCTTCAATGGGTGAATAGTTAAACTGTGGTATATCCATGTATGGAACACTCCTCACTAATAATAAGAAACATACTATTGATACACATAACAACCTAATCTCCATATAATCATACTAAGTAAAAAAAAAAGCTGATACCAAAAGATTATGTACTGTATGATTCCATTTCTATAATATTATTGAAATTACAAAATTATAGGAATGGAAAAGAAATTGGTGGTTGCCAGAGATTAAGGAGGGAATGGGCTGGGGTGACACGAGTGTAGCTGTAGAAGTTAACATGCAGAATTCTTATGGGGATGAAAATGTTCTGTCTCTTGACTGTATCAATAACAAAATCCTGGTTGTAATATTATATTACAGTCATGCAAAATGTTACTAATGAAGGAGTTTGGGTAAAGGGTGTAGGAAATCTCCTTTATTATTTCTTATAACTGCATGTAAATCTGCAATTATGTCAGAATAAAAGTTTAAACAATTGGAAATGACAGTTTCACCTCTCTGGTATTATTTTATTTTCCTGTTGCTTAATTGCCCTTGTGTTGTTCTCTAAGTGCTAGGCATATTACTAGAAGACAGAGACATACAATTCTCTTTTCCAGTAGCTGGCATGAATGAGAAAATAATTATGGATCAAGTTGTTATTCTGTTATGATATTGATTTTCATTTTACTTTAAATAGATTAATGCAATTAAAACAGTCATTGTAACATAGATACCCTTTGGTAGACCAGCATTCCCATGTACGTAAGTACTGTAGCCTTAGCATCTGTGGCTTATATCTAAGTTTGTGATATAAAGTTAAGAAGGAATTTCTGGTCCTTCCTATTTGAGACAATAAAGACATCTATTATTCTAGTTATCTTTCAGTTAAATAGACCTATAGCTAAAAACAAATTTGAAACTGATTCCAAATACTTTCTTTTATATATGTGTGCTAGCTGAAAGCACACAAGTTCAAGAAAGACCATGTGTTTTCCTTATTTTCACGTTGCCTATTCCATTCAAAGACTATTTCTATATTGATTTTCTTTTTTTTTTTCTTTTTTTTTTTGAGATGGAGTCTTGCCCTGTCGCCCTGGCTGGAGTGCAATGGTGCGATCTTGGCTCACTGCAACCTCTGCCTCCTGGGTTCAAGCTATTCTCCCGGCTCAGTCTCTCGAGTAACTGCGATTACAGGCACCCACCATCATGACCGGCTAGTTTTTGTATTTTTATAGAGGTGACATTTCACCATGTTGGCCAGGCTGGTCTTGAGCTCCTGACCTCAAGTGATCCACCTGCCTTGGCCTCCCCATTGTCACTTTTAAATTGCATAATTCTTCTTTGTGTTTATTATATGTATTTTATAAACACAAGAACATTTTGATTGTTTCATTTCCTTTAAATATTTGAACTATGAAATAAATCCTGCGAAAAAACAGTGGGCCAAATGTATACATACAGTTTTTAGTAATCAAATCACTACCACCTTGTTTCAGAAATTTAACTTTATCTGAATTTTAGTATAAAACTTTCCATTATGAACCCCTCTGATGCCATCTTGCTTTTTCCTTGACTATCCCCACCTTGCAGATAATTTATATCTTGAATTTTATGTTAAATTATTCATATTCTTTTTAAGTAGTTCTATTCTTATATATTATTTGGGTTTACCTGTTTTGGAAATTGTGCAAATGAAATTAATCCAATTGTATTGTTCTATGGTCCCTGTTTTGTTCAATCATATGTCTGTGAACTATCCATGCTGATGTGTGTACTTGAAATCCTTTCATTTTAACTGTTATATAGTATTTCAGGGAATATTTTAATGTATCCATTCTAAAGCCATTAGATTTTTGAGTTATTTCCTT
This sequence comes from Homo sapiens, assembly GCF_000001405.40. NCBI lineage: Eukaryota > Metazoa > Chordata > Mammalia > Primates > Hominidae > Homo > Homo sapiens. The sequence goes on from NC_000005.10 coordinate 90,838,188, forward strand.
CAGTAAGGCTTTTTATTTTATCGTTACACTGCAGATGCTCTTAAAAAGCATTCATTGATTTTTTTTTTCATTTTTTGACACAATCAATCACTTCCTCCTTCCTGAAGAATGCTCTTCTTTGGGCTTTTGTAATAACACACCTTCCTGCTCTTAATCCTTACCTCACTTGGAGCTCCTTCCTGTTGGCTATGTTGGTCTTCCTAGCCAGTAAATGTTGGGATCCACCAAGAATCAATCTCCAGGCTAGACTATATAGAACTGTTTATTAAATATCATCTGTACACTGAGGACTTCCACATTTTTATCACTAACCTCATCACCTCTCCTGATCCAGACCCATGTATCTGATTGCTCTTACGTGATGTCGTCACTTGAATGTCTAAGAGGCATCTCAGACTTACTATGTATAACAGATAACTCTTGATTTGTCCCTTAACAATATTTTCCCCAGTTTTCCACCATTCATTATCCATTTACCCATTCATCTAGGCAAGCAGCTAGGAGTTACCTTCACTTCTCCTCTTCCTTCCACCCAATATCAAATTCATCAGAAAGTTCTATTGACTCTAAGCTGAGCGTAGTGGTGCAAGCCTGTAGTCCCAGATACTTAGGAGAATCTCTTAAGCCCAGGAGTTGGATACCAGCCTTGTTGATATAGCGAGACCCTCATCTCGAAAAAAAACCCAAAATGAAACAAACAAAAAAGTCCTATTGACTCTACATTTAAATATATTTCTAGTCTGAGTGCTTCTACTCATGTGTATTTCTAGTCTGAGTATTTCTATTCATGTGACCCTATTTATTCTACCACTGTTTCTTGCATGAACGAATGCAAAAACCTCCATGCTCATTCCCTACTATATCCTAATATACACAATAGCCAGAACACTCATGAATAATGATAAATAAAATGTGTCATTCTCTTGCTTGAATCCTCTAGGGTCTTCCTGCCACATTTTGAATAATGAACCTACATGCCTACATGATCTGACTCCTATCTACCTCTCTGTTTTTTGTTTTTGTTTTTTGTTTTGTTTTTTGTTTTGAGATGGAGTCTCACTCTATTGCCCAGGCTGGAGTGCAGTGGCATAATCTCAGCTCACTGCAACGTCTGCCTCCCGGATTCAAGCGATTCTCCTGCCGCAGCGTCCCCAGTAGTTGGAATTACAGGTGCTTGCCACCATGCCCGGCTAATTTTTTGTATTTTTAGTAGAGATGGGGTTTCACCGTGTTAGCCAGGATGGTCTTGATCTCCTGACCTTGTGATCCACCCACCTCAGCCTCCCAAAGTGCTGGGTTTACAGGTGTGAGTCACCACACCCAGCCTCCACCTCTCTTACAGCAGCATCCAGCACTCTCCTTCTAGTCACATTGGCCTTAGGTTCTTCCTTGAACAGACTAAGATGGTTCCCATCTCCAGTGCCTTTGTAATTATTCTTTCTGCCTAGAATATTTCCCAAGATCCTTATGTAGCCTATTCATTTATTTCCTTGCAGTCTCTGTTCAAATATCACAAGAGCTTCTATGTCCAGTTTTATATAAAATGCTACCCTTTCCATCACCGTGCATTCCCTTACCTACTTTTATTTTTCTTCATAGAACTTGTCTTCAGGTAAAAATCTATCATTAATTCCACAACCCTTGTACAACCTGTATCCTCTGCTAGAATAGTAGGTTCTATGAGTGCAGGTATTCTGCTGTTCAAATCTATATCCATTGTATGTCACTTGGCTTGTACTAGGAGTTTAATAGTTCTTGGCTCAGTAGTAAATAAATGCACATTCCTTTGATTCTTCCTTGACTAAAGTGTTCATGCTTCACGTTCCAAAACACTTTTTCCAAGAAAACTTTTCAATAACCATAATTTGAAGAAGAGCAGAGGTATATATGTCCAGGACCCTACTCCTTAGGATATTTCCATATTTGAGTGTAAACATGAAACCAATTTCTTCTACTTCTGCTTTCCTCCCCTCTGCCTTCTCTCTACTCTCCCCAGCCTGCCCCCCAAAATTTCTATGTGACAGTGAAAATATAAATATTCCTCCTTTTCCTGCATACTTATATTTTACCACATGTGTTATTTGAAGCACGATTTTCAATCACAATTGGAGAAATGGAGGCAAGAGTGACATTTCTGGTCTAATTTGCTTCCTTGGTCCATTTGAAGGCATCTCTTTCCTAATCTCATCACTGTATGTTATGTATTTATCTCTCTAATTTATCTTAGCAGATTATGAAAAGTATAAAACCCCATCTTTAGGTAGTACTGTCATCATCATTGCCCTTCAGTTTGTTTAAGAGAAATTGAATTTGTTTAAGAAACAAGAATTTGTTTAGGACAAGATCAGAGGTGTCATAGATTCACTTAAATGGTGTTGTTTAATTTCTAGGAGTTGAGGAGTGCTGAAACAATTGGTCGTACCATCATATCTCCAGCTATTTCTGGAAAGGATTTTGTGATAACTGAAGGCACATTGGTCTTTGAACCTGGCCAGAGAAGCACTGTATTGGATGTCATCCTAACGCCAGAGACAGGATCTTTAAATTCATTTCCTAAACGCTTCCAGATTGTCCTTTTTGACCCAAAAGGTGGTGCCAGAATTGATAAAGTGTATGGGACTGCCAACATCACTCTTGTCTCAGATGCAGATTCGCAGGCCATTTGGGGGCTTGCAGATCAGCTACATCAGCCTGTGAATGATGATATTCTCAACAGAGTGCTCCATACCATCAGCATGAAAGTGGCCACAGAAAACACAGATGAACAACTCAGTGCCATGATGCATTTAATAGAAAAGGTAAGTTTTTGTGAATATTAGTAATTTGTTTAGTGAAATTTTGTAAATTTAAAAACCCAAGTAAAACCAAAATCACATTCTCTTTTAACATTGGTTATTATGAAATTATGATAAATTTAGATTTCTGAACATAGGAATAGAATGCATCATATCTGACACTGTCCTCTTCCTTGGATATGACTGATGCCTCTTTGGAAATCTCAGTCTTAGGCTTGGAGAATGACCTAGTGCAGTAGTAAAGACAGCCTAGTGCATGAAAAAAAAGGCTCCAGAGGTTGGGAGCTATAGGCAGTTGGCGACTCTCCAGAAACTGGCCAATTAACTTTGTAGTTTGAGCCTCAGTTTTTTTAGTCCATTAAGAAAAAGGACTTGAGCTAGATTATCTACATAGTCCTTCCAGTTTAAATGCCATGGAATAGAAATTATCACCCTCTGCTTGTTCTTTAGTCCTCACGGGCACTGAAAACTTTCACAGAAAAGAAAAATTAAGAAATGACTAGATAATTTCAGACATTCCATTTGGTATATACTTGTACAAAACAGATTTTATTTTAAACCTATTTACTTACAACTCTGCAAATGATGGAATTAAATGGAGATGTGAGAGCCTAAGAATATAAATTTTGAAAGATATCTATAAAGTTATTACTTAAAAAAAAAGCCTCCTTTGGAGGTTTACTTTGGGCTTTCTTATCAAGATATTTCCTATCAATATATTTATATACAAGAACTGAATGTTTTGAGTACATACCCATGAATGTATAATTACTACATCTCTTACATAATGACCTTAAAATACTTTAGATGTTAACAATGGGGTTTTAGATAGTCGTGCATACTTTCCATCCAGTGGTATCTCTTAAAATACAATGCTTGAAAGATAGAAAAGAAAATTATAAAGTACAGAGGTAAAAAGAGCAGGCCATGGCAAACATCTTATAAAGCAAAGGGAAGCGATTGCTATTTCATGCAGAGAAAATTCTGCAGTAAAAACTCACTCCACAAAATATTATTACTTGAATTTTCTAATGGCCCAATGGCGTAGGACAATGCCAAGTTGTTTTTGGCCAGGGAAAGAGAAAGAATGTCCAGTAATTACATTTTAGGGAAGGAAACAGGACCTCACTTCATATGATTTAGGGAAAATATATGGAAATTCTGCTACTTTTTGTTCTCAATAAGTTATGTATGTTAACCAAGTTATTATTGGTTAAGAATCAACACTTATTTCAGTAGAGTTGTCAGATAGTACATCTTGACTGTTACTAGTACTATCGTGAATAATACAATGGAATTATAAAAGTAGCTCCTATGGGAAAATGTAATTAACTTTTTTTGAGTAACCATTAGCAAACAGTACAATTTTCTCATATATGAAGATACTTAAATAAATAACCTGGGAATACTTGGAGGGATAAAATATATTTTAAATGTTATAAAAATATTGTAATATTGTAAAATATTGCCTGTAATCCCAGCGGAGGCGGGATTGGGAGGCGGAGGCAGGCAGATCACTTGAGGTCAGGAGTTCAAGACCACCGTGGCCAACATGTGAAACCCTGTCTCTACTAAAAATACAAAAATTAGCCGGGCATGGTGGCACATGCCTGTAGTCCCAGCTATTTGGGAGGCTGAGGCAGGAGAATCGCTTGAACCCAGGAGGTGGAGGTTGCAGTGAGCCGAGATGGTGCCACTGCTCTCCAGCCTGGGCAACAGAGCAAGACTCCATCTCAAAAAAAAAAATTGTAAAATCAAGTAGAAAACATCATTTGAATTCTTAAAAGAAAATGACTAGTATTTTATTTCAGCCAAAGCCTTCTTTGCTCTGGTTATTTTCAAATCAAGTTATTGTCACTACTTTTTTAAAAATAGTATGATATAATGTACTCTCAAATTCCTTTTTTATATGTACATCAATACTGAAATCTGTTGATTTAACTGACTTATTTAATAATTATAGAAATATATATTACATATGTACATACAGAAAATATATAAAGAAAACAAAAATTCTACTAACATAGACTTCAGTAAATGGAAATTCATACCTTGTTCTGCAATAAGAAGATTCAATATATGGACACAACAGTTTTCTGTAAATTAACCTATAAATGAATCGTAATTCCTATCAATATATCATTAGGTTGTTTTGGGGTTATTTTTACATTGATAAAATGATACTAAAGTTTACCTGGAAATGTAAACATGTGAAAATGGGCAGAACTTTCCTGAAAAAGAAGAAAAAAGGAGAGGGACCTTGCCCTAGCAGATATGAAAACATATTTGAAATATGGTGTTACTGTGATTAAAGGGGCACCGGTGCAGACATAAACATTCACATCAATGGAATAGAACAAAAAGTTCAAAAACTGAAGCATAGATGAAAATTTTATATGTGATAAAGTGCTATTTAAAAATCAATGGGTCGAAAATATTATTCAGCAAATAGTGTTGGATGGCTGATGTAACCATTTGAAAGCAAAATAGAGCTGAACCTTATCCTAAATTCTACCCCCAATAAATTCTAGACAGATCAAATATTTCAGTGAAAAACTGAAACCATGAAAGTAGCAGAAAACGTGGATCAGTCATTTCATCGTTTTAGTTTAGAATGGGGAAGATCTTTCCAAAGCCTCAGACAAAACCCAGAAGCCACAAAGGAAATGACTGATAACTTGACCACATACAGTTTAAATAAAATTTCTCTTAGCATACACCAAAGCAAAGTGAAAACACAACTAATGAGTGTGGGGAACATTTTTGCAAATACACGTGTGATGAGAATGTTTATTTCAGCATTACTTCTTATAACGATAAAAACTGGGAAAAACGATAGCCATTATGAGGGGCCTGACTAAATGAATGCATGAAATGTATTTAAAAGTGCAAGAAATACATATTTTATATTTTAAGCATAGCAATAATAATGAGAATAATAAAACAAGAACTGAAAATTTGGATTATCACATAAAGATAAGGTGGCAAAATTTACCAAATAAAAAGAAGGAATGCTCAGTTAAGTTTGAATTTCAGATAAACCACAAATACATTTTTTAGTATAAGCATATTGCAGATACTTATTTGGGACATATTTATACCAAAAAGTTATTGTTGCCTGTCTAAAATTCAAATAAGGTCATTTGTACTTTACCTGGCAAACCATTTATATATGCCATATGAAATTATATACACTCTAAAATAACCTCATATTAAAAAGGACAGAATAGAACTTCCAAGTACTGGAAGGTACTTCATTCTGTAAGATATTATATTTTAAGTGAAATTGTTTTACATTTTTAAATTTTATTTTCCCCCACATTCTAAGTTCTTTGAAACAAAATCTATTATATACAATGTATTTCTTTTAAAAGATCTCAATAAATCTTAAGTAATATTATTACACATGCTAGAAGTGGCACAAGTATTATACTAAAAAAGAGCATCAGCTTTAAATGCCTCACTATAAAGACTTTCTGTATGAAATCCAGCTGTGGGTTCAGGCAAATTTTTGCTATGACAGAATATTCTATCCCCTGATTTTCCCAGGCATAGTGAAATAAAAAATATTTTAAAAGCTCTTAGTCGTCTTAATAGCAAGAGCAGTCTAAAACCCCCCTGAATCTGATATGCTAACTTTCAATTTCGTCAGGTTTTGATTTTGTCGTTATCAAAGCTTGGCAAAGCCCATCAGGAGGTGTTGACTCTAATTTTTTGTTCTGAAACACTTGAAAGAGCACAGGAATAATTAGTTCTGTAAAAGTTTGATAGACTATCCCCTACCTCCAAAGGCCTCCGTCTTTGTCTTCTATCCTGACAACTTCTTAAGTTTTTTCCATGGTTGATTCAGGTCTTCTACTTGTTCGTAAGGCAATTTTAATAATGTTGGGAGTTCTTTTGTTGTTTGTGTAAACTGGCCTTGTGGAGCCAGCCTGTTTCTTTTCATCATATACTTTTTAATAACAGATACCTTATATTTCAAGAATTAGTTTTTACACTTGATTTATTTTGTAATCATACTAACAAGGATTTTGAGTTAACTCTGTATTTTACTGGCTGGTTTTGTATTTCATGCTCGAGGTAATTTTGACTGACTTGTCTGTGAACTGAGTCAGTCCAGGTGGTTGCTTTGGCACAAGCAAGTGGGGAGTGTTGCCAGGCAGTGTAGGGCGGCTGTCAGGAGCACCTCCTAGGCTTCGTGGTCACCAACTGTGTGCGAACACAATTGTGCGCAAACAAAAAGAACAAGTTAGTCATCCTCCTTCTGCCTTAGTTTCCCTAACTGGAAACAAAGACAATAGGACCTTCCTCACAGGTTGTTGTGAAGAGTAGTTGCTAGAAAGTGCTGAAAACTACAAGGTCCCTGTACTAACTGAGTATTATAGAAATGGCCTTTTTGTTTCAGTTTTGTGTGCTTTACTAAAAGAAACTTTGTTTTTTTTTAATATGAATGAAAGTGTGGGTAGCCATAGAATGCCTGGATCACAGCCTTTAATTCTTACAATTCTGAACATATTGCTTGGCTGGCTTCTGACATTTCATTTTTAGAAAAGTCGGAAGTTAAACTAAATTTTTGTTTTTCTGTTGGTAATTTTTTTCCTGTCTGGTTTCTGGTATGATTTTTTTTTTACTCTTGAAATAATATTTTTTAAAATCACCCAAATATATCTGGTGTTGTCTCTTTTTCTAATTTTCCCTAGTATAAAAGCAATCTCTACATTTTTAGACATGAATATTCTTCAGCATTTTAAGGAGCTGTGTTATTTTTTGCCTCTGCCTGCTCTTTTATATATAGAATTATATCTTAGGGATTTGTCAAGATTTGTCCTACTAGCCTGTTATCTTTTCTCTGAGTTCTGGGAGATTTTCTTGAGCTTGTTTCCATTTATCATATTCAGTTTGCTTGTTTCAGTATCCAGTGGTTGTGCTCTGTCTCCATTTGTAATTTTTGCATTGCTAAATTTTTATTCTGTGTCTTTTACATTTCCCTGTGGGTTATTCTCCACTCTGCCTTACTATGTGGGAGATGACTATTCTTATAAATGCCAATCTTGAGCTCTACCATGAGCTTGGAACTGTACTAGATTACAAAGTCATAAAAAAATGAGGAACATGATCCACTTTCACGATGAGCTTGAAACAGATAAATCATTTCAAGGTTGTCATAAGTTCACTGATAAAGTTACATGTAAGTTACAAAGAGAGTGATAATGTAGGTTGGTAGATGGGGCATAGTGTAAGAATCATAGAGCTTGAAACAGATAAATCATTTCAAGGTTGTCATAAGTTCACTGATAAAGTTACATGCAAGTTACAAAGAGAGTGATAATGTAGGTTGGTAGATGGGGCATAGTGTAAGAATCATAGAGAAAGTGATGACTTTTAGAGTTTGAGGAAGTAATAGGGACTTATCAGAAGGTAATGGAGTAAGTGGCTTCACACCAATGCTTAAACGATAAAGATGTGGTCCTGTGTCCGGAATTGGTGGGTTCTTGGTCTCACTGACTTCAAGAATGAAGCCGTGGACCCTCGCAGTGAGTGTTACAGTTCTTAAAGGCGGCGTGTCTGGAGTTTGTTCCTTCTGAGGTTCGGATGTGTTCAGAGTTTCTTCCTTCTGGTGAGTTTGTGGTCTTGCGGGCTCAGGAGTGAAGCTGCAGACCTTCGCAGTGAGTGTTACAGCTCGTAAAGGCAGTGTGGACCCAAAGAGTGAGCAGTAGCAAGATTTATTGCAAAGAGCGGAAGAATAAAGCTTCCATAGTGTGCAAGGGGACCCGAGCAGGTTGCCACTGCTGGCTCAGGCAGCCTGCTTTTATTCTCTTATCTGGCCCCACCCACATCCTGCTGATTGGTCCGTTTTACAGAGAGCCGATTGGTCTGTTTTACAGAGCGCTGATTGGTCCATTTTGACAGGGTGCTGACTGGTGCATTTATAATCCCTGAGCTAGACACAAAAGTTCTCCATGTCCCCACTAGATTAGCTAGATACAGAGTGTCAATTGGTGTATTTACAAACCCTGAGCTAGACACAGAGTGCTGATTGGTGCACTTACAAACCTTGAGCTAGATACAGAGTGCTGATTCATGCCTTCACAATCCCTTAGCTAGACATAAAGGTTCTCCAAGCCCCCACCAGATTAACTAGATACAGAGTGCCAATTGGTGCATTCACAAACCCTGAGCTAGACACAGGGTGCTGATTGGTGTGTTTACAAACCTTGAGCTAGATACAGAGTGCTGATTGGTGTATTTACAATCCCTTAGCTAGACATAAAGATCTCCAAGTCCCCACCAGATTAACTAGATACAGAGTGCCTATTGGTGCATTCACAAACCCTGAGCTAGACACAGGGTGCTGATTGGTGTGTTTATAAACCTTGAGCTAGATACAGAGTGCCGATTGGTGTATTTACAATCCCTTAGCTAGACATATTCTCCAAGTCCCCACCAGACTCAGGAGCCCAGCTGGCTTCACCCAGTGGATCCCGCACCAGGGCTGCAGGTGGAGCTGCCTGCCAGTCCTGCGCTGTGTGCCCACACTCCTCAGCCCTTGGGCGGTTGATGGGACTGGGTGCCCTGGAGCAGGGGGAGGTGCTTGTCAGGGAGGCTTGGGCTGCTCAGGAGCCCACGGTGGTGGGGGGAGGCTCAGGCATGGTGGGCTGCAGGTCCCGAGCCCTGCCCCGCAGGGAGGCAGCTAAGGCCCGGCAAGAAGTCGAGCACGGCAGCTGCTGGCCAAGGTGCTAAGCCCCTCACTGCCCGGGGCTGGCAGGGCTGGCTGGCCGCTGAATGCGGGGCCCACTGAGCCCACGCCCACCCGGAACTCGCGCTGGCCCTGGTTCCCGCCCTGGTTCCCGCCTCTCCCTCCACACCTCCCTGCAAGCTGAGGGAGCCGGTTCCCGCCTCGGCCAGCCCAGAAAGGGGCTCCCACAGTGCAGCGGTGGGCTGAAGGGCTCCTCAAGCGCGGCCAGAGTGGGCACCAAGGCCGAGGAGGCACCGAGAGTGAGCGAGGGCTGTGAGGGCTGCCAGCACGCTGTCACCTCTCAGTCCCCCGTCATTTTGGATTTTTCCTCCTTTTTTCCCCTGTCTCTCAAAAAAACAAATAACCCAGTTTTTTTTTAGTAGGAAGGGTCATACTTACTGAAAAAGGCAAAAGCTCTTGACTAATCTTGAAAAGGATTTTCTCATTTGGTGCTTTAAATATTTAGTGATTATGGTAGCTTCTGTTTACTGGAAAAAAATAATTTTGCCACTATTATAAACAAATATTCTTGAGGTATTTATTTCCTTATTTGTTGGTCAAAAGAATAAGAATCCCTAGGGTAGATGTAAAAGTGAGACTAATTTTAACTCATGATGTTAATTATTGTAGTTAAAATTAAATAATCTGTGCAGGCATTTAGGACTTTATCTAATGATTAAGTAGAAAATATTTTGGTGATTATGCCTTTTCTTTATAGATGATTACTTATGCCTTTTCAACTGCAAATATATATATTTGAAATATAATTTTGATACCAATTTCTCTTAAGTTTTCATAGGTTTATCCTTACTAATGTTAATAACTATTAATAAGGAACACACACACATATATGTATAGCATATAATTTAAGAAATTTATTTTTATAGATATATTTTTATACTTAGATTCTTTTTCCAGATAACTACTGAAGGAAAAATTCAAGCTTTCAGTGTTGCCAGCCGAACTCTTTTCTATGAGATTCTTTGTTCTCTTATTAACCCAAAGCGCAAGGACACTAGGGGATTCAGTCACTTTGCTGAAGTGACTGAGAATTTTGCCTTTTCTCTGCTGACTAATGTTACTTGCGGCTCTCCTGGTGAAAAGTAAGTATCTTTTAATATATTAGCAGTACCTTTTATGCATTTTTTTCACTGTTTACAAAGCAATATGTAATGCAAAATGACATTTAGATGATGTAACTAAGAATGATACAGTCAATGCATTGTACCACTTGGAAAGTTGAAGTTAATTATTTGAAGGAAACATAGCAGGTACATCAAAAAAATAAATGTATACTGTCAACAATATATTCCACTTATTTTGAAGTGTTTTTTGAAAATAACAAAAGCCTTACTGTTTACTCTTATTTATTTAATGAGTGAAAGATACATTCTGAATAGAAAAAAAAAGAGAGATTACAGCCTTTAGGAGTGTTTTGATGTGTTATTAATTGTGCTTTCCCCAATCACAAACAACTGTGATTGTTCTGTCCATTTGGAGACAACTCTCAGACTGTTGTTGAACTTCAGACTAGTTGTCGGAAAGCTAGCAAGAGGAAAAGGAAAAAATAAAATGTGGCTCATGTTCATTATTAACTACATAATTAATTTTATAACTATATGTTAACATACCTCTATGCTATAGGTACTATACTAATTACCTCTATATTAACTATATATATATTTTTTTAGATGGAGTTTCGCTCTTGTCGCCCAGGCTGGAGTGCAATGGCGGGGTCTCGGCTCACTTCAACCTCCGCCTCCTAGGCTTGGGTGATTCTCTCACCTCAACCTCCCTAATAGCTGGGACCAGAGGCGTGCACCACCACACCTGGCTTATTTTTGTATTTTTTGTAGAGATAGAATTTCACCATGTTGCTCAGGCTGGTCTTGAACTCCTGGGCTCAAGCGATCCACCTGTCTTGGCTTCCCAAAATGCTGGGATTACAAGCGTGAGCCACTGTGCCCAGCCCAATGTTAGTTCCTAGGTCACAAGACATACGAAGTTCAAAGAGATAGTCAATCCAGATAGAAAAAAGTTATAAGAACAAGGAATAAAATAATAATGATACAAATGATATTAATTATACCTCTGCTATAGTCCTGACATTGATTTAAATTGAACAATATCGATTGCCTTTGTTAATAGGTAAAAACAGTATAATGAAATTTCCATGTGGTTCAACCTAATCCTTGCTAAAAGTTGTACATATTGTTTTGTCCTTACAGAGATCATTTTAAGTAGCTATTCAGGATTTGAGTGAGGGCTTTTAATACCCCTATTTACAGATGTAGACACTAAGGCTAGAAATCTTACACAGCTTGCCAAGGGTCACACAATTAGTTCATGGAGAGGCCTGGACTCAACCCCAGACTTACTTGAGTCTACAGCCCCTGCTGGACACCTGTGGTCAGAATAGATTGTAACCACCTACTTCATAGCAAAATCTGCCCCCTCCAGCCCATGGCTCTGAAGTGCCCTATACTTTCATCCCAGATCAGTGCTAGGGTGTGACTTGAGGTAAAGGTACAGAATCAACATATCCCTATACTCTACTTTTCCTTTAATTTTGATGAGTGAGTCCTGGAAATTGAGGTTTTTTCTTAATGTGCAAAATCAGAAAAGCCTCACATGGGGCTTTTGAAAGGATTCTCCAATCCTCACCACTGCTCCTAAATGTCCATCTGAGACCAATGATTAACAGTTCAGCTCCTTAGTGCCTCTTATAAATGTCTCTAATGCTGTCTTCAGAAACCTCTGAAATGGATCATTTATTTGCTTCAAGTAAGTTTGCACTAAGTGAGGCCACAGTATGCATTTGTGTGTGTGTGTAGTCAAGAATACCTGTTATTGTTTTCCCCTGTTGAACTATGTTCAACTATTTTGTTCAATGAAATCAAGCAGTTCATAGCTTTGCAATCCCCACAATCTCATTCTTCTTTTCCATTTTCCCTATATCTCTATAAGATCACCAGCATGTTAAAATCACAAGGTTGTCTTAGATGTGAACCATCTACCTTGCTGTGCATGTTGAGTCCCATATCTATGCCTTCAAGGGCCCAGTGAAAACTCAAGAGCTTATAAGATGCACAGAAAGAGTGGCCTTTTCTGTTTTGTTTTGTTGAATGCTGTATTCACTGGGCCTAGAACAATGTCTGGTATGTGGTGGATTTTCAATGGTTACAATAAAATGAGGGAGTAGAATGAGTAAATGAATCAACATGTTTTCTGCCATACGCTTCCACTAAATAGACTTACCTTTCCTTTTGAGTTGTCCAGGAAGAGGAAACAGCATGTACAATGGCAGTCAGGCAAGAATTAGCATGGTATGTTTGGGGAGCTCATCAGTTTTTTAAAGATTGAACATGGAGTAAGCTAGGTAGGGTGTGTGTGTGTGTGTGTGTGTGTGTGTGTGTGAGAGAGAGAGAGAGAGAGAGAGAGAGAGAGAGAATGAATCTGACTTTGGATTTTAGAGACATTATGTTGAGAAGAGTGTTAAAGGTTAGAGAATAGGGCAAATAAAGAAATAGGAAAACCACATAGGGGATTACTGTTCAGGTAAAAGAAAATGAGGACTGAAATTAAGGCAGGGACATGGGAGGGTGGTACCTTGAAAACAATTAGGTGGTAGAATTAATATGAAGATGACAAATTGAACACAGAAAATAAGAGAGAGATCAAGACTAGTTTGTTTACTCAGGAAGCCCTAAAGATGCTGAACATTCTGATATGCATTATTTATACATTGTCTTGAGCAATATTAAGGGAGTCTGCTGAGAGTTAAGCATTTGGGGAGTGAGCAAGGATATTGAGGAGAATGACGGAATCTAGAACAATCACTTGGAAGCCAAGTAAAAATAATGCCAGGTGGCACTGAGGGTCCAACTGAGGTTGGTCACTGTGAATTTGCGGTGGTGCCAATCTACATGTCAATGTGGGAGTTTTCCCCCTCATATCAACTTAGGTATAAAGCAGACTGTGGGATTGATCAAGGTGAATGCATTTGAGGGACATAGGTGTCATAGGATAAGGTATCAGGGAAATTATGGTTATCAGCAAATAGAAGGTGTCAGGAATTTGTTATGCTTGCATCAAGCTTAGGAAGAGTCACTGCATGTGGTGATGTTCTTAGTTTGACAAGATAACAGAGTCCCTGACTGGACTGAGTCTCAGTAGATGACAAAGGGTGGGAGGGGAAAAGGGATGTGGAGTCATGTGTTTGAGGTTCACTGGTCTCTTCCACATTGTATCTGGTCAGGGTGTCTGCAGTGACACCTTTTAGGCTGAGAGTCACCATTGAAGATGTGGTGACTTCAGATTAAAAGATGAGATTTTGACAAGCTATGGTGGAGGTGGAGGTATGTGAGGTCCACACAAATTGAGGTGTTTCAATAGGAGACATGGACAAAGGACCTAGAGCCCCAGGTGAATAAGTGGATTCAATTCAGGTATTTGAAGGCACCAATTCAAATAGGGTAGCTGAGGTTACAGAGGAGATTTTTTGTAGAGAGGATGTACCACTACAGGAAAAAGTTGGCCCTTACTCTTTCTTTTCCTGACTCAGTTTAAAATTCTCTGCTCCATTTCCTACGTCTGGGGTCTTGACAAGATATCATGTAAATCTACGACGTAGTTGTACATACTCTACATCTATTGTGACATATATAACTTTTAACATTTAATGCATAAATCTTATCCCAACATTCTAATATTCTCTCAACTTTTCCAGGCAGGTTTAAGATCTGATTTATCTGTGTGTCTCCTGATTGTTTGCAAACATGATGGGTCAGCCAACAGGATGCATCTGATTCTCTGGGGGACTGGTTACAAATATAAATTCCTAGAACCCCTAATCCCCTCCTTCAGTAGGGATTCTGATTTAGTAAATCTGTGATGTAATCTAGAAATCTGTACTTTAAAGCAAACTTCCAAGTAATTTCAATGCACACTGAGGTTTAGAAGCAATTTCACTGAGCCCAGGCTCTTATTATGCCTAGTAGATCTTCAAAACAGACTTGTTAAGTGAAAAAAGATCACTGTTCAGTGCTGTTTCTCTTATCAGTCAAATAAGATTATATTAGGCAGGCTCTGGTGGATTAGAAAGGCATGAGGTAAACTCTTGTTGAAAACATGGGCCTGGATATATAAGGTTTATGATGTTCTTAAATAAAGTGAAGGGCTTTAGCTCAGTGGGGGGACATGCTTTTCTCAACCTATTCCAGCAATGCTGATGTGACTAACATAGAAAAGCACACTTTTAAAGCCACAGATTTCATCTTTATGGCCACAGATTTCATCTTGATATCCATAAAACAGTTTTCAAAAACCCATGTTTTAGGTTACTAGGAGGATCAAGCAAGAGGATGCAGAAAATTCTGTGCAAAAAATCATGACAATTATCCACAAAAGAACTGAAGGCACATTCTATTTACTGCTTCTGGGTTTGTTGTGTTATTGTTATACATGAAGAATAGAATCCAAGTGTAATGCACTTTAACAAATATAAGTGGATATATGTATTCAAATACATGCCATTTTTACAGACCCTTTGCTTTTCTGTTGTAGAAGCAAAACCATCCTTGATAGTTGCCCATATTTGTCAATATTGGCTCTTCACTGGTATCCTCAGCAAATCAATGGACACAAGTTTGAAGGAAAGGAAGGAGATTACATTCGAATTCCAGAGAGGCTACTGGATGTCCAGGATGCAGAAATAATGGCTGGGAAAAGTACATGTAAATTAGTCCAGTTTACAGAGTATAGCAGCCAACAGTGGTTTATAAGTGGAAACAATCTTCCTACCCTAAAAAATAAGGTAATCTTTCATTCAAAACACTTATGTGGTTGGAATCTGATTTATTTCTTTAGCAGGCACACTTGGAATGCATTTGTTTGATCACAGTTTTGGTAAGTGCTACACATGGTGAACTACTATGAAATGTGTTCCATCTTTATGAACTATTTGTAGAAAGTTTAGTTTCTAAATGAGTTGGAAATATATCCTTCATGTTTTGAGTAAAATACATATTATATATGTGGGGAAAGTAAAAAATATATAGCTTTAACTAATATACTATTACGTACTTAACTTTTAATGAAGTCATCCAGTTAGAGTCAAAGTGAGTGTTGTCAGCTGAAGACTGCTGAATGGCTAAGGCGGGGTAGAAAGGGCACAATGGAAAACCAATCAGATGTCCTGCATGCATAAGTGAGCTAAATACTAACAGTGAAAGAAAACAAATGACTGTAGCTACTAGAAAAATGAAGTCAAGTTCAGGGTAAGAGACTCAGTCATTACACCAATTGTAAAACATCATTATATGTTCTGTTTTTAACATTCTAGGTATTATCTTTGAGTGTGAAAGGTCAGAGTTCACAACTCCTGACTAATGACAATGAGGTTCTCTACAGGATTTATGCTGCTGAGCCTAGAATTATTCCTCAGACATCTCTGTGTCTCCTTTGGAATCAGGCTGCTGCAAGGTACTTATTAATAAAATAAAAAAATCAGAATTTGGTCCTTCCCCATTTCGGTACCACTGAGCCTAATGTTTTGTACTGAGCATAGATGGTGGCCCCAGATGACATTAGACTGGAAAATAACCTCCACAATAAATAAGAGGAAGCAGCATAGGAAATGGTCTAGTATTGTTCTGATGGCAAATGCAGCCCAGCATTTCAATATGTGTGTAACACATTATTTACTTCTTCATTTTTACTACTTTCACGGGATGTGGCATGAATTCTGCTCAATTCTGATAACCTTGAAGTTACTAGTAAATTTATTGGGCAGGAAAGAAATTCCTTCTTTTACCCTTTCCATCTGGGCTTGTGGTTCTGGAAACTGATGCCTTGTGTTTAAGAAGAATCAGCAGGAATTTATAATTCTAGTCCACATGGCTTGAAGTACATTTTGAGATTAAATCCATGGACACAAATGGGAAGGAAAGAATGATTCTTTTTTTGAATCTCCTCGGCCTCAGGCCTCAAATTTCTGAGCAGTTACAGTCACTAGGAGCTCAGTCAATGCTGCAGGATCAGGCAGTGCTGGCCTAGAAGGGTCTAGGGTTCCTGTCAGCCACTTGATTTTGTTTATTACTGAATTTCAGCCACACAAACTAAAATTCTAAATAGGTTTAATACAATAGCTTAGTTTGGTAACCAACTTTCCTCAAAAACACTGAAATTTCTGCTTTCTTTCTCTTAAAAAAATTCCACTTGAAATTTCTTCCTAGGTTTAAAACAAATCTTAAACCTAATAAATAGAAATACTCTGAAATCTTCAATATATAATTAATAATGAATGTTTCAAGCTGCATCTGGAGTTTGGGTAAGGAAGTTTTAGGTCCTTAAAAAAGTAAAGAAATTAAGAGGCATTTTAAGGGAAGAGGCTCAAGTGATAGTCACTGAGGAAGGCTCAGAAGGCTTGGCATCAGATACAATGTTTGCTAAAATTATGACATGGTTTTTCTGCTAAATTAGCCAGAATTCATAAAGGAAACACTTTTAAGAACCTTAGAAAACATACACATAAGTCACTCCAAAGTAGAAAAAAATTGAGGAAGAAATCTTAGATAACCATACAAGTAATTTATATGGTTCAAAATACAAGGACTTGTGGAAGAAAAAAAACAAAGAAGAGTAAACACATATCACAGCCATGTTGTTCTTGTGTGAGTTTTGAATGGTAGAGAAGAGTGCCTTCTATTGAGCATGTCGGGTAGGTTTGCTAGATTAGGTAGGAATTTGTACTGCCCTGTTGAGAGGACAAGCTCCTTTGGTACCAGGAATGCCTTCAAAGCTTTGGTTGGTATTTAGGCTGCTTCTTAAGACATCCTGTGGAATCTGTCATGTCATGTCCTGGACAAGATGTTCCCTTCACTGTTTCTTCTTGAAAATGTGGTCTACTTAAGTCTTGAGCAAAGAACACTTAATTTCAGTAAGCTATTTTTCTTTAAAAGCCATCTCAACACCTTCAGTATTGATGAAAGAGGAAAAATGACTATTGTGTTTTTGCCCTAGCTGGTTGTCTGACAGTCAGTTTTGCAAAGTGGTTGAGGAAACTGCAGACTATGTGGAATGTGCCTGTTCACACATGTCTGTGTATGCTGTCTATGCTCGGACTGACAACTTGTCTTCATACAATGAAGCCTTCTTCACTTCTGGATTTATATGTATCTCAGGTCAGTGACAGTATTTTTGAATCAATGGTTATAAATATTTATGAAAATGAAAGTCTGTTTTCCCATAATCCTTTTACGTATGCAAGATGCAAACATACCGTAATTCATCAGCACTAGAAGAATACAAATTTTTCGTTGTCTTAGTCATTAATTCATTCAACAAATATTTATGGAGGGCCATCTCTGTACTGAGGATACAGTAAAGAATGAGACAGTTTCACCCCATAAAGAATATGTAATACAGTGTAGGATAGAAGCTAGATAATAGGTAAGGAAAGGCTATAGTTTACAGTACCATGGTTTAGAGGGCAGGTACTGCAGTTACAATGTGAGGACTATGTGAGATATTAAATAATACATACAAAGAATTTTCAAAAAAATACATGCAAAGAATTTTGTGCTTTTATTGTTTTTAAAGCTACCTCATGGGTAGATTTTGTATTCTACAACTTAAGAGTTGTGAATATGCCAACCACTGTGTTAAAAAATAAATCATCTTTCACATTCCACATCTAGGCCTCATATTTGGCAGTAAGAAGAAATTAAATTGTATTAATGTCTGTCAAACTATTTACCCAACAACATAACAATAGAAGTATTATTATTTGCTGTATTAATTATATGGTCGGGCATCTGAGAATTCCTTAAACTATAATTCTATACCCCACCCTCACCCATTCTGTGCCCTGATTCTCTTCTTTCAGCCCCACAACTTTTTCTATGAACAAGGTGCTATACAGTGAATTAAATTAAGAGCTGGGCATAGGGTAATGGTTAAAAAATGCAAACTTTGGAGCCAGACTGCTTGGGTTCAAATCCTAATTATGCTGTTAGCTAGTTGTGGGACCTGGATCAAATTACTTAGTTTCTCTGTACTTCATTTTTCCCACCCATGATATTTGATTATAAATTGTGTCTATGTAACAGGGTGATAAATATATGAAGTCAGACATTTCTAACATTCTGCTTTAGTGATATTTTGTCTGTAAATGTGATTATTATTGAATGCATATCTCTTGTATTTGGTATGCAAACAGTCTCTCTAATAGTCATTATCTTTTAGGAAGTTTATCTGGAGATAGAATCAAGTAATTAATTACTATTTGTTCTGGTTGCCAGTCTTTCCAATATAACTTTATTTTATATAGTTATAAATTTTCTTTAATGTATTTTAATTCTGAACCTAACTTCAATTCAATAGCAAGATAATAACTTCTTATTCTTAATATCTTTCATAAAGGATGACATTTCTTATTTAATAGAATCTTCTAGGTCCACATAGTTCCAAAATCAGATGGAGACATCCTATTTTACTTTTATGCTAATGTATTTAAAGAGCAAAGAAATTTTATAGAATGATGAAATAAAATCAAAAGATATAATGTTGAAATACAATCTAGATGTCATTTTACATGTTTCCATAGAGGCATAGGTTTATGTGCTGCTATGACCCACAAAATCCCTTGCTTGTTCCCAAAGACTGAATATAAAAAAAAAAAGGAGTTTTAAAAACTAAAGAGAGAATGTTATCCTGATTTTATAGAAAACTAGTAGGACTGAATATAATGAGTTTCCTGGAGAATCATTAATAAATACCTGTATATCTTTTCTGCAACTTACTCTAGAAAAGGCTACATGGATTTGCTCATGTATTTGAGAATCAACACCTAAATGTTAGTATCTGCTTTTATCACTTTTGACTTGGAGTCATATTTGAAATTATTTTATTCTCTCTGTCCATGTCATATTGTTATGTAATTGCATGTTCTGTCGATAAGGAGACACAAAGTCTTGTCTTTGTACCTCAGTTTCAGCTCATCCCTCAGGGCTGGATGAATTCCCATCCCTCTGATGGATCCCCAGGAACCAGAAAAGAGAATTTTATATATCTTACATACATATTCTTTATATATCTTATATACATATTCTATAATTTAGGTCAAGACACATTGAATATCACTCTGAACTTGATAGAACTTGGCTAGTACTTTTCCTGAAATACGGCAGTATACAATTAGACAGGAATTTAACCTTTTTTTAAAAAAACAGAGTAGATCACAATGTATCGGTACCAATTCTAGTTTGCAGTTCTATTTACTATACTAGAGCAGAACTACCCAAATGATCAAAGTGTGTCAAATAGTTGTAGAGGCCAAAAAGCTTACCACTTCTCAGCTTAGAAAGATGAAAGAAAAGGGCATATACCTGTGACTTAAAATTGTAAACTAGTTTGCCAACTATCAGAAAATTAAACTAAGATCATTCCTTGAGGTTAAAATGAAAGGACAAATCATCCATTGCTGTGGGCATTAGAGTGCAGCATTATGGAACTCAACACAAAGATGGCTTGGGAGAAATATAACAAAATAATTACATAATAAAGCCATAATTTTGTAGTATAATTATTAAGAAACTTCAGCATGGTTTGAGATACACATTGCTATTTTGAGGATGTCAAGGAAGCCTACTCTGCCTTCCCATAACTCTTTTGATATTGTACTATCAAAGATAAGGCTATTGGTTATGCTACTGCATTGAGTTTGACTCTGAATACAAGTCTTATAGTCTTGTAATCTTTTTTTTTTGAGACAGAGCACCACCACACTTGGCAAATTTTTGTATTTTTTATAGAGATAGGGTTTTGCCATGCTGCCCAGGCTGGTCTCAAACTCCTGGACTCAAGCGATCTTTCCACCTCACCCTCCCAAAGTGCTGGGATTACAAATGTGAACCACCATGCCTGGCCAATATGGACATATTATTTGGGATGAATTTGGCTACAAGTAACAGATGATGACTCAAAGATATCTTAAACAAATATATTTAGTTCCCAGATTAACTAATTCAGTGCCTTAATGGTGTTGTCAGCAGCCCAGGCTCTTCTCTTTTTATCCTCAAGGATTTTTTTCCCTCAGCTTTGTTTGTACATGGTCTTAAGTTGGCTCTAGCAACTCTAAGCATCACACTAGCAATGTCCAGGCTTGCCAGGGGGAAAGCTCTTGAGTCCAGTTTTAACAGCAGTGAGAACTTTCTAAAAAGCCACCCAAAATGTTTTCCCTTGTGTCTTTTTGATCAGAATTATATTCTGTGTGCTTTCATAACTAGTCTGTGTCTTGGAGAAGATCCAGATAGAAATACAGAGAGACAAGCACTGAAAGAGCAGCAAGGATTTATCTTTCCGAACATTGCCCAGCAGTCCCTGACATATACTAGTTCATTGGTTGTTTTGTAGAGATGGTGGGAGTGAGGCAAGTGGGCGCAGGAGTTCCTACTATATTGCTCAGGCTGGTCTCTAAAACTTCTGGCCTCAAGCGATCCTCCTGCCTGAATCTCCTAAAGTGCTTGAGTTACAGCTGTGAGTCACCACACCAGCCTGACATACAGTAGGTTTTAATAGATATTGGTTAAGTAAATAAATACACAGTATTGATCTGATGATATCCTCCAATAATGAGATGTATTTTTGCTATGTGTCAAGTTCATACTTTCAAGTGCCATACCATATTTTTCTAGCCATTTTTAATAAAAATTATTTTATTTATTTATTTTGAGATGGTGTCTCTCTCTGTCGCCCAGGCTGGAGTGCAGTGGTGTGATCTCGGCTCATTGCAACTTCCGCCTTCTGGGCTCAAGCGAGTCTCCTGCCTCAGCCTCCTGGGTAGCTGGGATTACAGGCACCGTGCCGGGATAATTTAAAAAATTATTTTAAAATGTGGCATATTCTTTCTTGCCTTCACTTAGGATAGTTTAACACAACACTCTCCAATAGAGTTTTCCAGGTTGATGGGGATATTTTACACTGTCTAGTGTGGTAGCCACTAGTCACCAGTGGTGACTGAGCCCTTGAAATATGGCTTATACAAGTGCAAAGATGAATTTTTAAGTCTATTTCATTTTAATTAATGAAAATTTAAATTTAAGGCTGGGTGCTGTGACTCATGCCTTTAATCTCAGCACTTTGGGAGGCCAGGAGTTCGAGACCAGCCTGGGCAACATAGCGAGACCCTGTCTGTACAAAAAGTAAAAAAAAAAAAAAAAAAATTAGCCAAACATGATGGCACATGCTGTAGACCCAGCTACTCAGGTGGCTGAGACAGGAGGATTGCTTGAGCTCAGGAGTTCAAGGCTGCAGTGAGCTATGACCATGCCATTGCACTCCAGCCTGGGAGACTGAGCAAGACCCTGTCTCTTAAAAAATAATAATAATAATAATGAAAATTTAAACTTAAATACCCACATGTGACTAGTGGCTATTATATTGAACAGCGTTAAGTTCAACCACCCTGTTTATCTGGAGGCTAGTCTCCTGGCAACCTCACCACTCTAGAATAACTCCTTTCCCCTAATACACAGAACTTTTATACTGTAAAATGCTTCGTACTGACTTTTGTTCATACTAGAAATCTTTTTTTTTTTGAGACGGAGTTTCGCTCTTGTTGCCCAGGCTGGAGTGCAATGGCACGATCTCAGTTCATTGTAACCTCCACCTCCAGGGTTCAAGCACTTCTCCTGCCTCAGCCTCTCGAGTAGCTGGGATTACAGGTGCCCGCCACCATGCCCGGCTAATATTGTATTTTTGGTAGAGACGGGGTTTTGTGCCTTTAGCTTATTAGTAGCAGTAACCAAAAGGCATTATGCTGAGAAGAGAGTTGCAGAAACATGGGAATCAATAGTGATAAGCAACAAAAAGTACAAAAAGTGACAAGCACAGCAGTTAGGTTGGTGCAAAAGTAATTGCAGTTTTTGAAATTAAAATTAATTAAAATTGTTGCCAAAACCATCATTATTTTTGCACCAATCTAATACATTAGGTGGTATAATAAAAAAAAAAAAGCCTAAGCTAAAAAGCTAATAGTGGATTTAATAATGAAATAATGATAATTTGGTTTTATTTGGATTTATCTGTAGAGAAGGCAGACAGATAAACAAATAATTTGTAAATATTTTAAGGAAAATTTCATGAGAAAACGTACTAATACTTGTCTTGTGAAAGAGTAAACTTAAGTTATTTGGAAAGTATCTCTCATTCTTAAGTGATGCCAAATAATGAAGATGTTTATAAACATATGTAATGTATATATGTAATTTATGTACAAACATTTCATATGTTTATATGTATACAAACTTTCAAATATTGTAGAGATAGATAAGAGAATCTGTAGTCCAGTATGATAATAAAAGACTTTAGCTGTTCTTTACCAATTAGATGTTCTTTTAGAACCGAATCTCTAATCCACATAGTGGTAGGAAAAAAAAGAAAAGGCAAATTACTCAATTAGCTGCTTGTTTTATCTACATCATTGCCAAGAAATCTGTTTTTTAAAAAAACTGTTCAGAGTATACCTTTAAGTAATACCTGGAATTGTGATACTTTATTTTTTAAAATTTTTATTTATTTATCTATTTTTTTTTTGTTTTTGTTTTTGGAGGCAGAGTCTTGCTCTGTCACCCAGGCTGGATTGCAGTGGTGTGATCTTGGCTCACTGCAACCTCCGCCTCCAGGATTCAAGCGATTCTCCTGCCTCAGCCTCCCGGGTAGCTGGGACTACAGGTGCGTGCCACCATGCCCGGCTGATTTTTTGTATTTTTAGTAGAGACAGGGTTTCACCGTGTTAGCCAGGATGGTCTCGATCTCCTGACCTCGTGATCTGCCCACCTTGGCCTCCCAAAGTGCTGGGATTACAGGCCTGAGCCACCATGCCCGGCTATACTTTATTTTTTAAAAAATCATTCTATTTATAGTTATAACACTTTATGCTTTGTAATTTGCATATTTATATTAAGGAATTTCAACCAAAAAGTTTCTGCAATTAAAAAAAGATTTCTAAGTTTAAATAGATGTTAAATATAGCTATTTAATTTCAGATGAAAAAATAAAAGATAAGTATTTAGTATATAGTGTCTTAGAAACCTGATAATTGAAATAATTGTTTCTTTAAATTTTAGGTATTCAATATCCTCACCCAAGCCAGATGAGTTTCCCTAGACTAGGACCCAGCCTGTTTGAGGTTTTATCAATATTATTCTCCCCTACGTAAAAAACGCATCTAGATAACTATGATGCGTTATAGTTATAGGCTGGTAGAATCTCACCTATCTTCCTGCCACTGGCTTTGAATCCTGAACTGCCACCAGGTGTCATGCTAGCATTTTAACTGAAGCCTAATATACTTAATTAAATATTTCTAAGCTGGTCAAATTTAGTATACTAAATGTATATCATGAAACAGGAGTATAATAGAGCATTACTAAGTTAAAGGAAAAGGCTATAAGTAAGCTCTTCTTGTGCACTAGAAAAAAGTTGACTTGTGTATGTCTCCTTGCTGAGCACTAATTCCTTGCCTCACATTGTCATCCTCTACCACAGTCAACTTACAGCAGAGCACATATTTGTGATCATGTGCCTTAAAATGAAAAAAACCTTGCAAGGCTTGCTTTAAAGTCAGTATATTACTCACACACACACACACACACACAGACATACACATGCACACATACATGCACAGGCATGCACATTCACACACTCAACTTAAGACTTGAATTTAAGCTGGCTTTTATCATCCTAGGGAATTCAAAGTATGCATTACTTGAGTTCTGAGCATCAACTCCAGTAGTATATAGACTACCTAAGTCAAGATGCACAATATCTAGCATGACTCTGCAGTTCCTGAAGATACACTCTGTACTTGTGTGGGTGAATTTTGAAGCCAGACCCAGGACCTACACACCTGTTCCAGAACACCCCATGGAAGCCTTCCCAAAAAACGGATTGCTCTAGATTTCTTGGCCAAATTTCTAGGCCAAAAGCCTTGACTAACGCAAAGCTTCCCTTGTTGTGGAGAGCCTTGTCTACCTTGTTAAAATTTAAAAATATAACTCAAATGGTTTCTCAAAAAGAAGTTATGAGAAAATGAGTAACAAGACCCCATGTGGACCTTTTGCAGATGCCCAGTCCACTTATGCCAACATGCAGTGTATTCTGAAAGTTTGTTCCACAGCTTCAAAAGAAAACAAAATGTTAAATGAGTGCAGTGCCTCCTGTTTATTAACGAGGCATTGATATAACTAAACGGGTAAAAATGCAAAGCACATGGCAAAGCAGTATACATATGTCAATTGCTGTTATGTTTCAGTAATCCTTAGACAAAATAACCCTACTGAGAATAAGAGTGGGGTAAAAGCTTAAGTGAAAAAGCAAATAGGTTATCATATGCAGCACATTTAAGTCTTAAAAGGCAGAAAATATTTTTAAAACACATGTATACCCTGCCTTTAAAAATCTAACATTAAAAGAAATTTATATGAATTGCAAGATAAAAGATTTGTTGGATTAGTGCTAAGGTTCTAACTATCCCTTTGAAGTAGTGTAAACAGGTGAATTCAAACAAACTCAAAGATAATAAGAATAATTTTCTTCATACAACTTAGAAATGTAGAAGTTTAAGTTAAAAGTCATTGTGGAGAAAATAGCACACTTTCTTCCTGGTTTGGGCATCCAGTATTGCAAAGTTGCCTTTAAAATTCATAACTAACACTATTGTAATTACAGAACTATTTCTAGTAGATAAAAAAGGGGTAATTACCAAACCTGAGTTTTGGTAGGACCAGTCAAAATTTTATGACTGAAAAATCCTATTCACATGCCTGAATATTGGGCTTAACTGGTAAGTGTAAAGATCTTACTTGTCATGGAAAATGGAGTAGATTACAATTGCCATGTCATCTTTTCCAGAGGTACTGGGCAGAGGCAGGTGGCAGACCTGACATGCCTAGCTGCCCCCAAAGATTCTTGCTATGATGCTGTTAGAATCTTCATGGATTATTAAACCATATGTGGACTTTTTTGTTCCTACAGGTCTTTGCTTGGCTGTTCTTTCCCATATCTTCTGTGCCAGGTACTCCATGTTTGCAGCTAAACTTCTGACTCACATGATGGCAGCCAGCTTAGGTACACAGGTAGGAGAGCGCTGGCATTTTTGATTTATCGTGAGATGTTTGTGTTTCTTCTTCTTTGGTTCTTGAACTGAGTGTAAAAGTAAAGTTTAATCTCAACTTAGTTGAAATAAACTTGTTTAGTTTTGCAGTGGAAGAGAATGGGGACAGGAGAGTCATATAAGGAGAATCAGGCCTAAAATGCTTCTTTCTACAGAGAAGCACCTTAATATCATCGCTTACAAAAAAAAAAACTTCTTATCACAAAGCATCTTATTGTCAGCTAATATATGCTGAATGTATTTGTAATTTATATATACATTAAAATTAACATTTTATTAATCTGTTTGAAATATGCTGTGTTATAAATTCTTTATGTTTAGGGCATTAAGATGATATAAACTTTTAAAGCATCTGGACACTATGTATTGTTTCTTATAATAGTTTGATAGAACATTTTCTTTTGAAAAATCAGTTTTCTATGGTAGAAGAAACTGTGTGAAAAACAATGACTTATTAGCACACAATTTAAAGTATCTAGTTTAAAGCACTGTGTAAAGCACAGAAACCAGAACAAAAGATGAAATTAGATGCTTTTTCTATCCATACGGTGTTCATAGTCTAGAAAAGTAGATGTACATATAAATAACTAATTCAGTGTGATGTGTGAACATAGACCATTTGCAAACTACTCTGTGAAAATAGATGAAGGCTTAATTCATTTTTTTCATTTTTCTCTGAAGGTCAAGAAAGTCTTCATAGAGGAGATGATATTGAGCTGGGACTCAAATGAGTGAAAATTCAGTTTGTTGTTAAGGACTAAAAAGGGCCTAGACATTTATATAGGCAAAGGAAAAAAAGCATAATCACTTCTACTTTAAGGCTGAAATTATAGATCCAGGCAGAAAGAATATTCTATATAATGCTCTTATGGAGATAATTTTTAATATTGTTTTATAAAATTAAAAAATCCCACTTTTCTGGATGGGGAGACACTTCTGCAATGCAGACAATACTCTATTGATTGGGTGCTGGTCATATGTGTGTATTGAATTTGTGTGTATTTATTGTGCTGTAGACATGATTTGCACAGTTTTTTAGAATGCTAAAGTGCATTTATTGAACTCTGGATAGAACTTGAAAAAAATAGCGTTTGTGGTGGAGCTGAAATATAAAATGGAAAATTATCTTAAACATTGGGATTCTGTCACCCTTTTTTGTTCTAGGAGTGAAAATGACTGTAAATTCCATAACTCTGTTTTTCAGGGAATAATTAAGTGCTGGATTCTAAGCAGAGGTCTCTGATTGGTTTTTTAAAGGCCCTATGAGCTATGAGAAGTAGCAGTGGTTACCAAAGGGGCTTGCTTTGAATTTCACAAGGCTATTTATATTGCCTTTGTAACCTGCCTTAGCTGTCTGATCTCGCCTTTGCTTCTTGAATCTAAGATCTTAGAAAACCCGCCTTCCATAATTAGAGTTTACTTGGCTTTATTCACCACCCACTCTGGTGATTTTTTGGCAGCAGAATTTGTACAAGACTTAATTATAGCACTATAGAATTACAGACAGCTCTTCAGTGTCCTAGCAGACAAATTTGCTCGTGTCTAGGGATGTGAAAGACAAAACCAGGATTTCTATGTTGGAGCACTGACTTTTGATTCATATTGTACTTAACATTAATTTTGGACAAAACGGTTAGTCATATCCATGTTTTTCAGTATATTTTTAGAATACATGAAACAATGTGGCATGAAAAATCATGTAGTGTATGACTTGTGACATGAAATAACTAAAAAAGTATTTTCATAGCTCTTTTTTGGCAGGAAGAATTGGTATGTTATTGATAGAAAATAGTTTATTTCAAAATGCTTTATCTACTTAGATTTAACAATACCCTCTGAGTTAAGAATAGTTATCTCCCTTAAAACCTTTTAGCTAAGGCTTTAAAAAATTCTTAGACCCCCCAAAACAAGAAGCTGACTACAGTAAGTTGGGCTCCCACCCTATCTAAATTTTAAAGTCATGTTTATAGCTCCAGTTATAGAATCTTGCCAACAGGAGTTATTACAGTTCCAGCCTTGGATCTTTCATTTGGGATCCTCTGTCAATGTTATATTGTCATTTTTGGAGGTTAAATCAACTCTAGAGAAGTCTTAAAAAAATGCAGGCTTGGCCTGTGGTTCTTTAGCTAAGAGGGAAAATTCTATAGCTGACCTAGAGTGTTTGAGTTGTGAATACTTTGCAGACAAGTCTGCCAAGACCATTCATTTTCAAATCTTTATTAATGAACTAGGACTAAGTAGAACGGCTTTTGTGGAGAAGGAAAGAATGGAAATGTGGTAGTCCTGGACTTCCTTTTGGAGCAGTGTGGTATAATGGGTCCGTGAATCAGAAAGTCAGGAAAATATGCTCGTCCAGCTCTACTTTCTACTTCTAGAAATATGTAGACTATTATAACTATAATTTATTGTGTATGTGTATATGTGTGTGTGTGTGTGTGTGTGTGTGTGTATTTTCTTGATTGGAGGAATATAGATACAAATCCAAAGATTATTCCTGCTTTAAAAATCAAGATTCTGCTTGAATCTGGAGTTTGTCATTATAGCACCCTTGAGAATCATTGACTATAAAATATCAGTAGGTGGCAGTAGAAGATTTATTTTTCTCCCTTAAATTTATCGATCTCTCTTTAGCCATGATGGCGTTCAGTAAAAAACTTGAGAGATGCTTTCATAGTACTTCTTTAACTGGGCAAGAGGGTATTTGCAGCATAGCAAATACACATTTGTGGTGTCCTACCTTTCTCTTTTTATCCTCTTTATTCAGAATTTAATTAAATGCAAATGTACCATAAGAAAGATTGTACTCCACTGGCTTTGAATATATCTTTCTACTGCTTATATATGTTTAAATTCAGGGACATAAAATTAGCTTCATCATTATATTTATGAGCATTAAGTGTGTTATTGATACAGAAAAATGTTTTTATTATGTCATAGAAGCTTTGAGATAAAGGTCTCTATTTTCAGTTTATCAAAAAATGTACATATTTCTTCAATACCAAGTTATTTTTTCTCACTTATATAAATGAAAATGATTAAATGACAAGAAATTGTGGGGCTCTTCAAGTATGATGTGAAGAAACAGCAAACAAATTTTCATGGTATTGGGTGATATTTCTGAGAAAAACATCTAATTATATCTTTGGGATTTTTATCTTTGAATCACATTGCCAACCCATGTGTGCCCTGATAAGGCTGGTAAACAACTAGTGACAAAGAGCAAGTTTGCAGTTCAGGGTTCTCAGTTCTGGAGGTTCTGTCAGGAAAAGCAATCCTCCAAATCTAAAAAAAGAACAGAAGTTTCCTCATAGAAAACATGATGAAAAGATAGAACTGTATTTACTCTGATTAATAATACTTAACAAGGGAAAATATTTGTTTTTCTTCTCTATGGTTTGTTATTTGTACAGCATAAACACATTTTCTGAAACTAAATAGCAAATTCATCTAGAAATGTGTATAAGTCCGTACATTAACCGCAAGACTATAGCTTAGGGGTCTATTCTCTGGAATTTAAAAAAGTTGGACTGTTACTGTCTTTTGATCACTTTCTCATTCTGCAACATTTTGGGATGTCATTTTGCAATGTCCTGTTTCCCAGGGAGGATCCTACTCAGACACCCTTGCGAAAAGATTCTGCTTTAATCTGGAATTATGTCATTCTCGCTTTGAGTACCTAGCATCTTTGGGAATCTTTGTGCATGACTAAAGGCAGAAGTCCTGTGTGACTTCCCAAATGCTGGCTCCTTCTGGATACTATGAATCCTGGTTTCTGTTCCAGCAGCTTGCGCTGCTTTGTTGAGATTGCCAACTCAAGAAAGTCATTGTGTGAGTAAGGCTTGAAGACACATATGTAACAAGCATATTTTAATCAACTGAAGCAGAGTAAGATAGAGATGGTAAAATGTTCATCAGTCAGAAAAGAATTTTCCTTAGTTGGAAGTTTTTGTTAATCACTTATTAACCAGAATATCCTTTGTTATTTCTACTTTTTTGCTGAATAAAAAAGTATGTAAGCGTTTAAGTACAAGGATCAAAATTAAATCTTGCTTTGAAGATTAGGAAATTGAGAAGCAGAGGGTCATTTTTCAGTAGAACATTTATGATTATATGTTAGTGGAGATATAAATGGATCAAGAAAGTAGCAAGGAAAGTGTTTCCTAAACTTCAATGCAGGCATCTTGTTAAAATTCAGGTAGTGCATCAGTGAGTCTATGGCGGGTTTCCGGATCCTACTTGTTAAGTAAGGTATTAGATTAGCTATATTATGACCCCAAAACATCTCTGGTTGTTGTTGTTGTTGCTGCCACTGTTGCTGTTATTATTATTACTAAATCCATATAATCAAGCTATTTTTCTTAGTATGAAATTTTATTTAAGAAATCCCATTAATTAATTTTTTTAGTTTCATTTCAAATATTATTGCCTTTAAAACGACTGCACACTTGTATCTTTCCCTCATTAATGAAAGGCTGCTGCTGTGTCCTTCTGATTTTTTTTATTTCTTTTTTCTAAGAAAGGGAAAGGTCCTTAGGCAAGTGGACTAAGAGATAATTTAGAGTATGAACAAGGCCTTTATTCTGGTCATTCTCATAGCATTTGACAATTTGTAAAACTTCTCAGTGTTGTTTTGGACATAAAATAAACTACTAGAAAGAAGATATAACTAGTTCCCCTGCCCCAAGTTCATTCTTTTCTACCAAGATCCTGTAGGTGCCCTCCCCCCGCTAGAATAATATTGAGTATGTAAGCCTTTTTTTTTTTTTTTGTACAATTAACTGTATTTAAATGTGTCTTTATGTAGAGATTGGGGTATTTAACTGTATCTTTTCTTCATGTAGAGATTAGTTGGGTGAATATGAATAAAGACATTCTGCACACAGATATGAATATACATTTAAGTTGAATTTATTAAACTATTTGACTCAATTTAGGTATGCTCAATGGCATGGTGAAAATATTATTACATTCATGACTGAGTGACCATTCAACATTCAATTGTGAAATTAAACCAAAAAACTGAGCCAGACCCGCATCTCAGGTCAAGACCATTATTCATCCAGCAGTTCGACCACTTCCATCTCATCTATCATATGTACAATATTAAGATTGCGCAATGAGAAATACCAAGCAAGATGCATACATGCACACAAAGCGTGTAAATAATAACCTAAAGCACTAACCTCATAGTAAGAACCAAGTATATACAGAGAAAAAAATCTCTTCCTCTGTAGTACTGCATAGGCTGAGAATAAGGGACCCCAGTTTGCAAAGTCTCTGTGGAGGAAATGGAATCTGACCTGGTTGTTGAAGAATGTATAAGATTTGAAGACTTGGAATGTGACACATTCTAGGCAAGGAAAAGAACAAGAACAAAGACATCTAAGTTATAGTGATCCTGGCTGCTTTCACTTGAGTAAGGCTTGCAGATCCCACAGAGAAATAGGTAAGTTTTGACTGCAGGTGAGGCAGCTTCCCATTGTCTGAGAACCATGAGGAGTTACAGAGTCACCAATGGAGTTAGTCCAAAAAGTCACAATATGAAAGGAGTATTTTTAAGGATTGATCTGGCAATGAAGGATTAAAGGAAAAATGGACTAAAGAAGGTAAGAGACTCTAATTAGGGAGAGTAGAGAGGTTGGGTGGACTGCTTTTACCATCATCCGATTAGGATGGGTTCTGAGCTTAGACAGTGGTAATGGCAATGAGAATTCAAAGGAAGGAATAAGGACTAATAAAAATATCTTATTTTGCCTTATTAAATTTCTGCACTTTTCTTGTCTGTCTTTAAATCAATAAAAAAGCCACATTGCAAATTTTATTTACTAAACATTAATGTAATATTTATTACATATTACAGGAGGTAGAGATTATGAGGTAGGTACTAATATTATTCTCATTTTACAGATTAGGAAATTGTGACATAAAGAGTTTAATTACTTGCCATAGGTCACATAGTGGTAAGTAACAGAACTAGTATTTGAACACAGCAGCCAGCCTCCAGTCATTTTTAAAACTGCTATACTAAGTTGCTTCATAAATGAGGAATTAATGAAATTTACTCTGTCACCAAATGAGAGAGAAGATTTTTAAGGTGACTGTGAAACTAGTGGTTTCATTTGACTTAAATATGAAAGTGGAAAGGTTTAATAATTGGAGAACGATATGTGCAATTTTGAGCATGAGGGGTTTAAGGTTTCCATAGCATGGAGATTTAGATGTTATCTACATAAATGTACAGCTTCTTGACACTTTAAAATAGGTTCTCTGAGACAGGTTGGGTAGAGAACCTGTGTATATAGAATACATATAACTAATGTCATTAAGGGCTGGGCTTTGTGGCACTGAATTTAGTGATTTACACATATTGCATTATTTACTCTTATAACAACCAGATGAGATGGGTACTGTTATCATCCCTAAAGAGACTAAGAGATATTCAGTTACCTACCCTAACTTACATAGGTAGAACATTGAAGGAAGAAGAATTTGAAGCCAGATGTGTCTGGCTCCAAAACTCACGTATTTAGAGACCACGCTATGTGGAATGAGAAGGATCACTACAAGAGGATTGGAAAATGTTAAAGTTTTTGAAGCCAAAGAAGGAAAAAGGTTTCAAATGGAAAGATTTGAGCATCATGAGGAGATTAGTCCTCAAATTTGGCAAGAACAAGGTCCCTGGAAACTTGGAGAGAAATGATGAAAATTAGAAAAGGTTAAAGAGTAAATGGATAGGAAGAAAATGGATGAGGCTACCAGACCACACCTGTGAAGTTTGTCAATGAAAGAAGAAGGCAATCAAAGCACAGGAAGTGGGGAACAATTCTGGTGGCTCTGATCATAGGTTTGCTGCAGGGAATCTGGGCCCTGGGGCTGCCACACAAGGGGCAGGTCTCCCCCATCTCCTCCACTAATATTTTCTTTCCTTGAAAGAGAACTTCCTGTTGAAGTTTGTTGAAAGGGTAATAGGAATTAGTAAGTTTCTCTTTGATCCATGTGTTTATTTATATGTTGTGATTAATTTGAATTTTTTAGGTCTAGGCAAGTGACTCCCTGCTAATGCACCTAACTTAATCACCTTATATCTAGGAGAAAATTAGAGCTGTAGTTTGAGCTTTCTTTTTGCATTTCTTGAATCCAAATTTCTGTGATGGCCTTATATTTTTGGTATTGTTACTATTGAACTTTATGTAAACTTGCAATCAATCATGAAACAAATTTATAATTAGCAATTATCAAATAATTATATAAGTCATTCTACAACCAAAAATATTAATATTATGCTATTCACAAGTGTGTGCTTTGGAGGATTACAATGATTTTGGTACTCAAAATAGAGTGAAATTTGCATATTAAGGTATTGAATTCCCCAAAAAAATATTATTTTATTTTTGCTTTCTTTTTATTTAAGGCTACATTTTCCTTTATGTATCAAATTTGTCTTTCTTAAAGTCTCTTAATAATAAAATCGAATTCCTTTTCCTCAACAAGCTTTCAAAATTCAGCTCAAATAGACTGTTCTCACTACATTGAAAATAAGTGGACACTAAAGATACAAAAATAGTATCATGGTCACAATACTGGGAAATTCAGACTTTCCCAAGTGCTGAAGTAGCAAAGCAACAGAAAGAGTGAGTAATATTCTGAATGAGGCTACAGTGACATTATCATGTTTGCAACATAGCTTTCGTTACTAGGAAAATTTGTGAGGCAAATCCAGACTTTACCAAAAAATACCAGTTTGGAACCTTTTATTACAGCTTCAGTAACATAAACTATCCTTGACCTTTAAAAGCCTTCCTTCCTTGATGTCCCTGACTAGGCAAAAGCAACATATGAAAAAAGTTGTTTTTATGAATATTTAATGAGAGCTCTAAAGAACTGTAACAGATATGGAGCGTAGGGGGAAGTGTCTCAGTTTTGGAATTAGAGAGACTGATGGGGTAACATCTGTCAACTACAGTGGAAAAAAAATCACTAGGAAAATAATAAGAATGCCTGATTTGCAGCATTGTTGAGAAGATACATAGTGGATCATGTTCAAATGCCCAAGACACAAGATCCGAGGAAGGAGATTTCAGAAGAGGAGGGCAAGGAGGATTCCTGCTACCTCACGACATGCAGAGGCCCTTCAGGTTCTGCCCTGAGTTGAACACTGAATCCTTCCAGAGAACCTGAGCCCCTGAGCCTGCTTTTCTGTGCTTCAGGCTTTCTTAAATCAGCTGCAAGGGAGGGGAGAATTTGGGGCCCCACCCTTTTTCAATAATTGGCTCTGTCAAGCCTGTAACTGTGCCTTTCCTTGTACTATAGGTAATGTAGACCATGAAATTTGTTTCCGTTGGTCTGCATTATCTGTAATGGACATCATCAGTAATTTTGTTTATAGTTTTTAAGAGTTTTTTTTCCCTGATCTGAGTATTTTCTAAGTGTTTGTGTCCTCATTGCTTGTGTTGAATTGTTATAACCTTAAAAATTGGATATATATAATATGCTTGCCTATCTAGAAAATTATACATATGGTATGAGCTTGTGTGTGTGTGTGTGTGTGTGTGTGTGTGTGTGTGTGTGTGTACATTTGAAATTTGAAATAGACTTATATTTTGAAATACAGAGATACTTGGCTCCATAGCTGAAGGGCTAGAGCACTGGTCTTGTGAAAATACAGAGACACTTATTTAATGAAACAGTACTGCTAAGGACGATGATAAACACTTGATAAGTTAATTCCAGCACTCTATGGCATAGTCAGTATATGTATTATTGCCTCTGCATTGTGTGTAAGAAATCTGAGACACTAAACAATTCTGTGACTTGCCCCAGGTCTCAGATCAAGTAAGTCTATCTCCAAAGGGTGTTTCCATAACCCCTTCTCCACCCCTTTACAGAGGAGCCCTCAGAGACCCCGGTAGTGCTTCTTCCCTCCACTTCCTTGGAGCCTAATAGCATGGTCTTCTTGCAGACAGTTTTAACATTTACTCTGTTACTATAGTAAGCATGCTAGAACTAAAGACTTCTCTTTAGTTTCCTTTGTAACTCTGTGAAATCTTGCTTCCTTCTGTGAAACTTTTTAATGAGTGGTCCTTACAAAATTGGTTTTTAGATTTACATTGACCTAAACCCCAGGAAGTTGTGTCTCCTGAGCTTTATCTGCTTGCTGTACAGCAGAGTGCCTTTTATGTAGTTGCCTACCTGCCTGGCTGAACTTTAAGCTCCCAAGGGAAGAAACTGTTCTTTTTCATATATCACATCCAATGCCAAAAGGTAAAAGACCAAAATAACATCAGTCACAAAGACAGGGCAGCCTTTCCTATAGGCTAGTTGTGTGCAGTCTAGAACTGCCTTTCTGGCAGAGCCCTATTCAGATACCATCTTTCGGGAACATACACTCTGTGTTCTGCCAGGATGGGGGAGGAGCTTGGTTTCAGGCACTATGTTTTGGTTGTAAGGGCGAATGTTATTGCCAAACTGAAACATGTCAAATATCAACAACCAAGTGGGTTTTGTGGTCACATTTCATCTGTAGATGATGGCATGTGCAAGTGATTTTATGGGGTTTGATGTGGAAACTATGAGAAATTCCACAACTCCAGAGTGCACCTCTAAGCCCCAACCCCCCGTTTATTCTCGCTCTTCTGCAAGACAGAGATCAAGGTTGAATGAAAATCTTGAGTACAAATTCTCAATTT
This sequence comes from Homo sapiens, assembly GCF_000001405.40. Taxonomy (NCBI): domain Eukaryota; kingdom Metazoa; phylum Chordata; class Mammalia; order Primates; family Hominidae; genus Homo; species Homo sapiens. The sequence continues at coordinate 90,873,582 of NC_000005.10, forward strand.
TTGCATTTTTAAAAACTTTTAAAGTATAGATTTCTTTACAAAAAATGCTCAGAGAAAAAAATTAAAAAGCCAGGCATGGTGGTGCACGCTGTAGTCCCAGCTGCTCTGGAGGTTGAGAAAGGAGAATTGCTTGAGCCCAGGAGTTGGAGGCTGCAGTGAGCTGTGATCACGCCACTGCACTCCAGCCTGGGCAATAAAGACCTTGTCTCTTAAAAAAAGAAAGGAAAAAAAAAAACCTTAGTTAACCATATTTGGGAATTAAATGCTTTTCTACTGTCTGTTTTTTGGGTTTATCCCATTTGTGATCCCTTCTGTCAATTGTCACCATTATCTTGCTCACCTAAGCCACCTTTCTTCTTTTATGGACTCCAAACTCTTCCCTGTGGTCTTAACCTGACCCCTTTCTCCATAGTCTGTTCTCTCAGCAGCAGGAGTGGTCCTTTTAAAGACTAAATTGACTCTAATCATTTTCCCTAAAACTTTTTGGTGTCTTCCTATTGCACATAACAGAGGGACTCTGACCTCCATCTCCCTCAGGATCAGTCTCTGCCCATTCTCTGATCTCATCTTCTACCACCTCCCCGTTCACCCAGCACAGCCACAGTGGGCACAGTTCTTTAAATATGCCCAGCTTCTTCTTGTCCTACATCCTGTGTTCTAGTTAATACCTAAGCCTGGAAAGTTCTGCCCCAGTGTTTTGCTCATCCGTATTTCCATTTATACAGCATTGACTCACTCAACTCTTACGTTACCACCTCAGAGTGGCCTCCGCAAGAAGACCCACCCCTACGGGGTCTCATCACTGTTATGTTTATTCATATCATATATCCATATCTAAATTTTCTTGTTCATGTATTGTATTCTGTCTCCTTTTCCCCTTTCTAATGGAATGTCAACTCCATTAGATCAGGAATTGCCTGTCTTGTTCATTGCTGTTTCTAGCACTCATAAAAAGCTTTTTGGCTCATACTAGATTTTCAATTTAAAAAACTGGTTAAGGCCGCGTGCGGTGGCTCACACCTGTAATCCCAGCACTTTGGGAGGCTGAGATGGGCGGATCACGAGGTCAGGAGATCGAGACCATCCTGGCTAACATGGTGAAACCCCGTCTCTACTAAAAATACAAATTAGCTGGGCGTGGTGGCATGCACCTGTAGTCTCAGCTTCTCGGGAGGCTGAGGCAGGCGAATGGCGTGAACCCAGGAGGCGGAGCTTGCAGTGAGTGGAGATCGCACCACTGCACTCCAGCCCGGGCGACAGCAAGACTCTGTCTCAAAAAAAAACAAAAAACAAAAAACAACCTGGTTAAATAAGAAAAACAATGAAGTTAAAAGAAATCTTAGGCTTTCTTATAAAGAGCATTCTTGGCAATCTAAAACTAACCTATCACCATTTTCTCATGAAAATAAGCACTTCCTATATTCTCAATTCCTTAAAGCAAAACAAAACCAGAACTGGGTATGGGGCACATGCCTGTAACCCCAGCTACTGGGAAGGCTGAGGCTAGAGGATCCCTTGAGTCCAGGAGTTTGAGCCTGCAGTGAGCTATGATTGTGAATTATGATTTCACCACTGCACTCTAGCCTGGGAAACAGAGCAAGACCCTGAATTTAAAGCCAGAATTTTAAAGAAGAAATTATTCATATTCTTAAATGTAATCTGTAGTGATCTACATCTTTTATAAACAAATTGTATTATAATTCTTGGTTTATAATTTAGATGTGTTCAATGCAGAATTAATTTTCCCAGAAAAGAAATGCTTATAAAGAGAAGTCAAGATCTCAAGCCAGCCACCAAAGCTTATTTGACTCTTAATCTGTCTGACTGTTCTGGATCCTAATTGAATTTGTAACTTCTCTTCGTGTTAAAACATTCTGATTTCTAACTGGGAACTTCAAGAAAGCCCATACTGCTCCCACAGCCTCTGTTATATGGCTCTTCTTCCTTCAAAAGTCCATAGAAGCAGACTACAAGGAAACCAGGTGGTGGTGGGGTCAGGAAAGGTGAGATGGAGGGGAAGAGGGAGACTTCTGGAAACTAGCTTCCTGGGTCAGGTAGGTGCTCTGCAAATAAGTTGGATAGCAAATGGTAAGTTTTCTGAAACTTGTGGTCACAGAGTGTGCAAAGAGAATTGGCTCTTCAAGCAGCTTTAGTAACTTATTAAGAAGCAGGTTTGGAGATGAGAGAACAATTATTGGAGTACAGAAAAAGTTTTCCTAAGTAATGTCTGTGTTCCAAAGGAATGAAATTTTGTGTTAAAATTTAGATACTCCAAGATAGATAATAACTAATTGTAAAAGCTAATTTTAATAGTGTTAACTAGTAAATGTCTGTAGTGCCAAAATAATTAAAATGGGCCATTAAAATATGGCTATAAATATCAAGGTTATTACATTGTTAGTATGTTGAAATTGAGAAATGAAATACCCCAACATACTGCAGGATGTCTAGACATAATGAGCAATCCTGTCATGTTTAGGTCATGTTTATAATTGTGATTAATCTACTCTTAGTTTCTGAGTTTATTGTATCTGATACCACACTCCAAAAGCCTTTTAACCTATGAGTAGTTGAAAGCAGTCATTACAATGCCTGGTATTTTGTAAATAAATGGATTAATAAGATATAACAATCACAAATCCTAATCCTCCTCTCAGAAATATTTAAAAAAACTAAAATCTTTGCATTTAAGGAGCATGGTTTTGTACCTTGGAAATCTTTAAATTAAATTGTTGGTTTAACTTTTGGAACACTTTTAAAGTGTTCAATTAAATATTTATTTTAGAAGGGCAATATAAGCATTTACAATTATATAAAAATATCCATGTAGGCACTGCTAACACAGTTTCTTCACTTCACAGGAGGACAAAGGCTGCAGGCATCTAAGAGATTAACCCCAGGAAGCCAGAGTAGCTGAATTGCCAGTGTTTTACCATTTATTGTTAACTCACTAGATACTCGTGAAACTCCATTAAAAAATGCCCTTGTATTATACAAACAATCCACACTTGAGCAACCTTTCACTCTAAGATTAGGAATTGCTCTTTGACAACCTTTGTCAGGGTTAATTATTGAAGACTTTTGTGTGAATTATAGGAAAGTCAGATGAGGTCAAGCAAGTCTGTCTACCACCTCCTGTTTGAGTCTTAAAGTAGCAGAAAAATCTATTCTCCAGGTAATGAAAAGAAGACCTTTTCTGAAAATTTTGTTGAAGCACAATTTAAATTTATCTCATGTTTGCAGTTATTCATTCATTGCTCCCGTTCTCCAACTATTTAGTGTCATATGTACTATGACGCAGTAATGTCATGTTATGTAAAATATAGTAATGACATAGTGAAAGACATAGTTTAGACCCTCCAGTAATTTTCTGTCTACCAGGAGGGTAATAAAGAAGTAAATAGATGAATACAGTAGAATGGTGTAAGCATATAATAGCAGTCTGTACAGCATATAGTGGGAACCAAAAAAGAGTTATTAATTCTATCCAGGTTGAGGAGTGGAGTCAGGAAAATCTTATAGCAATAAAAATGCTTAGCTGTCTTGAAAGATGAGATGTCTTCACCAGGAAGAATCTACATATAATTAAAAGACAGACATTAGTAAAGGCAGAGGAATGGGCAGTATCTGGCAGGATTAGTGACGCAAAAAGGATTGCTCTACCTTGGATTATGTTCTGTTTAGTTTGCAAGGAATCTGGGTTGGTTCAACTGGTTAAGAGCTGATGGTGAGGAAAGGAGAGCTACTCCTGGGCAGACCTGTTGGAAAAGTAGAATAGTCGCCAGACCTGAGCAGAACTGATGTATGGAGGAGCAACAGAAAATGAGAATTTTTTGGAAAGAATTTGGGTTCCACAGATACATTTTAGTGTCTCACAAGCATTTTTTTGGAAATGTGTTAACTTGTCTAATCTGAAAAGGCTGAAGTATCTAGTTCTGTACTACTGCGTATGGAGAAATGGAAAGTTTCTGTCTGTTAGGCATCAGTAGGGTTTCAGTGTGTGGTTTTTTTTTTTTTCATTTAATGTCTCTTACAAATTTCATATTTTAAAGAATAATTCCTCATAACATCCTCCAGTGAACCCTTTGTGATTAGTTTAAGTGAAGAGATAGGAAAAAATAGTTAGGTGTAAGGTATATTTTTTCAATGCTTTTTCTTTTTTTTAATGTTATTTCAAACACAATTTACTGCTATCACATATTAAAGACTCACAAGACATAAATCAATACAACTTTACCTTTTGAAATATTTAAATTTATATAAAAATATTAACATTACCTCTTACATGCCCTTTCGTGAAATTCAGAAAAAAAAATGAAACTATTAAAACTGCAGCTGCATGACTATGGAAAATAAATCGTGTGTATAGTTTCTGTGATATTACCCTTTGTGAATTTGCTATTGAATTCATATTCTTGAGGTAAAGATAGAGTTCAGACCTTAGAAAAATACAGTGATAATGCCACAGGAAAATATTTGTGGTGTTGTTTAAGATTCAGCGTGTGTAACTCTTTTCTAGGTTATTAATAGGCTTGGGAAAAACAATATAAGCAATTTCTCCTAAATAGAAGCAAGTTTGAGAGAATAGACTTCCGTCAGAATTGGCTACTGTTAGGGAGAAAGGAAGCTGAATTCAAACAGTTTTGTGAGAAACTGGAAAAGAGGAAGCAATTGAGCTTCACAATCGGTCACTGATATTTGATTTACTTTCTTTGGAGTTTACAAGTGGCTGCCAAGTTATGTCTAACGCACACTGCCTAATCCTTGGAGGCCTCTCTTCCAGCTGATGTCTGCGTCAGTGGTGGCCATGAGAGAGGAAGCAACTTGAAGAAAAGATTGTTTACCACTTAAATTTAACATGGAATTCGAAGGCTAACGTTAAGTGGTTTAGAACACCACTAGAATGCTGTTTTGTATGTTTGTGATTCCCGAAACAGTCACCCAGCATCTAGTCCTAAATATGAATTAAGATCTCATTCCGAAGAACACCTTCTTATCACTTCTTTGAAGGTAATTATGAAAAGTCAAAGATGTACTTCTAAAAAATGCCTCTATGTTCACAGTCATTTATGAGATTAAACAGATAACCAGCTGACTAACAAACTCCAACATAGTCATGATGGTGTCCTTAAGCAGATTATAATCTCAGGAGTGCTGGGGAGATTTATACAGATATGAAAGGAGGGCAAATCAAGGAGGTATGAAGTCAGCTACATGGTGTAGTGTAGGTGTCACACATTATTTGTTGTTGCACTTTACACTTTCCCCACTTACAGGTTACAATTTGCTTGAAGATTAAAAACTCGAACCATATTTGGTTGTTAATTCTCCTTCTGTGGACAGACTGGAACAAATGGCAAGAGAAACGATTGCCCAGCTACATGTGAGTCATTCTTTCCTGGGATAAGGCTACTTCAGCTTTAAGTGGAGAGTGGCTTGGGGAAGCTGTTGTGGAAGTAAGGTCACAGGGTTTGAGACATGTTTGAAGCAAGGCTTTTGTTCCAGTTCTTCCAGTCTGCATGCAAAAGGAAGGAAGGAGAACATCTACTAGCAAAAGCTGAATGAGGACTTCAACCTCACCTCCATGGTTCCCCACACAGGAGCAGAGCCCAGCCAAGGTTCCCACCTAACACCATCTTTCCAGAAATTGTTTTGAGATACATAGGAGAGAAAGGCCCTTATATTCACAAGAAAACCCAGCAATCATATTCATTTGAAAAGCAATCCATATGCACATTTTGGAAACAAAAGAAGTATCAGTACACAGGGTGAAATAAACTTGAAAGGAGATTTGTAAAGAAAAGAACAAGCAGTATTCATTCAAAAAAACAGAAGGTAGGATGTTATGGAAGTAAAACAGTTATTTTGTTTAGGTTTAAATTTTTTTAACTTTTAAAATTTGTGATATAATTTTGATTATGGGAATCATAGATTCCTGTTATCAAAGGAAGAATGACCTTTTCCCATTTCCTTTTGAGTTTCTTAAAATTTCAATTTTCTCCTTAATTATACTATTTTATGCTTTTTTTTTCTCCAAATGGTAAGGCGTATGTTTAATTTAAAATTTTAATTTAAATTATTTTGGCCAGGCACAATGGCTTGTGCCTGTAATCCCGACACTTTGGGAGGTCAAGGCAGGCAAATCGCTTGAGGTCAGGAATTTGTGACCAGCCTGGCCAACATGGTGAAACCCCTGTGTCTACTGAAAATACAAAATTAGCTGGGTATGGTGGTGCACGCCTGTAATCCCAGCTACTTGGGAGGCTGAGGCAGGAGAATCAATCGCTTGAACCTAGGAGGCAGAGGTTGCTGTGAGCTGAGATTGTGCCACTGCACTCCAGTCTGGGTGACAGAGCGAAACTCTGTCTCAAAATAACAATAATAATAATAATTAATAATTATTTTAAGAAGCAATTTTTAGATTTCTATTTTTTTCCTTTTATTTACTTAATTCCAGAGAAGTAATGGTATTATTAATAATATTCTTCTTGAGCTCCTGTTATATTCCAGAGACTTCAGGTATGCTACTTTATTTTATTCTCACAATAGTGCTATCAGTAGACATTGCCATCCTCATTTTATACTAAATAAACTTAAATCTGCTCATGATCCCATAGCTATGAAGCAGGGCTAAGATTTGAACCTATGTGTGTCTGATTCTCTTTTAACCACTAAATTACAAACACAGGTGTATAAAAAATGTGTGTATAAATATGTATATCATACATACATGAATGTATGTCATGTACAGTATCTGCTGTTTCCTTTTCCTGAAAATTGCTAAAGGCTTTAATCAGATAGATGGAATTTGAACAATCAGAGGTGGAGCTTGCCTCTCAGTGGGGAGAAAGCATTTTGAGCAAAGAAAACATCAGTGACACACATTGGGTTTAAGAAAGTACAGGACATGTTTTAAAATACACCAAAGTAGGACATTGACTGACATGTACTATATCTTTGAATGAGAGTGTTGTGGGTTAGCTTGAAAAGCAGATTCAGATCAGCCTATGGGAGGTCATGAAAGCTTAGTTTAGTAGTTGGGACTTTACTTTCCAGTTTTTGATGATTTTTATCAAGAAATGATATAAGAAGATTTATCCTGGAGCCACCTCTCAGCTCAGCTTCTCTGAACATTGTGGAATTATTATACTAACGTGCACAAACTTGTAACAATAGCAGCAACCATTCCAATATGTCAGCTTTCTGGAGAATATTGTCCGTATGTCAGGATATGTAAATAATTTCAAATTTCTCACCCTTAGTAGTCTCCCACCCATATAAATAAGCTTACAGTGAATAGTGGCCAGATTTTAGCAGTGAGTTTTCCTATGTAGTCCATTCCTAATCAAAGACTGCATTACAGGATTCATGGTTCTGTCTGGTATACTTAGTATTGTAACATCCTCTGCTTTCACTCTTTGGGGAAGCTTAACCTCTGTCTGCTCAATGATGTATTCTTTTCTTCATACCTGGATAATGTTTTGGAGTACATTTTAATAAAACCAGATCATGAGGGTAAACACCAATGTGAGAAGCTTCATTGTGCATCTCATCTTTAGTTGATAATTGATGGAATATTTTGTATTTCATGGATCCTACCTCAGTACATGGCCAAGAAACTGCTGGACTCCACCTGTGCAATTTTTGAAAAGAAATTGAATGATGCGTTCCAGGAAGGGTTTGCATTTGCTCATTATTTCTGGCTTAATCAAATTAAAGGAGAAGAATGAAAAACAGCTAACTCCAGAGCACCTGTAACCAGTGTTGCCGGAAATTATGACCCTGTTAGCTTGACATTGTGTGGTGAAGGGGTCTAATTATTGGACTGTTAATAATATTATTTAAGCCCTCATTAAATGTGCTACCATTTAATAGGATTTTCTGATCACAAATCTTCATTAGAGTCTTAGAAAGTTTTTTTTTAATCTTGTATTTTTCCATAAATTCATCCCATTGAATAACTCAAGGGAGGTGAACTTTGGCCAGTGGGTCACAGCAAAGGATAAAGATTGGGTGATGTATATCAGGGATGGGCGGAATTTGTAATAGTTTCCAGCTGTCTCAGCAGTATTAATGAAAGTATTAGAAAATAAATATGGAAAAATGATTAGAGATTCGAAAGAAGAGACATCAAGTATGCAATGTGGGACTTTAAAAAAAAAATACAAGATCTTGCTCTATTGGTCAGGCTGGAGTGCAGTGGTATGATCATAGATTATTGCAGCCTCAAATTCCTGGGCAGTCAAGCGATCCTCCTGCCTCAGCTTCCTGAGTAGTTGGGACTATAGGCTCAACTTTTTTCTTTTTTTGTGGAGATATGTCTTGCTTTGTTGCTCAAGCTGGTCTCCACCTCCTGGATTCAAGCAAACTGCCGGCTTCAGCCTCCCAAAGTGTTGGGGATTACAGGTGTAAGCCACTGCACCCAGCCTGCTTTTCAACTTTTGAAAACAAACCAACATTTATACCAAGGACTGAGCCAGAAGAAAAACTTCTAAATTTCATATATGGTAGAAAATTGCAGATTTCCTCACAGATGTAAAGAGATTACCTTTCATATTAATATACTCACCTTCAAACAGAAAGTTATCTATAGATTTTAGATTGAAGTTGATATTTTGCTATACTATAATTATTTTAAAAGACAGACTTTTTGCCTTTCTGAAAGTAGTTTTCACAAACCTTTTCAGTACTTCTTTTTGTATCTTTCTCATTAATTTTGAAAGAGAAGAAAGGAAATATTGAATATTCTGTTGAGAAAGGAAATATTGAATATCGTCTTAAGACCCATGTCTTTTACCTTTTTAATTCCTATTTCCTGATGTGGAGAGAAACTTGCTCACAGTCTCCTGTACTGATGGAGCTGTAAATCTAACATACATCCAGATCATTTCAAAGCCTATTTTTTCTCACTACACAGATGCCTATATATTTCTTCATTACAGCCTTTTAAATACTTTTCTCTGTGATAATTCCCACTTTAAAATTTCGAGAAAGCTATTGTTCTGGATGGGGAAACTCCCTTTGTGCCCTGCAGGGCCTTTGGGTACACTCACCCCCTTCCTGCTTAACCAGAATAAAGTGCTGAGTTTGCATTTCAAATCTAGAAAATAAATACCTTTTCTTTTTCTAAAGGAACTAGGGCATATGGATTAAGGTAAAGGAAGATGAGAAACAACATCCAAAAATACACATTTTTTAAAAAATAGTCAACTAATAAGTTCATGTTTTATAAAAATATAAGTAATAAATTATTTTTAACATGAACGTAATTGTGATTTCAAAATTTCAAAATTATAGCAATGTCCTTAAAATAGTGTTGAATTTAAAATCTTCACTTTACAAAATGTCTGTGACCATATTATCTATTATGCTGTTAGTAACTAGAGATTTTTAAGTAAAGATAGCTTTTTTGGGTAGTAATATTTTCATCAAAATTGCAGTGCAGTAAGAAAAAAAATTCAGTCTCTACCTTGAAAGTTTAGGGTTGGAACATAATCTTAGTGAGTATATCTATAAAACTGTTAGCCTCAATTATCTCTGAATTGATTTTGTTTGTTCAAAGACACAACTGTGAAGAATCATTATTCTTTCTACTGTGTTTTCAGATGAACCCTGACAGATCTTTCATGACAGATAATACTAAAAATTACATGTTCATCTGTGGGAACCAGAAGGAAGGTCATATCTTGCTTCTACCTCCTAGAATAGCTCCATGGTATTTCAGGCCATCGAAGAGGATTTTTATGCTGGAGAGGCAGCAAATATGTATTGATCCTTAAATAACAATCTAATTTCTTCTTTCTTCCTATTACTTTAGTAGGTATAAAATCCAGTAGTGAGGTATGCCGAAAATGGGGTGGTCTTTAGACTCCTGGTTAGTACTTTGAACATTTTCATTTTAAATAATGATTCTCTTGCAAACTGGTCATTCCTGTGATACATATTTCCCTTTCACAGCTTCTGAATATAACTTGGAGTGATACTGGTACAATGCTGCCTTTCTCTCCCACCTTCCAAATGTATTTGCATATGTGCAGACTATTCCTCCTTCTAACTGCTACTTCTCTGTTTTTTGCTTCTTCGGCCTTTCACCTTCTCACACCCCCATTTCCTAACTCCCCAAGGCCATCATTCTCACCCTGCATTTTGTAGCTAGCAGATATGTCCATGTGCATATCATCCTTTCACTTACGGGACTGTGGCATGGAGAAGTGAGTTGCAGTAACTAGACCTCTGCATTCCTGAGTGGAATGTTACAGGGCCTCTGCAGGAGTTGATGGGAGTGGGCCCCAGTGAGCTGGAAGGTTGTAGTTTGACAGTCGAGTTCTCTTCTCCTCCTTGCATGTAGCCCTTAGTTTGTGCATCATCCATAGCATTCCTTATTCCTCATTACTTCCCTCCTTGTCTCTCTCTATTGCCCTGTGTCAAGTTAGGAATCACATTCATAGAACTAAATTACTATCATGCACATTAACATTACTGGCATTAACCAAATGGTTTTTATAAAGGATTTATGGCCTTAGACTAGGATTTCTCAACTCAGACACTGTTGACATTTGGGACCAGATAATTTGTTGTGGGGCACTGTCCTGTGTATTGTAGGATGTTTAGCGGCATCCCTGCTCTCTACCATTCAAATGCCAGTAGCACACTTCCCCTAAAACATTTTGCAAAAACTAAAAATGTCTCTAGACATTACCAAACGTCCCCTGGAAGCCACAATCACCTCCAAATGAGTACCACTACTCTAAACAACCAATCTATTCTTTTCATCATTTTTTTCTGCACATTTTATGAAATGTATCTTGTTTTTAAATTACAGAACCGTTACCTCCTTTGACTTTAGGATGCTGGTTTTAACACAACTGGGTCATTAAATTGCTTCTGACTTGTTTCATATTATGGTCTCTTCAAGAGCTGCTACATTTTTACAGTATTGTTTTTGTGTGAGATATTGAAAAGACAATGTTAGTGGTATGTATCAGGTGCCTATGACAATTAATTGCCTGATCACTCTAACTATTCTTTGGAGACTGTCTTGGTGATTACTCTGCCCTCTTCCTTATGTGCTTTGTGACTCGAACCAAACTACTAGTTTCAACTTTTTGTAAAAACTAGACCCCACATTGTTGTTATGTTTTGTTTCTCCAGCCCAAAGCATAGCACAATAATCGTCTTGATTTAAGGTGACCAGTTATCTCCACCTGCCTAGGACTGTCCTGGGTTTAGCACTGAAAGTTCTACATCTCAGTAAATCCTTCAGTCCCAAGCAATCCAGGACAGTTGAATACCCTAACTGATAATTTCCTTTTATTTCTTTGGCAATCAAAGTAATGAATCCTACTCTCATTCCTGTACAATGGCCTGGGGAGTTTAGTACAGGGGCACTGAGGTCCTGTGGGTTGAGTTTGGCCCACAATCGTGGTATGTATGTTCTTACAGTATGCTTCCCATGGACCATGCAGCCCCACATTGTTTTATATCTAGCTCCTCTACACATGTATGTTAATAGTTTTGTGCCTGATAACCTTTGCTTTGCAACCCTTCATTTAAGGACCACTTCCAGTTTTATTTGGTGAAGAAAATCTTTAGCTCTCTGTAGATTTTTCACAAGACAGACTCATAGATGTACTTGTTGTTCAAGATGTTTTTCTGCTACCACATAACAAGAAATCAGCTTTCTGAAGCAATTAATAATCTCTTGGCAGTCTTTCTAAAGGTTTTCTTGTTCCCAGGTGATTAACTCAAAGACTTCTTAAAGTCTCAGGACTTTATAGATGAAACAGATAGCAATCTGTTGGATGATGACTAAGGATTGTTAAATTATCTTCTCCATACTTACATCTTCTCCATAATGATATGGAAATATTCCAACTTTAGCTTAACTCCTTCAAATTAAAGTTTGTCTCTACAAAACCTCCAGTTAAAGTGAAAATCTGTGGGAAATAACAAACCCATCAGCATATAGTAAGTTTATGGATCAAATGGTTATTACACAACCCTAGGTGAAATGTGATAAGCTTTGAGAGGAGATGGAAGGAAGCATTCTGAAGCTTAATTTGTCTGGCACAAGGTGAGGACTGAAAGGTGACAGTTCTAAGCAGTTAAAATACTGTGGAGATAAGGAGTGCCAGGAGAGGGGTTGGAAACAGGATATTGGTTAGAGGAAGAGATAGAAATGAATCTGCCCCATAATTTGTCTGGCCCTTTTATTCTTAGCCTATTGTTTTAAGGAGTTGCTTAATACTCGGGTCTTGAGGCTACTGCATGTAACATGAAGAAGAAAGGGAAGGAGGGAGAGAGGGAGGGAGGAAGAAAGGAAGGGAGGGAAGGAGGGTGGTGATGTTGCTCATTACCCACTCCCAGTATATGGAAGTGGCTGGATCAAGATCTCATTAACTTTAAAATATCGAATACTAATCCCGTGATGTCCTCCCCTGATTTTAGTGTAGCAGGATTAATAGTTGTACTTAGAAGGCACCAATGATCCTGTTGCTGACATAATCCATATTTTTTGAGCAGCATCAAGAGCTTGCAGCAACCTATCGTTCTGGAGGCTGGCTATTGGCACTATTTTATAGGAAATTGCTCAAAGGAACTCTGATCATATTCTCACTAGTATTACCTAATAGTCGGGAACCTTTATTTTCCTTCTGAAGATGGTTCAAAAAATTATATAGATCACCCACTCCTGGTTGGTCTTTGGCTTCAGCTTCTCAGACTCTTCCTCTCCTGGCCAACTACCAACTGCTAGAGGTTGTCAGCTCACTAGTGGGCTCACTTATTTTCTGTCTCTATAGCAGTATTTAACAAAGTACTGGGATGAGACATGCCTGGAGAGTTTAATAAAAATGCAGATTCAAAGCCTCCACCCCAAACATACTGAATCAGAATCTCCTCAGGAATTGTATACTAAAATTATAGAAATATTACTCCATACTCTCTCGATAAATGATCTCATCATTAGCCATAGCGTTAAGCTTTAACCATTTTTGTATACTTCGTGACTCACAAACTTTTATCTCCACCGTAAACCACTCTTTTAAGCTCTGGTCTTATATACTCTGTTGCTCCTTGATAGCTCTTCTTGGATGTCTCACAGGTATCTCAAATTTAACATGTCCAGATGACAAGTTTAACATCCGCTTGAAAACCATTCTTCCCAGTTTCCCATATCTTAATAATTGGGGCCATCATTCACAGAGTTTCTCAAGCATTATTCTTTCCTTGCTATAAGTGTATTCAGCTTACCAGCAAGACTTTTGTGTGCCAGCAAATTCTTTTAATTCTACCTTTAAATGATGCCATGAGTTCATCTCCTTTTTTCCGAATCCATCTACTACCTTTTGCCAAATGTACCACGTCTTATGTGACAACTGAAATAGTCTTTTAACTGATCTGCCTGCTTCACCTCTTCTCTCAACCAGTTTGCTCTCTAGTTAGGAGCCAGTGTCATCTTTTAAAGATGTCATGCGTGTCCTCTATTGATACCCTTTTACAGCTTTCCACTGCTCTTCAAGATCAATTCCACATCATAATATGGCTGTTAAGACTGTATCACCAGCTCCGGTCCATATCACCAATCTACCACCCACACCACACGGACCTTGCCTTCATTCCCTGAAGCTGTCGTGCCTTGGAACCTTTGTGGGTGCCGTGGTCTCTGCCTGGCATGCTCTTTTCACTGATCCTTGGCTGTTTGTATCAGAGGTTCCTTCTCTCACTTCAAGGATCAGGTTAAATGTCGCCTTTTATGGAGGGCTTCATCACTCTATTTCACTCTATTTAATCCTCCCATCTCTCCAACAGACTGTATTCTCTCAGTTCATTTTCCTGTTCTCTATAGTACTCAGCATGTTGTGGTTCTTGACTTATTCATCTCTGTTTTCTCATGGATGATACACTCCATGAGGGCAAAAACCATGGCTGTTTTCATCACTGCTGTGCACTCATTTTCTGCTGCAGTGCCTGATGAATGATAAGCACTGAATGCATATTTGTTATTACTTATTAAAGTTTTATTTGTTTGTCTTTAATACAAGGCCAAGAATGTCTTCAGTGTAGGGCCAAGAAGTGTTTATATGGGAAACAATTTGGGTGAGATTTTATAATAAAAAATAACAAATTTGATAGCGAAAGTGTAAACCTAAAAACTAAAACCTAACATGGAGTTGTAATAGTTCAACTCTACCTTGTCCCTCCTCTCTCATGCTGTTATGCAGATTATATGTCAATCTTTGATAACATTTACTAGCCAATGCTTCCTTTAGCTGTATAATTCACAATAGCATTTTTGTACCACAGTTTTTTTAAGTCAGGATTCTAGACACAGTAACTAATTTTTTTTCTTTTATGTGGAAAAAGAACACAGGGTTGATCTCAGATACACAGATAAAGTAGGCATTTCCCTACAGAGTCTAACTCTAGGGAGATTATAAAAGCAAATAAAATGAAAAGTATTCTTTAATTCCTGTTTTTGTTGTGTGTCCCAAATTTCACCATTTTGAATATTGTCCTGTTCTGTTAAAATCATATATGCTTGAAAATGTCATTACAGTATCAAACTACAATGTGTATGAGATCTGTCATGTCACATTTATGTTGACTAGTGGAACAGAGTAGCATTAAATAATGTTTTCCCTCTAGAAGGAAGAGTGAGCTAAAGTGAAAACTGACTACCATATAACTCTGTGATAGCATAATTTCATTTTTAAGCAGAAATATTTATGTAGATTTCTGCCTCATTACTGCACTGTGAGTTCTTAAAGAGAAAAAGTTTTTTTTTGTTTTTGCATTTGCATCATTAGGACATAAAATCATAGGTGTTCATAAAATTGTATTAAAAATTGGTAACTAAAATATAAAATAGCAATATCTTCTGGCTGGCAAAAGTGCTTAAAAACAAAATAATACATTCTTGGCAAAAGTTGGAATGATACATTCAAACATATAAATGTGCTTGTGGACTTTGCAGGAAAAAATGACTAATGGGCCTTCATACTTTACAAATGGATAATGTATTTGATGTTGGATATCATATATCATTTGGTGTTTTTATCATTGTACTGCAGATTTGCTTAGTCAACTTTATATTAGTTGCCTTTGTTTTCTCCTTTCTTATCTAGCCATTTTCACCTTCTATGCTTGGCTTATTCAGGTTCAGTGGTACAAATATTGAGTAACAACTGTTGATGTTGGCATACTTTTCACAACCCCTCTGTGGCCTTTCTCCTCATTACCTTATCTGACACTCCTTTCACTGTATTTTTACTATTCCTGCAAAACAGACTCTAGTGAAATATAGGAGCCATAGTGTAATCCTCTGTCTACTATTTTTCTCATAGTAGAAACTGTGGCTACATCTGGGATATCATTAGCAAGCTAAATGCTGACTATCAAATCTTGGATTGTGGCCTTCTATGAGTCATTTGTCTGTTGAATAAGGTGTGTACAATGTTGGAAAGAAATCATAGCAAGGTCTACACTGGAGTGCCAACAAGTTTTTCAAAAAGAGTTACCACACCCAAACAAGCATTTTTTCAAGAGCTAACATTAAGAGTAATTAACATTTAATATACCCCCACTTGTTTGTCCATTAAGTATTCTTGAAAACTAACATTTTAGCCATGTGCGTCAGTGCTCAGTTTAGCCCCTTGATCTTTTAAGTGTTTGTCTTTATTAGGTTTGTCTTCTCTGAAAAGAGACCTTTTTAAATATTAATTGCTTTTCATACAAAGTGAACCTACTCTGTGGAGGTTGATGGTTTAGTTGAATTAACATCAGCATTGTGGTCTCTTAACAGGCCTCTCCTCATTATAGAGAAGACTTATTCAGGGAATGAGGAAGAGCTCAGGGCTCTTCCTTGTACAGACCATTGTTTTCACTACTAGAATATCCCCTTAAGTATATATTCTTAAACAGGGTATTAATACATTTTTGTTGATAGTCTGTTACAGTAAGAGGGAAACTTCTGGTGAATCTTTCATCTACAACAATATAAAAACTATGCAATTTTATTTTTTCCTCATTTTTTCACCTTTTTTGGTCAGATAAAAATAGCCAGATTTTTAAATTATTATATAATTTTCCATGAAATTTTTTTGTGCATAATTTGTTATCAATACTCTTCCATGTACTTGAGAATACCATATTTAATGTATATCAAGTTAAATGATGTTGTGATACCATTTGTTAATGTTTCATATGAGGATAATTGTCCTAAGTCAAACAGATAAGCCCTATCAAAAGTGTGTACTGACACATTTGATAGGAAGCCTGTGGAGAAAGAGAGGGCTGATGGAGACTGAGTTTCTTTCTTGCACATAAATAGTTATTCTCTTACTTGAGAGACTTTGCACACTTGTTCTATACAGCTGCAAAACCTTTGCCCATTCCAGCTGCTCACTCCTAAACCCAGTCTGGTTGATCAGTCTTGCAGCTCATTATATTGATACACTATTTTAGGTGTGATCAATCCTTAACCCCAAGGAGGGAAAAAAGGAATCCCTTTCTTTGTTTGATTCCATATTTTTAAATATAGTCTAAGATTGCTTTAGCTATTTTAGCTATTGAAAATAAATCATAAGGGTGACTTTAGTTATTACACAGTGTGAATCTTTTTGCAACTCACCTTTTCATACCATGTTAGGTTTCTGAAATGTACACTAGCTGTGTGTAGGTCTGTTTTATGCATTTGAAAGGCTATTCTGCCCTGTATAAAGGTCCTATTGTGTGTTCATTCCTTCCTGTCTGGATGAACTCTGAATGGTTTCCACCCTTTTGCTCTTACACATGGTGTTTCAGTGAGCAATACAGCACAGCGGTTAACAACATTGACTCCAGAGCTGGATTGCTTGGGTTTGTAGTTCTACCACTGCTAGTTACAGGACCTTGACAAGTCATAAAACCCAGTGCTCAGTTCACCCACCTGTTAAATGAAGCATATTTCCTATGAGGTAGGCATATTATGAAGATAGCAGAGTAAAAACACATGAAAGACTTAAACAGTACCTGTCACATAAGAAACACTATACAAGTGTTCCATTTATTAACATGACCCTTTTACACGCCTCCTTACATATAAATGTGACACATTTTCATGTGTAAATGTCTAGAAGGGTAATTTCTGGGCCACAGCATAAGGATATATTCAGTTTGGCCCCCAAATTGTTAAATTGTTCTCTAAAGACATTGTAACAACTTATATTTCTATCAGTGCCATGTAAATTACTGTTTATCCTCATCTTCTTCAACACTTCGTGTCATCAGATTTTTTTACTATTTTTTATCTGCTGATTTTAATTAGCATTCCCTGATAAAGAGTAAAGTTGAAAATCTTTTTAAATTGGCATTTCTTGGAGTTTTCAATTAATATACTTTGTACAAAACAAAATGTATGACAGTGGATATGAGCATATGAAATTAAAAGGAAATTCACTTTTTACCTCTAGGAAGAAGGAGCAGGAATGGAATGGGAGAGCGGGTTTATATGCATCTGTAACATTTTTTTTCTTTAAACAAAAAAGTTTGAAAAAATATGGAAAATTTTTATTGTTTTAATTTGGATGATGAGTAGCTGTTTATATTTTATATTATAATATATATTATTTATATATATTATATAAAAGCCAGCATTTAGACTTCCTTTTGATTAGACATACTTTTGTATTTCTCACTCTTTGTGTGTGTGTTGGAGTTAGCAATAGATGTGTGTATTGGGGTAATGATGTTATAGGGGTGTTAGACAACACAAACTGAAAGGTAATATCGAAATAGCTTTTAAGAAAATATCACCTTCCTATAGATGACTGATAAGTGATAGCTATATTCTAAATATAATTAAGAAAATTAGTATGTGCAGGGAAGCAAATTACTTACGGTAAAACTTTAATTATAAAAGTATAAATGGGAAAATGAAAATAATATCTAACATGAAAAATATATTTGGAGCATAATAGGAGCAAAAAGGAGAAACTTTTTCAGGTACTGATAATCATCTCATCAATTATGGTGTGATGATAAAACAATAAAATATCCTATAGAATATCATATTTAAAATGTTTTACTACAAAATTAATTAGATCAATAAAATTTTACTTGGCTATAGCATAAAAAGTTCCTTTCTTTTCACTTTTAGAAGAATTTCTGTTTTAGATAATATCATTAAAATAGGTGAAATGTTATTGACAATGAAGGGAAGCAAATGTCATAAACCCGCCTGCTATCATTGCTTATCCATGTAAATATGTAATATTTAATTTGGGGAAGCAGTAATATATTTGTAATTATTAATGTAGTTAATATGGAAACTTTGGTTCTAACATGGACAAATTATATATGGTATAACCTCATCTAGGTAATTTTTCTTTAGTCTCTATTGAAAAGTTATGAGTTCAGAGTAGAAAATGCACTTTAAGTTTCATCCTTTAGAATGTAAAGACTAAAGGATGGATTCTTTTGAAAAAATTGACTAGAACTCTTGATTCTAGTTTCAAGGGGAAGTGTCATAGAATCTTTCATGGAACTAAAAAATCATTAGTGTAGATTTATCCACTTCTTTTGCTTTGAAGTGCTCACCTCTCTCAATGTTGCAAAATTTCATGTGAATGTGAGGTCACCTTTCCATCATATTTCTTAACATGTTTCATATAATAAACTTTTATTATCTTGAGAAATTTTCAAATTTGTTCTGTTCTAGTACTTTCTGATTCAAATTGTCCAACACAGTGTTATAATAATTTATGAGACTGTTTCATTGATATGAAGATAGAATAATATGTGATAAAAGTATGGTTTTCTTAATTTCCCAGATCCCAAAGAACAAAGTCTTATGTCATTCAGGCCTGGCAATTTGAAAATCATAACCATTTGAAAATTAGGTCAGTTATGGATCCATTAATCAAATACATTTAAAAAAACTTTAGTGAAGTAAATTGGAAAAACAAAGATACTCATTTAAAGTGTACAATTTGATAAGTTTTGACATATATGTATATATACATACCATTAAAAATCATCAGCACAATCAAGGTAATGAGGATACCCCAAAAGTTTTCTCTTACCCCTTTTAATCCTTCACCCCCACTCTTCTATCTCCAGTTAGCCAGTGGTCTGTTTTCTGTTACAAAATATGAGTTTGTATATTCTTGAATTATATATTTTTGTTAATGAAGCATATTCATTATACCGCAAAAGAGAATTCCAATCCAGTTTGTAATAGAGTGATATACTAATTCTAAATGATTTTTCTATATTCATTCATGTCCTTGGGAAGTGTCCAAAACACAGCTTATTTCTATCCATAATCTTTAATCAAAACTTACCCAATTGACTTTGGCTCTGGCCAAGATGGAGTAACAGGGGTAGATGAGTTGCAAGCAGATTTGTCTATTAGTTATCTATTGCTGTATGACAAATTATACCAAAACTTGGCAGCTTAAACAACAATCATTTATTATGTCACAAAATTTCTGACGGTTGGGTATCTAAGAGTGGCTTTGCTAGGGAGTTTTGGCTTCTGCTGTTCATGAGGTTGCTCTCACTATCAGTGAGGAATGAAGTTAAATGCTTGACTGAGGGTAGATAGTCTGTTTCCAAGATGACTGACTAGTGTGACGATTGGCTAGAGGCTCCAGTTCCTTGCTTTAGGAAGGCTTTGGATTCTCACCTTTTGGGCTTTTTATAAGACTGTTAATGATAGTATCAGCTTCCCCCAAATTGAATACTATGAAAGAGAGAATGAGCATGACCAAGGTAAAAGCCACATTTTATTTGACAGTCTACTCTTAGAAGTCATGTGCCATCTCTTCTCCCATATTTTACTGGTCGCACACAACTACCCTAGTCTACTGTGGGAGGGGACTACGCAAGAGTATATCAGGAGGTGGGGATCACTGGGGCCGTTGTGAAGGCTGGCTGCCGTGATATGTTTGGCTATATAAAGTCAAACTATTCGACAAGTTTTAAGACTCTTGTGTAATCAGCCCATAAAATCTATTTTAGCAGTATCCATTTGCTTATAATTTATGAGCTGACTACACAATAGTTTTACAGTTTTATCGAATAATAACTTTTAAAGCATGTATGTATTTAATAATTTTGGAACAAAAGAGAACCATCTTTATAGGTTAAACCTTCAGTGTGTTGTAAAAGAATCTGAATCTTATTTACTCATAAGGATTACTTGTAAGGACTAATAATAAACATTAAAGATTAGCTAATTCAATATTTATTTTTTCCATGCCCTGCAGTGACAAAAGGTTGTTCATTTTGGAGATTATTAATATGTTGTTCACACTGTTCAATGTATTTCCAATATTTTAGGTGTAAATGTATCTTAACAATTAATGTTGCTTTAAAAACTGGTATTGGGAAACATAAAGAGGATATCATTAAATCTCACATTAGCATACTTTCAGAAGGTCATCTAAAGCTGAATTATAGCTTGTGGCTAAACCCTAATAAAGACTCAAAATATTAATGGATGTTCTCATATATTAATGGTAAGAGAGTATGTGACTCAAAATAAGCCCCCAAATGCAAACAATAAAAACTAAATTGAACACAGCATCAAAAAATCTGTCAGTAAAATCATTGTGCCCCACCCTATGGCACATGCTATTCCCAAGGCAGAGCAGCAAGCTCCAAAGCTTAAGTTTTGGCAAAGGTTTTCATCATTCTCAAACCTTTTTCCAGCTCCAAGATCTGTGTTCATTTTCATTATTATTTTTATGCCCATATCCCACTGCCTCATTCTCTGCTGTTACTTATCACTTTATGACATTAGGATTACCTGCAGAATTGGATGTAATTTTAACTGCACCCAAAACCAGAGCAGCATATAAAATGAGTAGGTGAAATAGCTTGCCTTTGCTTAGTGAGTTGTGGGGATGGCCGGCTGTGGGGTGGGAAGGACTGTGTATGTCTGCTAGCTGACAAAACTGAGCAGATTAACAAATTTTGACTATTCTGCTCCCATGACAACACTTTATTTAGCGATATTTCAGTACCTTGTTAAAACCACAGCAGTCACCGACTCTGCAAGGCAGCACAGTGACTTCCCAGACTCCAGTGAGTTCCCTGAGTTTGACAGACACAGATTCACTCAAGCACGAACACAAGAAATCGCAGAGTGCAAGACAATGGGTATCTATTTCTAAGAATGAATATGGAACCTGTTTCATTTTTCACCTTCAACTTCTTCAAGGTGATTTTTGATTAAATGAGGAATGTCCATATTAAGAAGCAATGTCTTGTTTCCTAAGTCTGGTCCTTAAGTCAAAGTGCTCTAATTAGATCAATTTTAGCCATTCATTACATTAATCAGTATTTATTAAGTTTCTCTTTTCTTTCTTTTTTGTTTTTTTCAGACAGGGTCTTGCTCTGTCACCTAGGCCAGAGTGCAGTGGCATGATCACGGCTCATTGTAGCCTCGACTTTCTGAGCTCAAGCAGTCCTCCCACCTCAGCCTACTGAGCAGCTGTGACCACAAGCATGCACCACCATGTCTGGCTAATTTTTTTTATTTTTTATTTTTGTAGAGATGAGGTCTTGCTGTAATGCCCAGGTTGGTCTTCTGGGCTCAAGTGATCCTCATGCCTTACTGAGTTTCTAATATGGGCCAGGTAACCATGTTCACAGTGGTAAACAAAAAAGGACACAGTCTCTGCTCTCTGAAAGTAAATACCTTGGCATTTGAGACAGAATGAAGGGGTACATAAACACACTTTAGCTAGTGGTAAGTGTAACAGTGAAAATCAGAGAGTAATTGAAGGGATGTGGGGTCAGAAAAAGCATCACTGTGGGGCTGACATGTGAATTGAGAAGAAAGGAAAATATCTAAGACAATAACAGTCTTGACAGAGAAAACAACAGGTGCAAAGGCCCAGAGGCCTGAAAAAGCTTGGCATGCTTGAGCAACAAAGTGGACATTGTAGCTGGAATTTTAACAAGATGGGGAGTCTTAGAAAATGGTGTCAAGAGGTGGGTAGGGTCTTCACATAGCACATCTTTAAAACTTCACCTTTCTTTTCTCTTTTTCTCAGTTAAATAACTACATAGAATATCTGTCGCCTTTTCAGCAAATTTCAAGATAGAACACTGAGGAGAATGCCATTATTTTGGCTACTTAAGAGTTGAAATAGCTTCTAATTTGCTGGTAATAGTTTTAACTTGCTGTCCTCCAGTTTGGGAGATACAGTGTAACAGGGAGCATACAGCCAAAATCTGAGACATCTGTAAGCAAGCAGTCAGGAGTAGCTTGACTATACATCCAAAAGTATAGTCTTCATAACTTTGCTTTGTGAACTGCTTCTGTTAATTTTTTATGAACAGTTGGCCTGAAAGTTGTTTATTTATAAATGTGTCATTTATTAGAATAAGATGTGCTCTATTCTGTTTAGGAGGGCCAATGGGGGTGCAGATAAGTGCTTGAATTCCATTCTCGGAGGTCATTGACTATCAAAATGATCAAGCTAACTGGATTTCACTGTAGTTGAAAATATAAATTGTTGGATTGTGTCATTGTTAAACTGTGATAAATTAATTTAAATGCAATAGATCTGAAGTTTCTTCCTCAGAAATTTCAGTTTAAGGAAATTTATCTCTTTATGTTTGTTGGTCTTACAAATTTATTCTGAAATAATCAGATTTTAAAATAAATAAATCTGATATTACGGTGACCAGTGGTTTTTTTTTTTTTTTTTTTTTGAGACAGAGTCTTGCTCTGTCTCTGGGGCTGGAGTGCAGTGGCGTGATTGCAGCTTACTGTGGCCTCAACCTCCCGGCTCGAGAGACTCCTCCCACCTCAGCCTCCCAAGTAGGTGGGACTACAGGCATTTTCCACCATGCCCAGCTAATTTATTTTTGTATTATTTGTAGAGATAGGGTTTTGCCATGTTGCCCAGGCTGGTCTCGAAATCCTGGGCTCAAGGGATTGACCCCCCTCAGCCTCCCAAAGTGCTGGAACTATAGGTGTGAGCCACTGCACCTGGCTGATTTGTTATGTATTATGTAAGAATTGAAGTTATTTCTTGAGAAATAAATAGATAACAATTTGCACTTTAATAGGTAATGTATCAGGCAAGTTGACACCCATTCATCTGGTTTGGCCCCTGACAGCTATGCTTTATTATATGGTTTAAATAGATTTGCATTAGAAGTGAAACTACTGTAAGAAAATAAATATCTCATGTAAATGAAAAAGTAAATACTATGATCTCTCATGAAAAAGACTATAAAAATGTAGCCTTATCATGAACTCCTTGTGCCTGCACCAGCACAAGACAGCATTAATTGGGCAAGAAGGGGCCTATCAGGCTGGATGACATTCCCCTTATGGCAGGTTCTTGTTGGGGGGCTGACCCACAGAGTGTAGACCATGAAGTCCCACAAAGCAATGACCTGTATGGACAGGTTAGGAAATTTGAATCCTTGCTTTAGGGAGTGAAGTGATTCTTTCACATGTATTTGCTTCTGAAATAGCTATTTCTTATTGGCTCCTTATTGTTTGTTGTTTGCACACATTTTAAAGAGGAAAATGTCTCACCTTAGAGAAACAGAATTGAATACAAAACATCACTGAGCTAGCACAAAGTTTAGCACATTGAATATATACTTACATATAAATATAAATATTATGTAAAGTTTTAGTTTTATAGATTTAGTTCAAATAAAAATAAACTGTTGACAGAAAGGCAGGATAATGATTCATAGTTAATATTTAAATGATTCAACATTGAATTCAACAGGTCTAGATTTTTTACCCTTACCTGCTGCTTGTTAATTTTGTCCTTGTTTCACCAGCTATAAAATTTGAATAATATAGTGTTAATTATTTAGAAGAGTAATGTGTGGATGTAGATATATGTGTGTAATACACATATATTGTAGAATTAAATTTATTATATAAGGGGTCCTTGAAGTACTGCAAGCATTAGCACAGTGCTTAGCACTCAACAAATACGAATATCATTGATAATCATATTTTCTCCTTTTTGTGCCCCCAAGGTACTCTTTGGACAAAGTACTCTTGGACATTTTGTATTCTACTATTGTAATATCATTCAGGACTAAATCAACTCTAAAATAAGTTTTTACATCTATTTGGAAACCTAGATCTTCCTTTTTGAGGGCTATCGTTTTGCCTAGGAGGCCTTCTTTGGCTTGGGTTAGCTATGATTAAGAGGGCAAGAAAATGTTTCCCTTCTGCCGTGCCTTTAGAGTATGTGTGGGTGGGAACAATGTGCTCATGTAACCTAACAGCATAGGAGAGGGAATTGCAGATTTGGTGAACTTGCCAAACCCCATAACAGTAGCAGATGGATGAGGTTTAGAGGGTGTTGTGCCCTGTCACCAGACCCTGCTGACTTTAGCCTGGCTTTTCCAAATTTCAGAGTCTTTGCCTTTATCCAGTTCCCTCCAGGCCCAGGAGGATCTTAAAAGTAAGATAGAGGTTTTCTAATGAACAAGATTGCTTGATGTGTCCCCTAAGAAGCACTCTTCTTTTGGCTAGGCATGTGTAGTATTACTTTGGAAAGTGTTTGTTTCATTCCCATGGCACATTTATATGTATTAATCCCTGAAGGCACTATGAAGTGTAATATGAATTGCAAGTTCATTTTCTTCTGTCATGTTTGACTATTTGGTGCTGATGATCTTTTGCAAAGAGAAAATAATGGATAACACTTTCTGTTCAGAACCAGAACATGAGTCTCGAATGACCTTAATTTTTATGCTTGGGCCAAAAAGTAGAGGATCCTGGCAATTTCAGTCACCATTGTTTGGTCTTCAGTGCTCATACCATTTCCTTAGGTGGTTATCATATTTTAGTTTAGCTCCTACATTTTAAATAGATAGTAGAGATTCATTTTTAATGCTTGATAAGCAGCCAAGTTTCAGGCTTAATTCACTTAGTCAGTCTTGAGTCATTGCTCTATCCTCACTTTCATAGCAAATATCATCATTGGGATTACACCACAATGTTTTCCTTCTGAATGAACAGTTTCACAGCTTAATATAGGTTAGTATTTTCAACATGCTTGATTTTCAAGCATGCTTGAATAAGTTTACATGCTAGAAACTGGCTGGGTGCGGGGACTCACACCTGTAATCCCAGCAATTTGGGAGGCCAAGGAGGGAGGATCACTTGATGCCAGCAGTTTGAGACCAAGCCTATGAAACATAGTGAGACCCTGTCTCTACAAAAGATTTAAAAAATTAGCCAGGTGTGGTGGTGCACACCTGTAATCCCATCTATTCAGGAGGCTGAAGCCGGAGGATCTCGTGTGTTCAGGGGCTCGAGGCTGCAGTGAGCCATGATCACACCACTACACTCCAGCCTGGGAAATAGAGTGAGACCCTGTCTCTAAAAAAATAAAATAAAATAAAATAAATGCTAGAAACTGGTTGAAAGTAACTGAACAGGAGGAACTGAGGATGTGGCACTCATTCTTGGAAATCAGTTCTGGTTAAAGATTAAAACAGACTCTGCTGCTGTCTTTCTTATGTAAATATAAAGTCCAAGGGCCACACATGACATAGAAAAAATATCACTTAGCTTCTGTAAAACTTTTTAAAAATTCCTTCTTTAAATGTTTCATGATTATACATTGTTTGCAAAGTAAATGAAACAGGTTAACTTCCTGGATGCTTACTTTTAGCAGAAATATATCAGATAGCAAACTTGCTGACAGATGAATCACAGCTTTGCCCACCTGTAATGAGGATACACTGCTGGATCCCAGGTTGGTCCCAGACTTTCAGGGTGGTATTTCTGGCCTCCAGTCCACTTAGGGAACTGATCATTCTGCATACCTCTCTGGGATTATGTTCTCCACCTCATCTGGCCCTTGATAGGTAAACATCCCCTACCTGGCCAAAAGTAACAAAGCTGAAAAAACTTGGCCAAATCTGGGAACTTGTTAGTCTGCCTCTTCCTGTACCAGAACCGCGTTCCAGATTGTTTCCCAGGGTCTGACTTCAGGCCACTGTTCTTTGCTGGCCTTGACCTCAGTACTTGTCTTATAAATGACTTTATGCTTTTCTCCCTCTGCCTCATCCCACCCTCGTTCTTTGTATCCTACCTCTAATTTTTATCCTTCAGACACTTTTTATTTTTCTCCCTTGTTTGAATATATTTTTAGTTTTCTCTAGGCCTTGCTTACCAACCTATCATACCTTCCAGACTCTCATGCTCCATTCCTTCCACTCTTTCCACCTCAATCTGTTCTACCTCACCTGAAGACTCTGATAACGAGAGCAAGGTCTTCCACCTGAGCCTGATGGGGTTTTGGCCAGCTGACATTCCTCCATCACCTAATGGTCTTAGCTGCCTTGTGTCCTGTCCACCTGAGATGACACCCCTTGCATCCAGTTCTTTGAGAGAAATAATTCTTATTATAGATTTGTCTTAACCGATCCGTCAGGTTTCCTTTCTCTGACTCATTTAGTCATTACTTTTTCTCAGCGAATTTCATGTTGGATATACAAACTAACAAAGCAGAACATACTTATTTCATTTACAATTTTGGTAAAGTTTTATTATGACACCTCATTTTAGGTGTCACTCCCATTATCTTGTTTAATCTGTTAACATGCAATAAAGACAATAATAAATAGAAGGGAATAAATTTTATGAGCAGAAAGTAGTATTTGAGAATTTTCTGTCCATCCATTTAGATAGAGATTTAATAGTTCTCTTAAAGGCATTATTTGTATGCCCAAACTTCTGCTTATAGACCATTGCCATTCTTTTTTTTTTTTTTTTTAAATCTAGATCTGTGCTTCTGGTGTGTAACCATGAATATAGGTTTGTATATCAAAACAAATAAATATCTACTTGTACTTGTATGAGCAAAATCACCCTTGAAAATCCTTTACACTTTGCTTGATACCTCAGAGTTTGTTTTGTTTTGCTTTTTCATTTGCTTAGGTTTTTAAAATTTAAATAAATTGCCACAATTTAAAAATCAGAAAGTTTCAACAAAAACAGATTTCAAGTGCAAAAAAAAATTTCGAGATCTCTCAACAATGCTACCTGCATTTCTTTGCCGCAACTATATGCTTGTGCTAAGGAGCATCTGCCTCTTGACATGGGAATGTGCTTGCTGCTTTGACACAATTCATCACTCACCTACATTACTTGCCTGGGCTTTATAGACATATGAGTTTGTGCTTCTTGTCTTAAAGGAGAAGCATAGTTGGAATCAAAGAGGTAAAGGCATAGACTTCCACCCAGCAATGCTTTTCTTTTAAAAGAAAATAAAATATGTCCCCTACCCCAAAATACAAAGAATAAAATAACAGTCTTTCATAGTACCACTACCTAGAATAAATCATTATTAATATTTTGGCATATTTGTTTTCAGATTTTTTCCCCTGACTAATCCCATTTTTGTCCTGTAGAATTTTATTTCTATATGCAGGGGTGAATTTCTTCTCAAGAAGTCTCCCTCATTCTTAAAAATTTACTACCTTTTTCCTCAAGAGATATAATAATCTTGGTTTTGTAAAGTCCATTAGTTTTGTGCCTAAGGCATTAGACTTTCCTCAGATCAGAGACTCTCATGGTTCCTAGTCAGACCATTAGGCCCAAGTCAAAAACATGGTTATCAGTTAATTTCATAGGGATTTAAATAGGATAAAGACACAGCTCTAAATTCTTTAGTAGGTTAGTTTGTAAGTGTTCATAAATGTGGAGCATTTCAAGCCAGATTCATCTTAGTCCTGACCTTACTTGGTTAGAGAGTTGTCAGGCCAACTTCAAGCCAATGGAAGTGAGATATGAGTATAATCAAGTAAGCATCCAGACCAAAGTTGAGAAATTCAGCTGCCCTTCATGTGTGGTATCATATCCACAGTCCCAAGTCACCTCTATTGCCCCTAAACCTTTGTACCCAAGAGCTCTCCCATTAAGAATGAATGTGAATCCATTTGACTTTTGCTCCAGCTACTTACATAATGATCAACCTCTGATTTGTAATTCCTGTGCATGTTAGCAATTCTATCTCAGGTGTTTAGGATGCAAATAATTTTTTAAAAATTAGTACTTGGCCTCCTTTGCTTGCTCCCAAAGGAGAATTTAATACATAGTATGACTGTGACATATGTATTTATTAAAGTATAAAATATTTTTTCAGTTAGGTGAAATATAGAACTCAACAGTTTGGTATATAGTTGGTGTTCAACTGACGTCAACTTCTTCCTTTTTAAAAATATGTACTATTCTAGCAATATCATGGATTAAATGGGATTCTGATAGCTTCAGTTTGTGTTTTATTCTAAGTGTTCTAAGTGTGATAGGTCATTGTAAAGTTTTGGTTCCTGGGTAGAGGGTAGACTGTAGTGTGAATAGTGGCCTCTTGGGATAGTGGAAGCAGAGAGGACAGTTTAGAGGCCTTTGCAGAAGTCCAGGTGAAAGATGGTGCTGATTTTAACTAGGAGATTAGTAGTGGGGAGACGAGGTTTCAAGGTTGCCCTGTATTTTGAAGGTAAAGCTAACAGGACTTACTGCTAGATTGGATGTTATGTGTAAGGAAAAGAAAGGAGTCAAGGAAGATCCCTGGGTTGAATCATTCAAGCTTTATTGATTTCTTTCCCTTAAGACACCAATTATCCACGTTATTTCTACCTTTAAGAAATCACCTTTGAACCATTTTCTGTTATTAAGTGGCTTCTCATTCCTCCTTTTCTGTCACCACCTACCTGTGGAAGGTTACAGATTATACCTGTTTTGTGAACTTTCTAACAGATTTTGAAATCCCTGTTCTTTCATCAAACTCTCCTGATTAAGGAACCAAAGACCAGACTATTTCCACATAGTTTGTTCAGTTGGAAGGAAGGGTTTCCATTAGCTATTCCGTTCTCAACCAAGTTACATATGTTGCCTCCTTGCTGTGGTGCACTTATCTTTTATTTGGACAATACCTGTTTCCATTCATATATTTGCTCTGCAAGTCTTAATTCCGTGTTTCAATATATGCGCATCAATATAAGTGCCCATCTTTGATTGTTAGCACCTAGAGGGCAATTGTTGTCTTACTTGTGCAATTAGGTTCTAAATAAATCATTTTTAAGCGATGATAACATTTTGATTCCAACGTAGTGGCTGTATTTGATAAGAACTTTAATCACATTTTCTCCAGTAATTAGGCTCTTTTTGGCTGACATTTAAAGTGATGGAATGGTATCTTTAGAACATCTGGATTTTTCAGAAGGCAGCTTCTGCTTTTAGTTTTCAAGTGTTGGCCTCTTTACCACGCTGAGTTCACAAGTTCTCCATTTATGACGGCATCATGCCTTTGCCATTCTGCCACATGCATCACATAATTCTTGTTACTGGAAAGCCACTTTTGTGTTTGAAACTATTTCGAAAGGGATGGAAAAATCCCTTATTTTAAGAAAAATTGACATCTTATGGTAGTAATCTAAAATTTTCATTGAGTTGGCTTCAATACTATGTTTTTATGAACCATGTGTAGCAAAAGGAATTAATTTTCTTTGAGTATCACCACACAGACTTTTAGGAACCAAGAATGATTTATTTACTTAGTGTCTAAGATTTACCAACTTAAGAATGGAAAAATCCTATTGGATCATAAGAGACTGTTCCCTTCCCTACTGCAGGATTATGTGCTACAGTGTATTTCCTAATCTTTGTTCTTTTTAATAACATTCTTCCGGTATTCATTTGAAAGTCATTACTCCAAAATATTTCCATGAAATTATAATATCATGCCTGGTTTTAGATGGAGATAAATTTCTGATGTTTGTTTTATAATATCCACCAAAGTTTATTTTTTAAAAATATTAAGCAATATTTATCTCTTTAAAATGGGACAATTATACTAGTCCCCTACCAGTTTAAATAATAGCAATATTTTCTTTTACTTTACTAACTTTATTATTTTTGGATTAGTGATATTTTGCTTGGAACATACTATGGACTGCAGATTATTTCTCAGATATACTTTAGAAAGAAATTAGCATGGACCTCAAGCCAACAGGCAAGCAGATCAGGGTTTGTTTTCTTTTAAAATTTTTTTTATTTTTAATTTTTGTGGGTACCTAGTAGGTGTATGTATTTACACAGTACGTGACATGTTTTCATACAGGCATGCAATGTATAATAATCACATCATGGAAAATGGGGTATTCATTCCCTCAAGCGTTTATCCTTCATGTTACAAATAATGCAATTATATTTTTTTAGTTATTTTAAAGTATACAATTAAATTATTATTGACTATAGTCACCCTGTTGTGCTGTCAAATACTAGGTCTTATTCATTCTATTTTTTTGTACCCATTAACCATCCTTTCCTTTCTGTCCAACCCCCAACTACCCTTCTCAGCCTCTGGTAACCATCCTTCTACTCTCTATGTCCATGAGTTCAATTGTTTTGATTTTTAGATCCCACAAATAGGGAGAACATGTGATCTTTGTCTTTCTGTACCTGGCTTATTTCACTTAACATAGTGATCTCCAGTTCTATTTTGTTGCAGATGATAGGATCTCATTCTTTTTATAGCTGAATAGTACTCCATTGTGTATGTGTACCACATTTTCTTTATCCATTCATCTATTGATGTACACTTAGGTTACTTCCAAATCTTGGCTATTGTGAGTAGTGCTGCAACAACCATGGGAATGCAGATATCTCTTCAGTATCCTGATTTCCTTTCTTTTGGGTATATACCCAGCAGGGGGATTGCTGGATCATTTGGTAGCTCTATTTTTAGTTTTTTGAGGAACCTCCAAACTGTTCTCTGTAGTGGTTGTACTAATTTACATTCCCAGCAACAATGTCTGAGGGTTTCCTTTTCTCCACATCATCATCAGCATTTGTTATTGCTTGTCTTTCGGATATAAGCCAGTTTAACTGGGGTGAGCTGATATCTCACTGTAGTTTTGATTTGCATTTCTCTGGTGATCAGTGATATTGAGCACCTTTTCATATGCCTGTTCACCATTCGTTTGTCTTCTTTGAGATATGCCTATTCAGATTTTTTGCCAATATTTTTTTTTCTAGAGAGTTGTGTGAGCTCCTTATATGTTCTGGTTATTAATCCCTTGTCAGATGGGCAATTTTCTTCCATTCTGTAGGATCTCTCTTCACTTTGTTGATTGTTTCCCTTGCTGTGCAGAAGCTTTTTAATTTGATGTGATCCTGTTTGTCCGTTTTTGCTTTGGTTGAATATGCTTGTAGGGTATTACTCTAGAAAATTTTGCCTAGACCAATGTCCTGGAGAGTTTCCCCAATGTTATCTTGTCAGAACTTCATAGTTTGAGGTCTTAGGTTTAAGTCTTTAATCCATTTTGATTTGATTTTTTTTATATGGTAGGAGATAGGAGTCTAGTTTCACTCTTTGGCATATGGATATCCAGTTTTCTCAGCACCATTTATTAAAAAGACTGCATTTTTTCTCAGTGTATGTTCTTGGCCCCTTTGTTGAAAACAAGCTCACTGTAGGTGTGTGGATTTGTTTCTGGCCTCTCTATTCTGTTCCATTGGTCTATGTGTCTCAGTTTACACTGTACCATACTGTTTTGATTACTACAACTGTGTGGTATAATTTCAAATCAGGTAATGTAATTCCCCTAGTTTTGTTCTTTTTGCTTAAGACAGCTTTGACTAATCTGGGTCTTTTCTGGCTCCATATAAAGTTTAGGATTTTTTTCCATTTCTGTGAAGAATGTCATTGGTATTTTCGTAGGAATTGCATTCAGTTTTTAGATTGCTTTGGGTAGTATGGACATTTTAGTAATGTTGATTCTTCCAATCCATGAACATGGAATATCTCTCATTTTTGGTACCCCCTTCCATTTTTTCATCACTATTTTATAGTTTTTATTATAAAGTTCTCTCACTTCTTTGGTTAAATTAATTCCTAAGTATTTAATTTTATTTGTGGCTACTGTAAATGGGATTACTTTTGTGTTTCTTTTTCAAACTTGTAACTGTTGGCATAAACAAATGCTACTGATTTTTGTATGATGATTTTGTACCCTTCAACTTCACTGAATTTGTTTATCAGTTCTAAGATTTTATTATGGAGTCTCTAGGTTTTTCCAAATATAAGATCACATAATTTGCAAACAAGGATAATTTGACTTCTTTTTTTCCAGTTTGGATGCCCTTTATATCTTTCCCTTGTCTGATTGCTCTAGCTGGGACTTTGAGTACTATGTTGAATAATGGTAGTGAAAGTAGGCTTTTTTGTTGTGTTCCAGATCTCAGAGGAAAGGCTTTTGGTTTTTCCCCATTCAATATGGTGCTAGCTGTGGGCCTGCTATATGTGGCTTTATTGCATTGAGATGTTTTAATTCTACATCCAGTTTTTTGAGAGTTTTTATTATGAAGGAATGTTGATTTTTATCAAGTGATTTTTCAGCATCGATTAAAATGATCATTTGGTTTTAGTCCTCCATTCTTCTCTTGATATATCACATTGATTGATTTACCTATATTGAACCATTCTTGCATCCCCAAGATAAATCCCACTTGACCATGATGAATAATGTTTTTAATGTATTGTTGCATTCAGTTTGCTAGTATCTTATTGAGGGTTTTTTCATTAATATTTGTTGAAGATATTGGCCTGCATATATGTTTTTTGACATGTTTTTGTCTGGTTTTGGTATCAGGGTAATATTGGCCTGATAGAATGAGTTTGGAAGTATTCCCTCTTCCTCTGTTTTTTCAGAACAATTTGGGTAGGATTGGTATTAGTTCTTCTTTAAATGGTTGGTAGAATTCAGTGAAGCCATCAGGTCCTGGGCTGTTTTTTACTGGGAGAAATTTTATTACAGCTTTGATCTCATTACTTGTTATTGGTCAGTTCAGGTTTTGGACTTCTTCTTGGTTCAGTCTTGGTAGGTTGTATGTGTCTAGGAATTTGTCCATTTCTTCTAGATTTTCCAATTTATTGGCATATAGTTTCTCATAGTAGTCTCTAAAGATCCTTTGCATTTCAGTGGTATCAGTTATCAGTTGTAATGTCTCCATTTTCAACTCTGATTTTATATATTTGGATCTTCTCTCTTTTTTCTTAGTTAGTCTGGCTGAAGGTCTGTCAATTATGTTTAACTTTTCGAATACCAACTCTTTGTTTCACTGATGTTTTGTATTATTTTCTTCATTTCAATTGTATTTATTGCTGCTCTCTTCTTTATTATTTCTTCTACTAATTTTGGATTTGGTTTGCTCTGCTTTTCTAGTTCTTTAAGGTGCATCATTAGGTTGTTTATTTGAATTTTTTTGCTTTCCATTGTTTTAATGTAGGAAAAGGCAGAATTGCTAGACTCATGATCCGGACATGAATAACTTGAGTAATAATATACATAATTAATATTCTGAAGCAATTTGGAGATGCACATCTAAACCTGCTAAGCCTCTCTGTAGGTGGCTTCCGTTTACGGTCCATGATTTCCAGAGGATAGTACACCAGCACTTAATTGCCCATCTTTTCCAAGTTAAGATACATATATGAAATATAACTCAGGAATAGTTTAAATTAATCCACATATTTGTTATTATGGGCATTATGAATACATTACATGGTGGCATTGTTGACATTTCTCTTTTTAACCTCATGGTGTACATATTTTATATTCCCAAATATAGTTTGGAAATCAAATGACTTATAAAAAACAAAATAGTTAACTTTGGAAACAAAAGAATGAGCCCTAATGTTATGTATCACTTTGGTTGGATTCACATATTGTCCTGAAGCAGTCTATAATTAAATAATCATTTAAATTAATAAATATTATTTTTTGTCCAGCAAACCAGATAAAAATCTGCTAATTTGCTACTTAAAAATTGGCAGTGGCTCTTCAGTGCCTCGAAAACAAAGTCTAACCTCCCTAACATAGTGTATGCTTTAGTACCAGGCCACATTTTAGTCCTACCTTCCATCCTTCCCTTTCTCACACCTTCTTCCTGCCCCACCCCTCATATGTTAGTTTGTCTCATATCTTTTTCCTTGTGGATTCCGCAATCCAAATTTTGCCCTTCTGCCAACTGTGATTTCTCCCATCTTTACCTGGTGAATTGCTATTCATCCTTCATACCCAACCTCAAATGGCTGGGCATTTGAAGACTTTCTGGACTTGATTAGGTGGACCTGAAATATTTTATATTCTCTAGGGTTTTCTAAGGCAGAGATGAAACTTTCTTCATCTCTGTATTCCTTTCTTCATCTAGTACCTACCACAGTATCTGCTAGGTGTTCGATGGTAGGCATATTGTAGGAGCTTATGGAATTTGCCAAATTATTTTTTGTTTTTGAAATAGAGTCTTACTGTGTCACCCAGGCTGGAGTGCAGTGGTGCAGTCTCGGCTTACTGCAACCTCCATCTCCCGGGTTCAAGTAATTATCCTGCCTCAGCCTCCTGAGTAGCTGGGACTACAGAGGTGCACTGCCATGCCAGGTTAAGTTTTCTATTTTTAGTAGAGACGGGCTTTCACCACGTCTCTCTGGCTGGTCTCGAACTCCCGACCTCAGGTGATCTGCCCACCTCCGCCTCCCAAAGTGCTGAGATTAAAGGCGTGAGCCACCGTTTCAGGCCGGAATTTGCCAGTAAATTAATGTTACGATAATCCATACATGGATAGATTATACTTTTTTATATTATTTAATTTAATTTTAATTTTTAATTTTTGTGGGTGCATAGTAGGTATATATATTTATGGGTTACATGAACTATTTGACATAGGCATGCAATGCATAATAATCACATCGGGGTAAATGGGGTATCCATCACCTCAAGCATTTATCCTTTGTGTTTCAGACAATTCAATTGTACGCTTAGTTAATTTTAAATGTATAATTTTTTATGATAGCCTGTTATGCTAGCAAATACTAGTATATACACATTCTTTCTATTTCTATACCCATAGATTATGATTTAATGACCACTTGCCAATATTTCCTATTCTGATTCTTCATATTTCACATATGTGAAGAAATCTGTGCCTATTGTATTTTGATACAGACTTTTTGCTTGCCTTTACT
The DNA here is from genome assembly GCF_000001405.40 of Homo sapiens. Classification (NCBI taxonomy): domain Eukaryota; kingdom Metazoa; phylum Chordata; class Mammalia; order Primates; family Hominidae; genus Homo; species Homo sapiens. The sequence continues at coordinate 90,908,597 of NC_000005.10, forward strand.
TTGAATTCAGTGGTAGAATTTTATTATAATAACCTAAGATAAATTACCTAATCTTATGTAAGTATATACTAAATATTGTGTATATGACCTTCTGCGCATTTGCCTGAGTGAAGAGTGATATATTATTAAAGGGACTCTCGGAAGCATTTAAGAAGCATTGCCTATTAAAAAACAAAGTGTAACATGAATCCATAGCTCTCCAGGTGTTTGGAATCTCTTTGGAGGAAACTCATACATGAAACAAACAAACAAAAATGTAAACACAGTTGAGTTAAAATGCTCAGAGGAATAATCACTATAGGAATTCAGAGAACGGTGTGTTGAGATTGTTAAAGAGTAAGGGAGGAAGTAGGATTTTAGAGTGATTTTAAGGATGAGTAGGAGAGGAGTATATTGCGGGAGATTGGGAGCATTAGAGCAGAGGAACAACCTCTGAAGAGAGTAAGAAATCTTTCCTTTCCTTGGTCCCTTCTTATGCCATCTTTTCTCTGGACAGTGTTCTTTGCCTGCTGCGTTGTTGCTCAGGGTCACATTAGCTTAGTTCTGGGAAAGCATCCAGTAGGAAACGTGTAAGAAACTTCCTGGCCATAGCAGAAAATTGCTGTAGTATCAAATTGCTTTGTTGCTTGGGCCTCACATCTGTTTCCTTGCCCTTTCACCAACCCCTGTGCTACTAAAGTGGATCTCCTGATTCCTGAGTCCTTGATCTTTTGACCATTCCAAAATGTTGCTATTATGCCTTGGTGCTCTCTGCCTGTTTGATTTCTCCTCTACCTTTCTTGTCTGCCCTCCTGTGACCTATATGTTGTAACGTTTGCCTGGCTGAAGTCTGAAGACTCAGACTCTTGGCTGGTTAGTATAGCTGGCTTACTGTCCAGCTGACCCACTCCATAGGTGATATTCCCAACCAGACAAATTGGAGTCCTGGTCTCTTGCCCAGCTTCTTGTTCTGTCATAACAACCAACTTGCTTGGTATGAAGGGTTCATTTGTGGGAATACTAAAAACTTTGTGAGAATACGCAAAAAGAAAAAAAAGAGAGAGAGAGACAGAGAGAGAGATAAAGCTAGGCTGTGGAAAGATTTGCAAGAAAGGTTGAAGTTTATATTTCGTTCTCTAGGCCAGTGACCTTCAAAGCTCAAGTTTGCACCTCAAAAGTAGGCAAGATGATCCATGGGGTATGGACAGAAATTATTATATTATAATGACTGGCTCAGTGTGTTTCTATCTTTAAAAAGTTTTTTTCTAAGAAATACAGTTATTTAAAATACAGAAGAAACAAAAAAACCAAACATTTAAAATATAAAATAAATTAAAAATACAAATGTTTAAATTGTGGATTGACCCAAGTCACCCCATGTGTCAGTTGGTCACATATCAACTTTGGTAACAGGCTTCTGGAGGAAAGAGTATGAACTCCGCGTCCTGGAGGCGCTGACAGCAGGACCTTACTCATTTATTCACTTTCAGCTTGTTTGAGGTATTGCTGTTTATGCGTGCCTAGATTTGCAGATTGTGTTTTTAGCCTTAAGCAAAATAACATTTGTAAAGTGGTCAAGTGCCTTTAAAAGATTCCTGCCAAGAGCCTGCAGGTTGAAGCTACTACTTGTGACGCAGTCACATGGAGGAGCTGATACTTGTGCTCCTAATACTAGCTTTAGCCACACTTAGAGCAAAAATCAGTGGTATTTTAATCAGATATAACCGAACTTCTACCACCAAAAGTTGATAATTTCCAAGAAGACTATTAGAAAAGTGAATGTATCCAAATGCCTTTGACAAAGAACCTCACCCTAAGTGTATATTCCACTTTGAGATAATGCACATTGTGAATATAGTATTATGATTAGCCAGTCATTTAAAAATCGTGTTTATTTCATTTTTATACTCAACCTTTAAAATGCCCACTTTTAATGGACACTTTTAGTGTCTATGTTTAGTTTTATATATATATATTATCTATCTATCTATCTATCTATCTATCTATCTATCTATCTATCTATCTATACACCCGCACACACCTGTATGTATTTAATTTTGAGAATAAACATATATATTATAGATAAATATTTATATTTTGGGCACATGATCAAAAAGTTTTCAGGGGATTATTCTGTGGTCATCTGATTGGAAATTTTTAGAGAATACAGGTACTCCCAGTGAGGGGTGGTTTCTTTAATAACAAGAAACTGAAAACTGACTGAAAATCTAATCTTTTATGAAAATTACTTCTTAGATGCTTTCAGAAATGTTGCTTCTTACCAATGTGATACATAAAACTAATCTCGTTTGACAGTGGTGATGACAAGTTTTTTAAATCAGTTTTCCTATGTATTCCTGTTACAGTTTTGGTTGTTTATTTGAACCTTGAAACACCAGAGCAAAAGGAGGATGATGTTAACCTAGTATGATATGGTTATTGTATTAGCTAAGTAGTAGCTATGTCTTATTTAATATTAAAAAACAGCGAGTAATTCGTGTGTTTTCTGTCCGTTCTACAAATAAACCTGGTAATGGAGTTTTTTCAGAGAACCATAACATCTGAAACACATTCGATGGGTTTACCAAAGAAAGTAATTATGGCTGTAAAATCTGTGTGACTATTTTTAAGTGAAGTTCTTCAGGAAAAGGGGGTAGACAGCATAATGAGAATTCTATTTTTAACTTAGGTCACTTTTTTCATGGACTGACAATGCTGTGACTTTTTCAGACAGACAATGAGCCATCTAGCTTTTGAACTCTTTCGTATTCTGTAAACATTAGGAAGCACCAGTGTGTCTCCTAATGTAAACACACTGATCCAGACCTCATGAGGTATATTCATGATCATTTACTTTGTTTATTCAAAGGTCATTAAAAGATGTGATTTAGATTTGTTTTCTTAATATTTCTGTGGAAACTAAAAAGCTAATCTACAATGTTGTTTTACATACAGGTTTACCTGAAAGGAAAATAAAGTTTATTTTAGCTTTTGGCAATTTTTATTGATATAAAACATATAAAGTGAGTCACACAAAAGTTGACCTTGAAACTTCTCATTTTTCATGTTAGTGGTTTTAATACTATTGCATTTGAAATTTTTAACTTTTAATAAAATTGGGTTAAATTGTATCCCTCCTTTTCTTTATATATTTATTCCGCCTCTGTTATCTTATCTTTCTGCATCTTTAGAAGATTATAAGCTTTTGGAATCAGAAACAATGTCATAGACTTTTCTTTTTTTTGTCTTCCCAGGAAGTTGATTAAAGTAGAAACTGTCATGGTCCCACAGTTTCCTCCAGTAGCTCAGGTTGAGGACAGATTATACATAGGACATAAGGAAACAGCTGCTAAGTCTCCTGTTGAGCAGCAGCATAAAAGCAGCATGTCAGGTCTGCAGTACTGGGTTCAAATCTTGGCTCTGCTAATTCTAAGCTTTATGGAGTGGGAAATTGACTCCATGAGTCAATCTCATGGAGTTGTTATGAAACATGTAAGTTTCCTAACAAGGTGCTTGGTAAGCGGTAAGTACTTCATGAATATGAGCTGTTTTTATTATCAGTATGATTACGTGGAAAAGAGAACCTTGTTAGCAGGGGTATTTAAGGAGAAAGTAACTTCTCAAAAAGACCAGTGGTGAAAGCAGAAAGGCTATTGCAGTGTGGATGCCAATGCCCCTTCTAAGGAAGCAAGCAGGAGGGAAAGGGAAAGGAGAAGCAGCTGGACAGAAGCACCTGTGTCAGCTTAAATGACAGTACCAAACATTTCTCCTGACCTTCTGCCAGCATCATCTTTCTTAAAAAATAATTTCAACTTTTATTTTAGATTCAGTGGTTGCATATGCAGATTTGTTAGTTACAGGGTATATTGCATGATGCTGAGGTTTGGGATACAAATGATCTTGTCACCCAGGTAGTAAGCATAGCACCGAGTAGTTAGCTTTTCAACACTTTCTCCCCTCCCTCCTTCCACATTCTAGTAGTCCCCACTGTCTATTGTTGCCATCTTTATGTCCATGAGTACCTAATGTTTAGCACTCCCTTACAATGTGGTATAAGTGATATTGGTTCTCCATACCATGGAGAACGGGGGTTATTTGGTTTTCTGTTCATGTGTTAATTTGCTTAGGATAATAGCCTCCAGCAGCATCCGTGTTCCTGGAAAGGACATGACTTTGTTCTTTCTTATGGCTGCAAAGTATCCCATGGTGTAGAAGTACCACATTTTCTCTATCCAGTGGACTGTTGACAGGCACGTAGGTTGATTCCTTGTCTTTGCTATTGTAAATAGTCCAGCATCATCTTTTGCTCAAAGTTAATTAAGTCCACTTCTCAATCCTATATTTTCCACATTTATTTCTCTGTAGTAGAAATTTGGGACTTTGATGTTGGGGTTCGAAACATATTTTTATTTTCCTTCATGAAATACTGCATGAGAAACAAGACTAGGCAAACATTTTAACTTGTAAGTAGTAAGTTTCTCATTATTAAAATATTCAATGTATAAATCATGTGCCACACTTAGCCAGGGGTTCATTTTTCCACTGGCTAATTTGGGGCCCCAGGAAAACTGAGCATTATAGACTGTGGAAATATAGCCAGGGCCTTCTCAGTGATTAGATATTACTGAGGGCAGGGTGGAATCAGTGCTCTGCATTTATCCCATTACAGCTTTGGAGTGAAAGTGTCACCTCTTCCCATAGCAGCAATTACACTAGCAATTAGAGAATCAACACTTTTATGAATTTCACATCTGGCCCAAAGTACAAGCCTGAATTTCTAGACTTTTTACTATAATTATCCTGTTATATCAATATTTATCATTTTCTTAGTGGGAAGTCTTATTTTTATAATTTGGTAGAAGTTATCTAACCAATTAGTTCTAATAAAAGTTTAACATTAAAAAGTGGTAGCATAAAAATAGTTTTAGATTTAATGATTCATATACACATCACATTATAAAATGTCTTTTGCAGTAAAGTTAAATAATAAAATGTTTTAAATGTCTGAGTTTTATTTTTTTTCTTCGTTGCAGGAAATTTACATTTGATGAGGAAACTAAATATCTTCCATTTAAAGTCATAGGCCTAGTTTATCATAACTCATGCTTCTCTTCCCATTTTAGAGTGGTTTTCTAAATATAATCACAAAGTATGAAGTTTCTTTCATAAAACCTTATTCTGAAATGAGTTCCATGTGAGTGTTTACAGGGAAAACCAAGCCAACCAAAAGGCACTTTCAAGATTCATGTGTTTGCTTTATTTAAAAATATCTATAATTAGTTGCTCATAGATAAATGATACTTTTGTCCTGCCTCAACATCATAAATCTTTGCGGGTGAATATTGTGCTATAATGTTTTTTCACCATGATATGAATTTTAAAGACTTAATAAGCCCCTCTTAGCATGGTTACTTTAACAGGGAAAATTGAACCCTTGGTTTAACATATGAAGTAGTGAGTGGGGCTTTAGTAATGGATCCAGATTTAGCTGAATAATACAGTTTGAATATCCCTTATCCAAAATGCTTGGGACCAGAAATATTTTGGATGTGGGGTTTTTGCACATTTTGGAATACTTGCATTGTACTTATCAGTTGAACATCCCTAATCCAGGAGCCCAAAATGCTCCAATGAACATGTCCTTTGAGCATCATGTAGGTGCTCAAAAAGTTTTAGATTATTGAGCAGTTCAGATTTCAGATTTTCAGGTTAGGGATACTCAACCTGTAACACTAACCTTAATTGAAGCTTTACCTTATTCCAGACGCTGTGCTAAATCTTTCATAGAGACTCGTCTCATTTAAACCTCACAACAAATCTTTGAATGAGATACTCTTCTTGTCCCTATTTTTAAAATGATGAAACTGAGTTTAAATAAAACTGTGAATGTATTTAACTCTTCTAAGATCACACAACTATTAAGTGGAGATAAACCTTAAGGCTAGATGAAGAGTTTTAATTTTATGTTGAGTAAAACATACCTTTACAGCAAATGTACTATTAATATGTAAGTCAAAGTTTTGTAAATGTGATTATTTTATCTAATCTTTAATTAATAAAAGAGATGATTTCCCCATTTCTGATTGATTTTTACTTGCCAGCAGCTGCTAGATCCTTTCCATTAAGTTTATAGGTCAAGTTGTTAATAATCTTTAAACAGCAGTTTAAACCTACCAGCTAAGTTTATTTATTAACAACAACAGAAACAAAAACAACCTGTTTTTCAACATTCCTTTTCTAATAAGCAGTTGTTATAGGACCACAATGGAATATATGTTAATTGCCTTCAAGATCTCTTAAAAGACAAATTCTCTAAGTAACCACTGGAGCATTTATGAGCAAAGAGATTTTATTGTCCCTGCCTACATGCTCCCCTAAAAACTGGATGAGTTGTGATGTAACTTTTTTTCTTCTAAGAAATTTAACAGTTACAGAAAATTCAAAGAATATACCAAATATCTCCATAATAAAATATTACTACTGTTATATTTTCCTTCAATTATTTTGTTAAGAAATATTGCAAACATAAACTTTTAAAAAATGTTCAGTATTATTAATTTGTGGGAATTATTTATTACCTAGAAAATGCTCACTTATCCAGACAGCGTTCTAAAAGTAATCATAGAAAAGGTATTCCAATGTACTTTAGGATAATATATTCTTAATTATCGTTTGTATAGGGCATTATTTATTATTTTAAAACAGCAAGTAAAGAATTTAAAATGATCAGTAATCTGGTTTAAAGGACTCTGATGCTAAAATAATTATTTTGAGATTTGTTGTGTAGAATGACTGGATTTTGACTTAAGAATTCAGTGGCTGTTTAATCCCCCTGACTTTAGTATTACTTATTAATCTCTGTGTCCTTTGGTCAGGAATTTGGGGAAGAGCCACATGAACTGAGCATGACTAGGTCCACAAGCTTGTTTATTTGTTTTTCCGTTGTGACTGAAGGCTAAACTCTTTTAGAAAGGCAAAAGGAGTCTGCAAAAATTAACGCTGATTGTGAGATTGGTGGAAAGAGGGTGGGAACAAAGTAAAAAATACACATCAAGTTCTAAAATTAGCCACTGTGATCAATGCATGCTACCAAGGGGGTGCTGCTGGCTGACCTATGATGGGAAGACCCTCCCCCAGCCCCCGTGGGTGCTGATCATGCTAAGTTGGCACGCTTCATCATTAAACAAAGTACTAAGATTAATTACTTCAAAGGGGTAGATTAGTTGATTTTAACTGTAAAAATGCACATATTTAACAGTTTAGCATTTCATGATTTATGTGTATAAACACTGAGACTCTAATGGTAAGGCGTTTGGCCATACCTAACATAATTTATTTGTTCATACTTTCAAGCCCTTGAAAGTTTTTGATCCCCTTATATTTAAGGTGGCAGGTTTTGGTTTAGAAGGGTATGGGCAGAGAATGTTGGCCTTTCTGTAGCATTTCTAAGAGGTTTTTGAGTGTGAACTAGCACCAGGGCTTAGGGAATTGGAGAGATAGGAAGGAGGGGATATTTGGATGCAAGATGTCATTGGCCTCTCACTGAGTATTCAGTCTAGGGGCAACCTAGCCTTAATTATGTTTTTATGGATTTTTTTTTTTCAAGAATCCCATCCCAGTGAGTTGTTTAGAAGCAGGATTATATTTAATAAGGCAATGGCAATTTTTTAAAACATGGATTTAATATAATAATTTTTCATTTCATTTTAAATGACAATTTAATAACTGACTTAACATTTAAATATATGAAGATATTTTTTAATTGGTAACATCATTACAATGTTTTATAAATCTAAAAGAAATTTAAATTTTCAACAAATTCACCACTAATACTGGGGGACAATTCTAGATCAATTGATTAGGCCTCCTTTTTGATGAGGCCCAGGCATTGAATTTTTAGGAGCTCTGCTGGTGATTTCATGTGCACCCCAGGTAAAGAAGCAATGTTTTATATAGTTTCATCCACAGTGTACATATTATTCGATATTCAATTTACATATTCTATTTCACTTAATTTTATAGGGAATATTTTCCTTGTTTCTTCAGCGTTCACAAATTTTTTTTTTTTTTTTTTTGAGACGGAGTCTCGCTCTGTCGCCCAGGCTGGAGTGCAGTGGCGGGATCTCGGCTCACTGCAAGCTCCGCCTCCCGGGTTCACGCCATTCTCCTGCCTCAGCCTCCCGAGTAGCTGGGACTACAGGCGCCCGCCACTACGCCCGGCTAATTTTTTGTATTTTTAGTAGAGACGGGGTTTCACCGTTTTAGCCAGGATGGTCTCGATCTCCTGACCTCGTGATCCGCCCGCCTCGGCCTCCCAAAGTGCTGGGATTACAGGCGTGAGCCACCGCGCCCTGCCACAAATTTTTAATTAGAATGTATATTTGTGTATCTCAATTTATTAAATTATTCATATAATATTGAATATTTCATTGTAAGTTAGTAGAAAACAATGGTGCAGTATCATTTGATTTCTCTGTTGAATCATTTCCAGACCATATCGAAAAGAATGAACAAACCTTGCTGTTTGTAGTTGCCACATTGCTTTCATAAGGGATGTAGCAATCACAATACTATCAGCAATGAGTGCTTGTTTCACCACAACTTTCCTGGAATTGGGAATTATCGATTACTAAACTCATTTTAAATCTTCATTGTTTTCAGGACTCCAAAAATGAAAAGAAGGGGAAAATGCCACAAATAGCTATGTTTATAAATGGAGCCATTGGTAGTTCCCTGGAAGTAGAGAGATGTATACAGTGATGTGCCTACAACTAGATCCAAGTAGGTTATTCTAATTTAAGTGACTTTTTAAGTCATTACCAATAAAAACTTTAAAGATATAAATTACCTACAACCATCAAGAATGGATAAAAATTAACTACTACAGCTTGTGCCAACCATGTGCTAGCAGTGGGAATACTCAAAATAAGCAAACAAAACTTCAGTGAATCAAAACAAAATCAACAGGTGTAACCTGCTTCACATTCTTCAAGCTTATATCAAGCTCTGAATCTGCCAAACTCCTGAGGAAGTCAGTTTCCTGTATAATTGAGAGATAAGCTCTATTATTGAGAGAACCAACTTCTTTCCTTAAAAGAATAAACCAGCTAGAGTCTCATTTTGTATTGTTTATTATCCCTTGACTACAGAAAGCGTGCTACCAAGCAGAAAGCAGGCTTTGTCACAAATACCAAGAAATCCAGATGCTTAGAGAATCTGAGTTTTTATTGTTCTCTTTCTCCTCTTCCTCTCCCTCTTCCTCTGTCATTTGTACCATCATCATCTTCATCATCATCACCACTATCATTTTTTTTAAAGAAGCATTTGTAAAGTGCTCATTATGCTGGGTACTTTATCTGTCTTATTTTATTTAGTCTTTATTGGTAGTAGCTCTTAGGCAGATATATTTCACTATTTCATTTTTCAAATGAGAATGAGCTGCAAAAGGATGAATACCTAATTCAAGGTTACACAACTAGCAAGAGCAGAAACTGGAATTTGACTGAGGCATATTAGATCCTACGATCTGAATAGACTTGCTAAGGCTGTTTGGCTTTCACAGTTCAGATCAGTTTAGAGTGCTGGATCAGTCCAATCTGGTGGCTGTGGCAGGTGCTAAATCTTGTAGGAAGTAGTCCCAATGTTTGGGACCAGCTCTGGTTTTAGTGACCCCACAGAAAGCCTAATTTGACTTTCAGGAAGCCTGCAATGGTTTTATGACGGACCACATCTACTAGACTAAGTGAAAGCCCAGATCCGGAGAGAAATGATCCAAACATCTATTTCCCAGTGGCCAGATCTGTTTTATTAAGAATCACATTATTAGGTTTCAATGTTCGGGCTATTTTCAGCGATTTTATCTCTTGCATCTTCTACATCCATGAGTCACCAAGTTCGGTGTGAGAGGTAGATAGCAAAGATTAGTGGAACAATTATAGAATTTGAATGTACATATATCTGAGCTTGAATTCCAGCCCCATTAGTTAGTATTTTTATAACTTTGGATACTAAGTTTCTTAATGTCTGTGTGCCTCAGCTTTCTTGTCTTTACACTGTAAATAATAATAAGTTTCCAGGGTTGTTATGGAGATTAAATGAGATATCTATATATAAACATGTTATGCAATGTCTTGCATATGATAGGCTTTCTTCCTCCCATGTATATTTACTCCACAATGATTATTTAAACCATTATTTTATATTTCCACTTCTTATGTTACTACAACCAAGGCCTCCCTCTCTTTACCTCTTAGTGGAAGAAATTTACACCAGCCATAGGGGTCTTTCTCAATTCCTCCTTTAATTGTGTCTGTCCTTGGTTTAGGAATTCACAGTGTGCATAACCCAGAGACCTAATCAATCTGGCCATAGAACATAACCCTGCCCTACCCTGCCTGATGCATCTCATACATTTTGAGTTACATTTCTCTAAAAGCTTTGTTTTAATTTGCCTGCTAAAGATCATCCTCTGGTTTTCTGGCAATACATAAAACATTTCAAATTACATGCATCCTCAGATATCAAATCCAAACTTCTTTTTCTAGTTTTTAATATTTTCCAGCTGCTATTAGCTTCCTTCCTGTCACCCAGATCAAGAACCACAGAATCGTAAAGGAGCATAGAACTCATGTAATTATTTCCTTTTAGCCCAAATCTACTGTTCCTATCTCATATATACTTCTCAGCAGCATCTATATATTCCCAAACAATGGATGAAAGAGAAAGCCTTGCCCGATCATAAAAGCAATGTTTTCTGATTACTAGACAGATGGTATTTAGATAGGATTGGAGACTTCAAAATGATGTTGATAAGAGAAAGTAATATTGGGAGGTGTAGTTGATACATATAAAATTCTGTTTTTACACCTTCTAATTTGTTCACTTTATTTTTCTGGGTCTTATAGTGATTATGACTATAACTGAGATAAAAAATAACAACTGGACTTTGAGAAATTAAAGTTGTTCCTCAAAGTGATCTCTTTTCTTGCTAAAATGTACTATAATTATTAAATGTATTTGTGATTCAGGTAAGTTTTAGTTTAAGCTTTGAGTGTCGTTTCATTAATGGAAATACAGATAATTGCTTGAGAACTCATTAAATGTATGTACTACTAGAATAGAAAGGAAAAATATTTTGGGCTGGGCGTGGTGGCTCACACCTGTAATCCCAGCACTTTGGGAGGCCGAGGTGGGCGGATCACCTGAGGTCAGGAGTTCGAGACCAGCCTGACCAGTATGGAGAAACCCCATCTCTACTAAAAATGCAAAATTAGCTGGGCATGGTGGCACATGGCTGTAATCCCAGCTACTCGGGAGGCTGAGGCAGGAGAATCGCTTGGACCCAGGAGGTGGAGGTTGTGATGAGCCAAGATCGTGCCATTGCACTCCAACCTGGGCAACAAGAGTGAAACTCCATCTCAAAAAAAAAAAAAAAAAAAAAGAAAAATATTTTGGAAGAGTAATATTTACATAACTGTCTTAGCCTGTTCAGGCTGCTATAACAAATTACCATGGGCTGTGTGGCTTATAAACAACCAACATTTATTTCTCACAGCTCTGGAGACTGGGAAGTTCTAAATCAAAGTGCCAACAGGTTCAGTGTCTGGTGAGGGCCCACTTCCTGGTTTATAAACGTTTTTTCACTGTGTCCTTATGTGGCTGAAAGGGCCAGCGAGCTCTCTTGGGCCATTTTTATAAGGGCAGGAATCCTATTCATGCAAGAGGAACCCTCATGACCTAATAACTTCCCAAAGGCTCCTAATGCCATCGCCTTACGGGTTAGAGTTTCAACATATGAATTCGGGGAGACGCAAATATTAGAACATAACAAATACTCTTTTGAAAATGGTTTACTGGCTTCCTAAATTTAAAAAAAAATTTCTCTTCAGAGTCTTTTTACTTTTCATTATTTTACATTCAGGTGCCCACTAGAATTTATGTACCTTTAACAGATTTAAGAGTTATTTCTAATATACTAGTGAGAAATGATTAATATTTTATAGCTGATTCCTATAATAAACTAACCCAATCAAAAATATTTTATTAGATGAATTAGAGCAGTTATCATCTCATTAGTATCTTTTCCTCTAATTACTACAGAATGTAAAATTTATTTATTTCTCCTCATTATAAGGCAATTTCCTAGAGTGAATAGCACAACAAAAATAGTGTAATGTTTAGAATGTAAATGTGGAATTTTACACATTCCATTTTTTAAAAATCTAACTCAGTTCCCCTGTACTTACTAAAATTCCTCTTCTAAATGTCATTAATTAACTACTGGCTGTCAAATTCAATTGTCATTTTCTATTTCTCATCTTCCTTTGTTATTGTTAACTGCATCCTACTTTGTAAAACTCTCTTTCTTTTCTGCATTTTAGGTTTAAATTTTGTTATCAAATCATGTGAACTATGTAAAAAGTGAGCACTTCTGTACCTGCTTCCATTTTAATAAATAAAACACTATCAACAAATTTCAAGTTCCCTATGTGTTCCTCCCAGATTGTATGTTCCTTCATGCCCAAATGAAAGTGTAACCATTATCCAAACTTGCATGTTTACAATCACATGCATTTTAAATATTCTTTTGCTACATAGTATGTACCTGTACATAATGTGTCATGTCATATTTTGGTATATTTTAACTTTTCTTTAAATAATATCACACTGTGTGAATGGGTGTGTTTTTTAGCACCTATTTTTTGTTTTTTGTTTCATCATTCAACATTGTTTTTATGACAGTCTTCCTTATTTATTTATTTATTGCTTTTGGTTTCTGGGGGTCTTGTAATTGACTGCCTTCTCTTCTAGCTGCACAACCTCTCCCTATGTATTCCCTGCCGCATCTGGCTTCTATAAACCTTTCATATTTTTCTCAGATCCAGGACTGTCTAAAAACCTACTGAATATCTCCAACAGGATATCCCACAAGTAACATAAACTTCATCCTTCAAAATGTGAGTTTATTATCATCTCCCCAGAGCTGCAATTTCTTTTGCTTTTTCTTTAACTCAAATAATGGCACACTATCAACCCTGCCATCTGTGCTGTTAAATTTAGTCATTGTGAAATCCCTGGTGTTCTTTACCCTTCATGGCTACTTAAATCACTAAATCCTCTAGAGGCTAAAAGTAAAAACTAAGCTGCTGGAACAAGATATATTAATGTAGTAATGCATATATGTATAATAAGTAAGACCAAACCCAATAAAGTTGTGTCTTGTTTTTTTTTTTTTTTTTTTTCTACAAGAGTCTGAGATGTCTGAGCCCCAGGTCAATGCAGCACTACAACATGTCTTCCATCTTCAGCATGTGACTTCCGAGGTCATCCTTCCAGCCTGTGGGAGAGAGGACAGTGCAAGTCCGGGGTCAAAAACTGACTCATAAGCAGGGCCTAAGTTGTTCAATCACTTCTATTCACACTCTACTGGTTGCAAGGGGTCTAAGAAAAACAGCACCTAAGTGGGTAGCCACCCCCTCGCCCTAACTCTATCAGTATTGGAGGATAGACTTTGGTGGACAGTCCCGTATCTGTGCCACACATAGGTTCATAAATGTCTTCCAGGGCCTTTCCTTCTTTACCTCGTTTCACTGCCACACTGTATGGTGTCAACATCGCTTGCTTAAACTATTCCAAATAGTCTTTTGACTGATTATATTTTCTTCTTCCAATCCATCTCCTATGTTAATGTCAGTTATCTTTCTAAAATATTGGTGTTTTGTTGTTGCCCTTCAGGAAAATTTTAAGAAGTCCAGTATCTCTCTGTGGCCTCTGAAATTTTTATGGGATAAACTATATGACATGTGACAGGTATATAGAATACTTACAACGTGGCCTTAGGTTGTTTCTCTGGCTTTTCACTCATTCCCTATATTCTATACTTTGAACACATTTGCCGGCTCACTGTCACTTACTATGTCGTGTATTTTCATAGCTTTATGTCTTTATTTTCGGAGTCTCCTGTGTCTGGAAAGCTATTTTTCCCTTCTTCCTCTACAGTGGTCACCTCCTATCAGTAGCTTTCCTAGATAACCTTACAACTAACCAAAGCAGAGCTCATTGCTGCTTTCCCGGTGTTATCATCTATATAAACCTTGCTACTCAGAATGTGGTCTGCAGACCAGTGGCACCAGCCTCACTTGGAAGTTTGTTAGAAATGCAGAATGCTGGACCCAACCTGACCTACTGAATTAGCATCTGCATTTGTAACTAGTTCCCATACGATCTGGTACGGCTGGTCCTCAGGCTTTAGAAATAGCATTCATCATATTAATGACAGTTGGTTCTTGATGCATGGTCTCCTGTAGGCCTTAAGTTTCTCATGCAGAAACTGTATCTTGTTCAATGTGGAGCCCTCAAAACCTTCCACAGAGTATCTGCTACATAGTGGCTCCTGCTAAATTTATACTGAGGGACTTGATTTGTATTTTGTCTTATCTAATGGTCCTATAAGAAGTTATGCTTAGAATTTGGGTGTTTTCAGCACTAAACCCACCAAATTATTTATTTCTATGAGAAATAGAAGCATTTTTGCACCTTCTAAACCATATCCTTTGAAACTTGTGAGCATTACATGAATGTGCATGCATCACATAATTTGGATAGGATTTATTGCAGTTTATGATTATAATTTTTCATTATGCTGCTAAAGGAACCATTAGCTAAAAGGATATTTTCATAAACAAATATTATAGTAAGGGCTAGCCTAATGTATATAAAGGATAATATATATTTTTAAAGTTAGAAATTGCCTCTAATTTTTAATATGTACTATAAAATCCACACAATTTAGAAATTTTCTTTGAAATCAATTTAAAAGAAATTGTTTTTTAAAAAGTATGTAAGTGTTTAAATATATAAAATTTAAATATATACTAAAATATAACTCTGAAATTTAAATATTTACTAGGATATATACATAAAACAGCTTGCTGCATTGACCTGGGGCTCACACACCTCAGACTCTTGTAGAAGAAAAAAATCAAACAAAACAATACAGTCAGTGTTGCAAGCTGCAATATAGAACAGTCCCAATCTTGCCTTAGGTTATTTGTTCTTTTTTTTTATTATTATACTTTAAGTTTTAGGGTACATGTGCACATCGTGCAGGTTAGTTACATATGTATACATGTGCCATGCTGGTGCGCTGCACCCACTAAATCGTCATCTAGCATTAGTTATATCTCCCAGTGCTATCCCTCCCCCTGCCCCCCACCCCACCACAGTCCCCAGAGTGTGATATTCCCCTTCCTGTGTCCATGTGATCTCATTGTTCAGTTCCCAGCTATGAGTGAGAATATGCAGTGTTTGGTTTTTTGTTCTTGCGATAGTTTACTAAGAATGATGATTTCCAATTTCATCCATGTCCCTACAAAGGACATGAACTCCTCATTTTTTATGGCTGCATAGTATTCCATGGTGTATATGTGCCACATTTTCTTAATCCAGTCTATCATTGTTGGACATTTGGGTTGGTTCCAAGTCTTTGCTATTGTGAATAATGCCGCAATAAACATACGTGTGCATGTGTCTTTATAGCTGCATGATTTACAGTCCTTTGGGTATATACCCAGTAATGGGATGGCTGGGTCAAATGGTATTTCTAGTTCTAGATCCCTGAGGAATCATCACACTGACTTCCACAATGGTTGAACTAGTTTACAGTCCCACCAACAGTGTAAAAGTGTTCCTATTTCTCCACATCCTCTCCAGCACCTGTTGTTTCCTGACTTTTTAATGATTGCCATTCTAACTGGTGTGAGATGGTATCTCATTGTGGTTTTGATTTGCATTTCTCTGATGGCCAGTGATGACGAACATTTTTTCATGTGTGTTTTGGCTGCATAAATGTCTTCTTTTGAGAAGTGTCTGTTCATGTCCTTCGCCCACTTTTTGAGGGGGTTGTTTTTTTTTTTCTTGTAAATTTGTTTTGAGTTCATTGTAGATTCTGGATATTAGCCCTTTGTCAGATGAGTAGGTTGTGAAAATTTTCTCCCATTTTGTAGGTTGCCTGTTCACTCTGATGGTAGTTTCTTTTGCTGTGCAGAAGCTCTTTAGTTTAATTAGATCCCATTTGTCAATTTTGTCTTTTGTTGCCATTGCTTTTGGTGTTTTGGACATGAAGTCCTTGCCCATGCCTGTGTCCTGAATGGTAATGCCTAGGTTTTCTTCTAGGGTTTTTATGGTTTTAGGTCTAACGTTTAAGTCTTTAATCCGTCTTGAATTGATTTTTGTATAAGGTGTAAGGAAGGGATCCAGTTTCAGCTTTCTACATATGGCTAGCCAGTTTTCCCAGCACCATTTATTAAATAGGGAATCCTTTCCCCATTGCTTGTTTTTCTCAGGTTTGTCAAGGATAGATAGTTGTAGATATGTGGCGTTATTTCTGAGGGCTCTGTTCTGTTCCATTGATCTATATCTCTGTTTTGGTACCAGTACCATGCTGTTTTGGTTACTGTAGCCTTGTGGTATAGTTTGAAGTCAGGTAGTGTGATGCCTCCAGCTTTTTCTTTTGGCTTAGGATTGCCTTGGCGATGCGGGCTCTTTTTTGGTTCCATACTAACTTTAAAGTAGTTTTTTCCAATTCTGTGAAGAAAGTCATTGGTAGCTTGATGGGGATGGCATTGAATCTGTAAGTTACCTTGGGCAGTATGGCCATTTTCACGATATTGATTCTTCCTACCCATGAGCATGGAATGTTCTTCCATTTGTTTGTATCCTCTTTTATTTCCTTGAGCAGTGGTTTGTAGTTCTCCTTGAAGAGGTCCTTCACATCCCTTGTAAGTTGGATTCCTAGGTATTTTATTCTCTTTGAAGCAATTGTGAATGGGAGTTCACTCATGATTTGGCTCTCTGTTTGTCTATTATTGGTGTATAAGAGTGCTTGTGATTTTTGTACATTGATTTTGTATCCTGAGAGTTTGCTGAAGTTGCTTATCAGCTTAAGGAGATTTTGGGCTGAGACAGTGGGGTTTTCTAGATATACAGTCATGTCGTCTGCAAACAGGGACAATTTGACTTCCTCTTTTCCTAACTGAATACCCTTTATTTCCTTCTCCTGCCTAATTGCCCTGGCCAGAACTTCCAACACTATGTTGAATAGGAGTGGTGAGAGAGGGCATCCCTGTCTTACGCCAGTTTTCAAAGGGAATGCTTCCAGTTTTTGCCCATTCAGTATGATATTGGCTGTGGGTTTGTCATAGATAGCTCTTATTATTTTGAAATACGTCCCGTCAATACCTAATTTATTGAGAGTTTTTAGCATGAAGGGTTGTTGAATTTTGTCAAAGGCTTTTTCTGCATCTATTGAGATAATCATGTGGTTTTTGTCTTGGGCTCTGTTTATATGCTGGATTACATTTATTGATTTGCGTATATTGAACCAGCCTTGCATCCCAGGGATGAAGCCCACTTGATCATGGTGGATAAGCTTTTTGATGTGCTGCTGGATTCGTTTTGCCAGTATTTTATTGAGGATTTTTGCATCAATGTTCATCAAGGATATTGGTCTAAAATTCTCTTTTTTGGTTGTGTCTCTGCCCGGCTTTGGTATCAGAATGATGCTGGCCTCATAAAATGAGTTAGGGAGGATTCCCTCTTTTTGTATTGATTGGAATAGTTTCAGAAGGAATGGTACCACTTCCTCCTTGTACCTCTGGTAGAATTCGTCTGTGAATCCATCTGGTCCTGGACTCTTTTTGGTTGGTAAACTATTGATTATTGCCACAATTTCAGCTCCTGTTATTGGTCTATTCAGAGATTCAACTTCTTCCTAGTTTAGTCTTGGGAGAGTGTATGTGTCGAGGAATTTATCCATTTCTTCTAGATTTTCTAGTTTATTTGCGTAGAGGTGTTTGTAGTATTCTCTGATGGTAGTTTGTATTTCTGTGGGATCGGTGGTGATATCCCCTTTATCATTTTTTATTGTGTCTATTTGATTCTTCTCTCTTTTTTTTCTTTATTAGTCTTGCTAGCGGTCTATCAATTTTGTTGATCCTTTCAAAAAACCAGCTCCTGGATTCATTAATTTTTTGAAGGGTTTTTTGTGTCTCTGTTTCCTTCAGTTCTGCTCTGATTTTAGTTATTTCTAGCCTTCTGCTAGCTTTTGAATGTGTTTGCTCTTGCTTTTCTAGTTCTTTTAATTGTGATGTTAGGGTGTCAATTTTGGATCTTTCCTGCTTTCTCTTGTGGGCATTTAGTGCTATAAATTTCCCTCTACACACTGCTTTGAATGCGTCCCAGAGATTCTGGTATGTTGTGTCTTTGTTCTCATTGGTTTCAAAGAACATCTTTATTTCTTCCTTCATTTCGTTATGTACCCAGTAGTCATTCAGGAGCAGGTTGTTCAGTTTCCATGTAGTTGAGCGGTTGTGAGTGAGATTCCTAATCCTGAGTTCTAGTTTGATTGCACTGTGGTCTGAGAGATAGTTTGTTATAATCTCTGTTCTTTTACATTTGCTGAGGAGAGCTTTACTTCCAAGTATGTGGTCAATTTTGGAATAGGTGTGGTGTGGTGCTGAAAAAAATGTATATTCTGTTGATTTGGGGTGGAGAGTTCTGTAGATGTCTATTAGGTCCGCTTGGTGCAGAGCTGAGTTCAATTCCTGGGTATCCTTGTTGACTTTCTGTCTCGTTGATCTGTTTAATGTTGACAGTGGGGTGTTAAAGTCTCCCATTATTAATGTGTGGGAGTCTAAGTCTCTTTGTAGGTCACTCAGGACTTGCTTTATGAATCTGGGTGCTCCTGTATTGGGTGCATATATATTTAGGATAGTTAGCTCTTGTTGTTGAATTGATCCCTTTACCATTATGTAATGGCATTCTTTGTCTCTTTTGATCTTTGTTGGTTTAAAGTCTGTTTTATCAGAGACTAGTATTGCAACCCCTGCCTTTTTTTGTTGTCCATTTGCTTAGTAGATCTTCCTCCATCCTTTTATTTTGAGCCTATATGTGTCTCTGCACGTGAGATGCGTTTCCTGAATACAGCACACTGATGGGTCCTGACTCTATCCAATTTGCCAGTCTGTGCCTTTTAATTGGAGCATTTAGTCCATTTACATTTAAAGTTAATGTTGTTATGTGTGAATTTGATCCTGTCATTATGATGTTAGGGGTGATTTTGCTCGTTAGTTGATGCAGTTTCTTCCTAGTCTTGATGGTCTTTACATTTTGGCTTGATTTTGCAGTGGCTGGTACTGGTTGTTCCTTTCCATGTTTAGCGCTTCCTTCAGGAGCTCTTTTAGGGCAGGCCTGGTGGTGATAAAATCTCTCAGCATTTGCTTTTCTGTAAAGTATTTTATTTCTCCTTCACTTATGAAGCGTAGTTTGGCTGGATATGAAATTCTGGGTTGAAAATTCTTTTCTTTAAGAATGTTGAATATTGGCCCCCACTCTCTCCTGGCTTGTAGGGTTTCTGCCAGGAGATCTGCTGTTAGTCTGATGGGCTTCCCTTTGAGGGTAACCCGACCTTTCTCTCTGGCTGCCCTTAACATTTTTTCCTTCATTTCAACTTTGGTGAATCTGATAATTATGTGTCTTGAAGTTGCTCTTCTCGAGGAGTATCTTTGTGGCATTCTCTGTATTTCCTGAATCTGAACGTTGGCCTGCCTTGCTAGATTGGGGAAGTTCTCCTGGATAATATCCTGCAGAGTGTTTTCCACCTTGGTTCCATTCTCCCCATCACTTTCAGGTACACCAATCAGACGTAGATTTGGTCTTTTCACATAGTCTCATATTTCTTGGAGGCTTTGCTCGTTTCTTTTTATTCTTTTTTCTCTAAACTTTCCTTCTCACTTCATTTCATTCATTTCATCTTCCATTGCTGATACCCTTTCTTCCAGTTGATCGCATCGGCTCCTGAGGCTTCTGCATTCTTCACGTAGTTCTCGAGCCTTGGTTTTCAGCTCCATCAGCTCCTTTAAGCAGTTCCCTGTATTGCTTATTCTAGTTATACATTCTTCTAAATTTTTTTCAAAGTTTTCAACTTCTTTGCCTTTGGTTTGAATGTCCTCCCGTAGCTCAGAGTAATTTGATCGTCTGAAGCCTTCTTCTCTCAGCTCGTGAAAGTCATTCTCCATCCAGCTTTGTTCCGTTGCTGGTGAGGAACTGCGTTCCTTTGGAGGAGGAGAGGCGCTCTGCTTTTTAGAGTTTCCCGTTTTTCTGTTCTGTTTTTTCCCCATCTTTGTGTTTTTATCTACTTTTGGTCTTTGATAATAGTGATGTACAGATGGGTTTTTGGTGTGGATGTCCTTTCTGTTTGTTAGTTTTCCTTCTAACAGACAGGACCCTCAGCTGCAGGTCTGTTGGAATAGCCTGCCGTGTGAGGTGTCAGTGTGCCCCTGCTGGGGGGTGCCTCCCAGTTAGGCTGCTCGGGGGTCAGGGGTCAGGGACCCACTTGAGGAGGCAGTCTGCCCGTTCTCAGATCTCCAGCTGCGTGCTGGGAGAACCACTGCTCTCTTCAAAGCTGTCAGACAGGGACATTTAAGTCTGCAGAGGTTACTGCTGTCTTTTTGTTTGTCTGTGCCCTGCCCCCAGAGGTGGAGCCTACAGAGGCAGGCAGGCCTCCTTGAGCTGTGGTGGGCTCCACCCAGTTTGAGCTTCCAGGCTGCTTTGTTTACCTCAGCAAGCCTGGGCAATGGCGGGCGCCCCTCCCCCAGCCTCGCTGCCGCCTTGCAGGTTGATCTCAGACTGCTGTGCTAGCAATCAGCGAGACTCCATGGGTGTAGGACCCTCCGAGCCAGGTGCGGGATATAATCTTGTGGTGCGTCGTGTTTTAAGCCGGTCGGAAAAGCGCAGTATTCGGGTGGGAGTGGCCCGATTTTCCAGGTGCGTCCGTCACCCCTTTCTTTGACTTGGAAAGGGAACTCCCTGACCCCTTGCGCTTCCCAAGTGAGGCAATGCCTCGCCCTGCTTCGGCTCGCGCACGGTGCGCGCACCCACTGACCTGCGCCCACTGTCTGGCACTCCCTAGTGAGATGAACCCGGTACCTCAGATGGAAATGCAGAAATCACCTGGCTTCTGCGTCACTCAGGCTGGGAGCTGTAGACCGGAGCTGTTCCTATTCGGCCATATTGGCTCCTCCCCCCAGGTTATTTGTTCTAAGTGCTGACAACATCTCAGATTAAAAGTTGTTTTCAGTGCTATTCTTTTTATGTTACTATTAATGATTAGGCACATTTTCTTTAAATAGCTTTTGATCATATTAGTTGGTACAGTATGGATTATACTGCATTGACTACCTTTAAGTTGTTGACTAATATGTAGATATGTTTCTTTTTTTCTGTACAACGTTAAGGAAAGTAAATGACTGTATCCTACAGAAACATTAAGAAATCATTTTTAAGAAAAGTTTCCATTTCTGCTTGTATTTTAGTTTAGTTTTTTATCCATATTCTGTTTTATAGCAGATGAATTTTAAAAGGCCAGTCTATATTTAAAATAGGCATTAATTTTAGCCATGGGTGTTGGCTTTCCATTTTAATGGCCTGACCACTAAACATCTTCTTTTTGTTGTTTCTTTTTAAAAAATATATGATTTGTCTAGCAAATCTTTGGTAAAAAAAATACATTTCTTAACAGTACTATTTTAAGGACAGATTATGCTGTGATTTTGCTGCAACAGCCTCCTGAGTGATAGAGTCAGATGTTCTACTTTCTTATTAGAAACATCGATGCCAATATTTACTTTCAGTCCTGGTCTAACAAAATGAATACGTTGCCAGAGGCATATCATGAGTCCTTCCGGCAAACTCCAAATAAGAAACAAACAGAAATAGTGAATGAGAATGCCAACTTAAAAAAAATACGTATTTTTATTATAGACTTAATTGGCCAAGAACATTCCTACATAATCTAAAATTCATAACGACCAAATGGTAATACTTTTATTGCCTGGGTGGTTTTGTACATGGACTTTTATAACTTGGTATTCAATGTATGAATTCTTGTCAATGAAACAGTATCATTTTGTGTCTGAGTATTTATGTGTCTTTTTTAACCAAAGAAAAAAGGACCAAATATTAGTGTTAGCCAAAATTTTAATTTTTAAATACTAGAGAGTTATTTCTAAATTTACGTGAGTCCAAATTTTCAAGCAGAAACTATAATCCTCCTTTGCTTACCTGATAATTTTTACTGCCCTAATCAACTTGGTCTTGCACTACTGTAAATAACTTACATGAGGAAATATTGTGGTTTCATGTTCGGTAACAATAATTTTACCTAGGTTTTAATGAAATATCTCTCACAATATGAGAGCCTGCATAATATAGAATATCCAATTCATTAAACACTTGCAGAGGGTCCCCTCTGGGCCATCTGGGATTACTACTGCCTAACTTTGAAGGAGAAACCTAACCAGAATATTTTAGTATGTTGCATCAGTGATAAGAAAACTTCTGAACTTGTGCCATGAGACCTCAGAGAAGGGGCCACTTTGTTCATCCCAAGGTGACTCGGAATAGATGACACCAAAGCTGAAAGATTTGTAGATTTTTTTATAGGTGAAGAGAGAGAGGAGGGAGAAGGAGGTACTTGCTGGAAGTGTGTCCTGGCAAAGCAAGCAGCACTGGTAAAAGCAGGCAGATCCGACAGAATGTCGTGTATGGATGGAGAAAGAGAATGAAACAGCAGTTTAAGATGACTGGTGGGTAATGCAAATTTGAGAAGTCATGGGGGATGAGGCTGGACTGGTAAACAAGAGCTAAGTCATCAAGGGCCAGATATCAAACAAGTTTATACAGTGAAGATTTAGGGCAAAGGGGTGATGTGGAAGGGATGAGTTTTCCAAAAAGTTAGTCACTTATCCAAGAATGTATCCAGCTCACTTAATGAAGCTAGCTCACTTATGGAGCTAGATACATTCAAATAGTTTCTATAAATCAAATTCCTTTTCTTAGTTCAGTTCTCCTAGTGATGCCCAAATTGACAAATTTCACTAGGTAAAATGTTTGCTTTTCTTGAAGTAATATAATTCTACCTGGAAGTCAGCATATTTTTAAAAATCACAAATTGTAAGAAAAAAATCATTTTGCTTATGTGCCAAATTTTATATGTGATTATGTTGAAGTATGGAAAACAGCATAATTCAACAAACATTTTATTAAAATTGACAACACAATTTCTTAAAAGAAATATTTTAATAATGGTTAATTCCTACTTGTTAGTCTATAATTACGCATGTTTCCTAATTGATGAAAAGAAATGAAATCACTCTTTCTGGACAGGCATATACTTGAAAATCCTTTACCGTATATTGGCTTAGAGAAAAATTGATGTTCCTTGCTGCTTAAATAAATTTAAGCCCCTAAAATCTGAAAACTTAATTGAATATTTAGTGGACATAAAATGAATGGTCCATAAGAGCAGAGGCACAAAGTTGAAACAGCAAAGATAAGCATGAGGGACTCTAGCTTTAGATTTTTACTTTACTCACTTTGTTTTATTTTCCTTCTCCACATAAATTGTTATAAATTTTCCACTTGCTAGAAGGGATTTCTCAAGCATTGCAGGGCAGCTTAGTTTATTTTCTTCGTGGGTAAATCTGTATGTAATCATTTTAGCAGGTGAGAGAATTCAAGGAAGTGGTAACTTGCCAGGAAATGAGTTCTCAGGGCTGTGAATGTTTTTTCATTAGTGGTATGATTTCCCAAATATCCCATTTCATTTTCGTGTAAAAGGTACTTTTCCATCTCATCACGTCTACATTGAGTTAGTTTGCCCACTAGGAGGCACTCTTTCCAAGCTCTGTTTCCCAGGGTGTCCCGCTGACTTTCCCCAATAAAAACCTGTGGGTATTTACTCATCTTTTGTGTTTTTGTTACTAAGCTAAGTTTTGTACCTTGCTTCTGTTTGCTAGTGGAAATGGCCTTTTTTGTTGTTGTTTAAAACAAACCAACAAAAACAACTTCCAAATGTTTTGGTTGGTACTTGTTTTTCAAGGTACTAGTTTGTGGAGAGATGCTTAACTTACTAGAAAAACACAATGTGTTTGATATCAAGTGTTCACTAAAAGTTCTACTATTACCTTTAAAATAGTAATATTCTCCCTGATATTTATTTTCAAATGTAAAAACATATAGATCTCTAAGTATAGCTCAGTTGTGAACAATTGAAAACATTAAGTCACCATAGAATGCATCGCTGCAAAAGACAAACAGTGATTTGTGTCAGAAAAAGCTTTCAGATTAAAAAAAATCAGAGAATATAGGCTTGTCGTGAGTTGTGTGTGTGTGTGTGTATACATACACATAGTATACACACATACATATATGTATACATGTAAAAACACACAGCAACAAGACTGTATAAAAAGGACACTTGCTCAGTGGCATGTGAAAGTCACTCTCATCACACATTGTGCTGGTCACATATTGATATGCAGGCCCCACGTATATAATTATACGTATAAAATTAGAGTTATTAGTGATCCCGGAATAATCACTCTCTGAAGACTTTTAATGAACTTCAAATTGAAAGTGGTTGGTTTACTTAAAAAGCATGATTTCTCAAATTTTTTAATCTCAGAGCTTGAGACCTGGTCCCATCAATTCATTCACTTATTGAGTGTCTGCTCTGTGTCGGGCCTTGTTCTATATTTTGTTTACGGCAATGAACATACAAACAAAATTTACTCATGGTGTTTATGTTTGGTGGTAGTGGTGGCAAGGCAGGGGTGCACACCAGAGTAGGATTAATTGCAATGACAAAGGGTAATGTTGTAAAAGGATTAAGAGTGTTAGAAGCAGAACTATTTTATATAGGGATGCCAAGGAAAATGTATCTGAGAAGATACTATTTGAGCAGAGATCTGAGGGAAATGAGGAAGAAAGCTATGCATGTAGCTGGGGGATACATTCCAGATAAAAGGGCAAAGCAAATATAGTCCTGAGGTTTATTTTAAGGGCAGTAAGTGAGTCTGGTTCTGGAATGTGAGGGGGAGTGGTGGGAGATGAAGTTAGTGAGATGTGCCAGGACCTAGTAGAATTTTTCTCCAAATGAGATAGAAAGTCACTGGCAGGGTTTGTGCAGAAGAGTTGGTTGATGAGACTAACTTTTCAGAGAATCTCTCTAACTTTTGAGTTGATTTGGTATTCAAAAACCCTCACTATTAGGCCTCTACTTGGTTCTCCCGGGAAGTTCTCTGCCCTCCAATCCTTCTGTTTTTTGTTTAGGTTCCTTCTGCCTGGAATGCCCATTTTCTTGTAGCAGGTGTGAATCTCAGTCCACACACAGAGATATGTGAGGAATATAACTATTTGTTCACAGCTGAATTGAGCCCTATTCTGCTAGGTGGTATGAACAATCTGTCAATTCTGGTCTCCTTTGGCCTTATTCTGTGGCTGCACGTAGGCCTTTGGGGACTCTTGTAACATTGAGCCATCTAGGGAGGTAGGCAAGGGGCCTGTCGCAGGCACAGCTGCCTAGACACAGACTGTAGCCTTTCTACTCCAGAAACTATTTCAGAAAAGTAGCCATGGGTTCTTACTGACCTCAGATCCCTAAACCTCTGCAGGGGTTTTGTCTGTTCTTCTTGCTGGAAGTTGGCATAGTCTCACCTCATTTTTTCACTCTCTTTGCTTCCTCTTCATCTCTCCCCTTCCGACCCTACAGGTCTCTAGATCTGTTCTGGCCTAGCATGGGAAGTCTTGCCCTTGCTCAGTATTCTTCCAGGCCTTTGATCTCTTCCTTATCTTCATTCTGCTTATAATTGATGTCTTCCCTGGGCGGTGAATGCTGCTCAATCTTGCTATTGCTTGAAGGGGTGGAGACTACAACAGATGAAAAGGAAAACCAGAGGGAAAAAAACCTTGGTTATTTCGGAACATTATTCTGCCACTTACCCTTCTAAGTCTAATAAAATCCTGCTTTTCAGGCCCATCTTGTTTATCAGCTCCTTTTAGCAACCTGCCCACAGCTACTGATCTCTCTCATGGTAGGAGATAAGCACTTCCTCTCGTGTGTTCCCTGGGCGTTTTGTTTGTGTCCTCCATCCTGAACCTTGTCCATGGGTATCATGTCACCTTTTGAATTGTTGTTCCAGACTTTCAATTGTTGGGTCCTTGAGATCACAGGGACCACTGCTTCTTCAGAGGTGTTTTGTTTTTGTCTCAGCTAGGGCTGCCATAACAAAATACAACAGACTGTGTGACTTAAACAACAGAAATTTATTTCTCGCAGTTCCGGAGGCTGGCAAGTAAGAGCAGGGCACTTACAAAGTAGATTTTATTCTGAGGCCTCTTCTCTTGGCTTTTAGGTGGCCTCTAGCTCACTGTGTGCTCACATGACCTCTTCTGTCTGTGTACTTGGAGAAGGAAAGAGAGCAAATTCTCTGGTGTGTCTTACAAGGGCACTAATCCCATGATGAGGGCCCCACCTTCATAACTTCATCCAACCTCATCTAAACCTAATTACCTCCTAGAAGCCCCATCTCTAGTTACCATCACAGTGGGGGTCAAGGTTTCATATATGAATTTTGGAATGACACAAATGTTCAATCCATAACAGTTTTGTTTTGTTTTCCTTTGTTTTCATCTCTGGCATTTATGATGGTGCCAGTTATAATGGAGAACAGTAAATGCTTAATCAGTGAAAGTATTAAGCATATTCACCTAGACAAGAAATCCTTCCTATTCCTGTCAATAAGGTTCAAGGCTCTCCAATGAGAAATTAGATTGTTCAGCTCTAATGTTTGTCAAAACAGAAGTTAATACTTTCACATACTCCATAGTTTTGCTTTTAAGCCTTTTTGATGTCATAAGAAATATAGAAAATTATATTTGTTAACAATGAGGCTGCTAATGGCCAGGGGTGAGTACTAGAGCTTTGCATCTCTCTGCTACATTCAGTTCCAGCTTCCGCACCTCCTAGACCCTGACTGGTATCAGCTGGCAGAGGGGAATAGTTGTAACCTATTTGATCATGTTTTGCTTTCTAATATAGAGAATAGAGATTGATTATGCTTTTAAAAATTATGGAAAACCATAGTTATTCAACAGAAAAAAACCTGTAAAAAATGTGGCATGTGACTTTCTAATACTGCTTTTGTTGTTGTTGCTATTTAGTTCTTAAGTCTGTGGGCCCCACAAAATTTATGC
Source organism: Homo sapiens (assembly GCF_000001405.40). Taxonomy (NCBI): domain Eukaryota; kingdom Metazoa; phylum Chordata; class Mammalia; order Primates; family Hominidae; genus Homo; species Homo sapiens. The sequence goes on from NC_000005.10 coordinate 90,935,669, forward strand.
CCTTACACCTATACACATAACTCTGGTATGTGTTCAGCACAATTAGGAAGGACAGATGTGTGTCCGAATGTCATATGACTCGAGGCAGTGTTTCTTAGAATGTGGTTTGAAGGCCACCTTGATTGTGGTAACCTGGATTGCTTGTTACAAATGAAGTTTTTCCAGCCCAGGCAGTGACACACACCTGTTGTCCCAGCTACCCAGGAGGCTAAGGCAGGAGGATTACCTGAGCCTGGGAGTTGAAGGCTGTAGTGTGTTGTGATGGTGCTTGTGAATAATCACTGCACTACAGCCTGAGCAACATAGCGACCACCCCATCTCTAAACAAAACAACAAAAAAATGCTTTTCAAGAGTTTTAGAATAAGACTCTTCCATGATGAGGCCTGAAAATCTGCATTTGTAATAAGTTACCAGGATGCTTTTTATGTACCCTAGACTTTATGAATCATTGCTCTATGTGGTGCAGAAAGACAGTAGCAATGTTCTGCAGTATTCTTCCAATCTTCTTGATTTCTTCTGGGCCAAGACATTTTGGATTATGGATCCAATTTAGTTATTACTGGATCATTCTGTTTTTTTATTTTCTGTATATTTCTAACATTAATTATGGTGTTCTCCTCTCTCACACACACACATACATGCACATACACACATTCTAGCTGTATCTAAAAATATATCTATCTATTACTTTCAAATTTGTAAATATATTTTTGCATCTCTTTAGGATTTTTAAAAAATGACATCAATTGAATCTATAAAAATCTTCCACTTTTTAAAATGCGTGCCTTTTTTCTTAAGCTTTGTTCAAGTTTTATCTATTTTATTGATATTTTCAAAAACCAAGCTTATGGTTTTGTTGACTATCTCTACTTTTATTCTAATTAATATTTTATCTTCTTATTATTTATTTTCTTCTACCTAATATGTTTATATTTTTATCTTTACTTGGCTTTTAAATTAAATTATCTTATTTTAGTTTTGTTTTGTAGATACAATTAAGTCTAAATTTACCTTTAAGTATCACCGTAGCTGCTTTCCAACAAATTTTAGCATATAGTGCTTTTCACTGTCATTTAGTCCTAAACAGTTAATAATTTCTATTTTAATTCCTTGAATTAATTTAGAAGTGCATTTAAAATTTCTTAAACATATGGTTTTTTTGCTACTTTTTAATTATTGATTTCTAATTTAATAATATTGGATAAAAAATGTAATATGTCTAAAATGTCTTTATTTTGCCTGCAATCTTGCATAATATAATAGGTTGACAGGGTATAAAATTCTAGGTTAATACTTATACTTCCTTAACACCTTGAAAATATCATTTCATTGTTTCTTACCATCTGTTGTAACCAGTAAGAAGTTTATTGTCAGTCCATTATTCTAATGTAGATAATTTGTATTTTCTCCTTCTACTAGACTTTAAGATTCTCCAGTTTCATTACAATATATATTCATCTAGGTTTAACCTTATATATTTGATCCTTATTTTTTCTACTTAGTACTTTGTACTTTCAACCTAATGACTTATGTATTTCTTTAATTCTGGAAAATTCTCAGCAATACTTTTCATATACTTTTACTATTTCCTTCATTCGCTTTTTCTGGAAGATTTGTTGGAGGTCTTTTCTGTAGCATGAATATTACATCATAATTTTAAGCCTTATCTTTCTGTGCTGCATTCTGGGTAAGTTCCTTAGTTTTTGTTACCCCTTCATTAATTCACCCTTTGATCCCAGTTTAAAGTTATCCCATTTATTGTATCTTTTAATTGCAGTAACTGTATTTTTTTTTTTTTTTTTTTTTGAGACGGAGTCTAGCTCTGTCGCCCAGGCTGGAGTGCAGTGGCGTGATCGCGGCTCACTGCAAGCTCCGCCTCCCGGGTTCACGCCGTTCTCCTGCCTCAGCCTCCCAAGTAGCTGGGACTACAGGCACCCACCACCACGCCCAGCTAATTTTTTGTATTTTTAGTAGAGACGGGGTTTCACCGTGTTAGCCAGGTTGGTCTCGATCTTCTGACCCCATGATCCGCCCGCCTTGGCCTCCCAAAGTGGCGGGATTACAGGCGTGAGCCACAGCGCCCGGCCAGTGATTGTATTTTTTTCAGTTTTAAGCTTTGTGTTTTTCATCTTTACCTATTCTTATTTCACTTCTGACTGTGTATATTTTATGAATTCATTGTTTTTATTGACGGTTTTGTCTTTATTAATTTCTGGTCATTGTTAGCATATTCTTTTAATACCTTTGTCAGATTGTTTCATAAAGTTAATTTTATCTAAAGTGCATTTATGTTCAAATTGTTGATTTTATTAATTGCCTTTTATTTGTACCTGCCCAGTGTCTTGATTTTTGTTCCGTTTCTGGTTCACAAAAAATGTTTGCTTGTATTTGTCCTTGGCATCATTTTTACTCCCCAACCTTATTTTTTTAATCCATCATTGGTATGTATTTAGAGTGGACTTTCCTGCTTGAACTCATTGTGCATCTTGAACTGAGAGTCCCAAACAGCCTGGTTGAGTAAGAGGGGAAAATAAAAAAAAAATTTTTTGGAGTTGTCTGTCATTCAATAGTTTTTAATGTCAATTAGGACAAAAGCAACCTTTTCTTTCCTTACATCCATGTTGGTACTCATGGCTCTGAAAAGTTTACTTTGAATTAACTTGAAGCTATTCTTATTTAGATTGGCTTAATCTTAGAACTGTTTGGCTGTTACTTATAATTTACTTCCTAATGCAATATACTACCATAAACATTGAAAAGTATGGTTTTTTGGAGGGAAAAGATAACAGTGAGACTGGCGATGTTTGAGTGCCAAAAGATATTACTTAAAGACTTCCCCAGTGAATACTTGTATGAAAGCTTTCTGTGATCTAGTCTGGATATGATGGTGCTCCCTCAGCCAGAACCTCTGCTTAATTCCCCTCTCCCTTTCACTCAACACATATTTTATTGAGCACCTATTATATGCCAGGCACTGCTCTATGCACTGGATATATGACAGCAGACAGATCATATAAAATCTCTACCCTCTTGGAACCTACATTCCAGCTTATTGTTAATAATAGCTTTGCTCAGAGAGGGTTTTTATTAATCACTGAAACACTGAAGAAAGTATAATTCTAGGATTGTTTATTTTACAAAGTATTGGTAGGAAAAGTAAAGTGATGATTCTAGGATCTGCTTTTGTTATCTTTCAACCCAGGAAGTATATCTAGGGGAAGCCACTTTTATTCTTATTACATTTCTAGAAACCTGCCACAAGAAATCCTAACCACATACATATATACTTGTGTTTCTCTATTTTCGATAGTAAATCTATGCTGGTGGAAGACTATCAGTTATTCTAATGTTATTGTTATGGATTTAAGATAAAATAAGCACAGGAGAAGACTGATAATCTGTTTTATTTGTCTATCAATCAAAGGTGCCAGTTTTAGAAAACATGTTCACTTCTTCCAGCTTTGAAAACAAAGTTAAACTAAAGCAATGAAAGGGAAGCACATTGTCAGTTTAAACCTCAAAGTTACATTTTAAAACATAATCAAAGAAGGGGCCCATATTTAATTAGATACAAGATACAGATTAGAGTTTCTCTCATTAATTAGGTAGCTGTGTGAGAAATCACTCTTAAAAGCAGTTTTAGGGTATTAGTTTTCACTGACTTACACATTTTGTTCTGATCTGCTGCTGTGATTAATGAATTTTTGAGCAATGACGATTAGGTTAATTTGAGTTCATTATTCAAATACCAGCGCCTAACAGATGGAACACTAAACTGAAGGTCAGGAAATGTGAATTCCACTCTAGGCTCACAGCTGACTTTCCATGCAATTTGAATTTCTTCTGCTTTGTGAAGATATTTGTGGATTAATGTTACTGTAAATAAAATGCTCTAAATGACAAGGATATAAAGTACTATGAAAGCAAATGGGAAAAAATGATAACTTAGGATAAAGAGTCTCTCTTCATCTGGGAATAATATTTAGAATTCATAAACAACCTTTTAGGGGAAAATTTAGATGCTGTACAGGTGGCAGAATTGCTTTTTTTTACTTGACTTTAAAATAATAATACCTGATACTTGAATAGTGATTTCCAGGTTTTTAAACACTTTCTTGTCCTACTCTTATGTGAACCTTAGAAAAGCCCTGTAAGTTAGACCATTATTCTCTGTGGCCTCATGTGGAAAATAGACAATAATCTGATTTCCTGGAGAGATTAAGAGAGATTAGACATATATATGTTGTCCTTCAAACCTGATGCCATTTTAGAGTTCTCCATGTAAGAAGTTCCTGTCATTCTTACCTAGCCTCATATCTTCACATAGTTCAGAAATAACGTGTTTTCTCAAGCATATAACTTGGTCTTCTTATTTTCCTTAGGCCTTCAAAATGCATTGTCGACTTGTTTTCTTCTGAAGAACTGTTCCTGTAAACAGCTCCTAGCATTTATTGCAGACTAGCAGAGCAGTAAAAGAACTGCAGTTATTTCAGGCTAAGAATCTACCTCCCCTCACTGACTGTCTTTTGAGGACTTGGATATAAATCTGATTCTGTCTTGTAACCAAAATATGAGTTGCTTTGATTTTGTGAAATACAAGAGCACACTCAGTGTTCAAACTATTCCACAAAGAGAAAATATATTATCTGTGTTACTATCTAGTGTTCACTAAGAATCCAAGCTAAGTCAAAAGGCCAGGTATGGTTGGCATTTACTGTGAATTTATGAATCATCCATGATTTTGTTGCTGCTGCTTCTTATTCCATACTTGGCCATTGCCAGCAATGGGACTTTATACAGGTGAGTTGGCTGAGTTTCAGTACAATGCTCTGTTTAATTGTAAACATATATGCACTGGGTATAAATAGGGTGGTGTTTTGTACCAGGTATTTTTTTCAGGTAACCAGGTCAATAATAAATTATTGAGTGATATACTGTGATGTTTTTCAGTTTGTGGATTAATTTCACAAACTGCATGGAAGCAAAAAGCCTTGCTCTGTTATAACTCAAACAAAAGCCCACAGAAGGAGAGAAAGGATGCTGCAAAGGCTGGAGCCAGCCAGTTTGAACCGGCACTAGTTAGTAGTGACACAGAGAAAAGAGGTGGGACCAGCACAGGAAGGAGGAGCATTCACACTCAGAGGGGAATTACATTCAGCCACTGCCTCATTTCTCAGGTTCACTGTAAAGGCCATTTAGAGGATGTAATTTAACTGTGTGGTTATAGGCCTAATGTTTTCACAAACTTCTTATTCTTCTGTGAAGGAGACACAGAAGTAGCTGTTTGTGCTACAGCAGTGCTTTTTGCATTTCCCCTCCTGAGATTTGCTTTTTTCCCCCCTCCCATTTAGAACTGAATGTGGATACTGGTAAAATAGCATCCTTAGTTTTGGACATTTCCTGAGAAAAAAATGAAAACAAAACCAGCTTTTAGAGAATTTCTAAGATCATGGCAAGGAAAAGTACTTAAAAAAAAAAAAGTCTAAGCAGATAACACCATCCAAAGCAAATAAAACTCCTTCAAAACGATATCTAGTTACAATATTGTAGAATGTGCATAAAGAAACTCCATTTGCTCTAAATAAATAGAGACAGGATATCTTTTATAACACCTGGTGAAAATTAAAGTTACAAAAGACTTTCTTAAGTAAAGGCAGTCAAATTGATTAACATTATATGATCAGTCATGTGAATATTTAAAATACAAATAGCCATTTTTTAAAATGAGAATGACTTTTAAGAATGAGTTAAATTGAGTGGGCAAGAAGGTGATTATAGGTCTTCTGGTATCTTTCAAGCTCATCATTGTCAAATCAGTTCTGTCTCATTAATTTCAGGGTTTACTACTACTAGGCAGCAATCCAAAACTATTTAAAACCTGCTGGATGGTTTTCACTCTAGGAGTCACTGCCAACCCCATCCCCCAACCAAAAATACAGGGACTGGAGACAAAACTGGGAGAAATGTTTAACACAAACACTCTGCCATGCAGACATCCTTAGGAATTTGAAGATTCAGCAACTTTAGGGTAGATTCTCACCAGTTGAGTTCAGGTGCATATGAAATAAAACCCACAGCTAAGTTAGGCGTGTATGTTGATGTTTCATTTAGTAGATGCTATCCAGAATTAACTCATAATATTGTAATGACTTTGGAAGTCAATATGTGATGATACAATTGATTTTAAATTTTCCGTGGTAATTGTAGTCATGAAAAACCTGAATAATCTAATAATCTTATTTTAGACATCGGTTTCAATTTTTCTTCTCACAAAGCCTTATATTGGAGCAATTTGCAAGAAAACCATGTTCTTTATTCCTCCTCACTCTTTGGTAGATACCCATGGGGTAAGGAATTGTCCAGAAATAAGAGGTTGTACAAGAAGCCTATCTTATCTAAACCAAAAGTGAATAATTTGCATTGTTAACTAGCCACTTTTTCTTAGTTGTCGACTCATTGACACCGTACATTGGCCAAATATTTTATGAAAGCTAATCTGTACTGTAGCTTCAGAGTGCTAAGATGATAGCAAGTGAGTTTATGATGATCCCATAATCTTTGAAGAAACTTATGTACTGGACAATAAACTAACAATGCCAGGTAGTAATCAATTAAGAAAACTCTTAAGAGGCAGACACAATAAGGAGTTAATTCTGGAAAAACAGTGGACTAGGTGTATTTGGAAAAGGCTATAACTTGAGTTATTCCCTGGAAGAGGGGTCCCATTGGCTGAAAGGAGAGAGGAGAGGGAATAGTATGAAATAGTTATGGAAGATTGGAGAGTTTCTCAGGGTTAATAGTGGGTTCTGAGTTTGAGACTAGTGAGAAGCTTAAGTTTACAGATACAGTGGGGTCAGGTTAAAGATTGTAAAGTTAATCTTTTTCTAGATCAGGGATTAAAAACCCAAATGCCTTCTGGGGCCAGAGAAGCTACTTCAGCGAGGCTCTAGGGACTGGCAAAAGGGGTGGTAACAGGTGAATATGTGCCCTAAGAGGAAGCCATTATTTACCTCCACCTAATCATTCCTTATGGCAAGGACTTCTTATTTTTCAAGAGAAATTGATTATCTGAACGATTGTGTGAAGTACCTGGATTTTTAAAACACTAGGCAAATCAAACAAAACCCATTTTGAGGCAGATTTTAAACTACACCCATAACTATGTAGGAAAAGGGAGTCTTGGAGCTTTTTAGTCAGGCCAGAGATAATGATGAATACTTTAGGAAGGTTATCACAGTGGTTACCTATTGGTGATTTTGAATGGAAAAGACCTGTGGACCCAAGTCATAGACTCCAGGAAGCCTTTTCTGCCCCTTCTGCAATGAAGAGTTAGGAAGACATTTAAATAAGTAATCAGCAAGATTTGATGACTGACTAAACTGGCTGTCACATGTGTTCTTTAGGGTGCTTTGGCTAGGGGGACAGATTGTAGTTCTTTAAAGCTGGCCTTTCCCTGTCTCTCATAAAAGTATTTTTTGTCCACAATATCTGCACCACCTGCCTCTAGCCAGTGGTGGTGCCTCTACAACTTCACTTGTAATTGCTCAGAAAATTGAACAGTAAGGGGTGGGTGGGTGGGTTGGTTAGTTCTTAAGGTTCTTCTGAGATATGGGATGTAGTGAGAAAAGCTTTAACCACTCATCTTACAATCAGAAGACTTGGAATCAAGTCCCAATTTTGCTACTTCCTGGCCTTATGACCTTGGACAGATCACACACCTTCTTGAACCTGGCACATTCTTCCTTATCTTGGGGCTGTGGCACAAGCTGTGTTCCCTGACCTGCATAATCTCTCTCTTCACCTTTACCTGACCCTCACCTTCTTGTCCTTAAGATCACAGCTAAAATGTCACTTCCTCAGAGAGGCCTTCCATGACCTTCCCATCTAAAGTGGAGCTTCTATCAGTTTCCTTGGGCTAATGTAACAAATTACCGTAAACTGGGTGGTTACATGTCCAAATTCAAGATGTTTCCAGCAGCATCCTCCATCTAAAAAGTAGGGAAGAATCCTTCCTGGCCTCCTTCTAGCTGCTGGTGGTTCCCAGCAATCCTTAGTGTGCCTTGGCTTGCAGCTGCAACATTCCTACCCCTTCCTTTGTGGTCACATGGCCTTCTTCCCTGTGTGTGTCTGGGTCTCTTCACATGGCCTTCTTATAAGAACATCAGTCATTGGATTTAGAACCCACCTCACTTCTGCAAGACCTCATTTTATCTAATGACGTCTGCAAAGATTCTATTTCCAAATAAAGTCAACTTCTAAGGTTCCAGGTATACATGAATTGAGGTGTAGGGGGGGCACTATTCAACCCAGTACCAACCCCCTTTTTAAATTATCTTTATTGTATTTACTATATTTGTAGTTATATATTAATTTGTTGGTTTATCTTTCTAACATGGGAATTCTATGAAGGCAAGCTTTAAGTCCATTTTATTCATTTCTATATACTCAATGCCTGGATAATTTTTGATACCTAAAAGCTAACCAAAAAGTATTTATTTAGTACATTAAGTAATCTTTTTTCCCTCTGGCTAATTGTCTTCATTGATGAAATAATGGGGTTGGAATTGCTAGTCTTTAAGGTATTTTGCAGTTCCAGTAGTATGTGACTCTGTTTTTTACAGATGCCCAGTGACCCCAAGTTGCTCTGTGAATCAGGGCAGCAGGCATTTACATGTATACATTTTTTTATTATGATGATTGTACTGTACCTTCCCTTTAGGTCCTACTTGAAGAAAAAGAGGAAAAAATAAACACATGACATTGAAATACCAATTGGTTTGCCTGGTTTTGAAGAGAGAATTATAAAAGAGATAACCAAGGTTGTATATTCTGATTAAGTATAGTAAACACTCATTCTGTGTTATGTAGTAAATACACTAGAGATTATATAAACTGGACCCCAAATCTAAATGTATGTCAAGCAGTATTCACTTTTATGCTCAGACTGGCTGGTACCCAAAACACCTTTATACCTCAAATATTTTTTCTCCCATAGGAGTATAATATAACTCATTTTAATTTAAGAAGATGTAGGATGATTATTTCTCATGGAAGTTAATTTATTAGTTCGAATTATTTAATTGACAAACTGTTGGAAACATGTCATCAATTTTGACACTTTTCACAGTACAGTGTTGCTGAAACTCCTCTTTGGGACCTTTAAATGCTGTCAAGAAGAAAAATCCATTTAATTTTATTGCTGAGAAAATGGGAAGTCCTTTTGATTAAACATGATTTTGTTTGTATTTAATTCAGGAATATTTACTTTTTAAAATTAAATTCCAAAATTTCTAAGCACTTAAAAGATGACTCTGTGGTTAAATCGAAAATAATTGACTATATTAATATTTTTAGGCCATGACTAAACAAAAAGCTTGTCTGTAAACATATTTTATCTTACTAGAAATATCACCAACACAATCATGGTTATAGTGTTGATTACAGATGCCTTCAGTTCAATTCAACATATGTTTATAAATCCAGGCCCTCTTTAAATCCTGAGGTTAAAAAAGCAAAACCACAGGGCACTTCATGGCTAATGAACTGAATTTCTTCCTATTCCAAAAACAGATTTTTTTTTTTTGTTCTTCTCTGTTCTCTTTAATATTCTAAACTGGTTACTTCAATAACGAGAGAGGAAGACTGAGCCCACCAAAACTAGGAGGAGGCAAGACCACTTATTTCCCACCTTCCCAATCAAGTAAGCTGTGGTTCAAGCAGGGCTTCAGAGGGTAGCAGGGCTCCTGGGCCTCTAAGGGATGCTCAGTCACATGGACTTGACCAACACTGAGGGCATTGGTGAGAGACTTCCATAGGAGGGCATTGGCCAATCCAGGGCTTGTTTTCAACACAGCAGATTACTATCTTGGGGCCAAAAGACTAAAATCAAACTCCACTGAGGGAGGGTACTAGATGAGAAAGGGAGCAGTGGATGATACCTAATGCCTTCATCCTACAGATATTTATTGAACACCTACTCTGATGCAGAGCTTGTGCTGGGTGCTGAAGTTATCATAAAGAAATATAATAGTTTCAGCCAGACATAGTGGCTCACTCCTGTAATCCCAGCACCCTGCAAGGCTGAGGCAGATAGATCACTTGAGCCCAGGAGATTGAGAAGAGCATGGCGAAACCCTGTCTCTACAAAAAATACAAAAATTTGGTGGGACATGGTGGTGTGTGCCTGTAGTCCCAGCTACTCTGGAGGCTGAGATGGGAGGAGCACTTGACCCCAGGAGGTAGAGGTTGCAGTGAGACAAGATCTTGCCACTGTACTCTATCTAGCCTGGGTGACAGAGTGAGACCCTTTCTCAAAAAAAAGAAGGGAAGGAGGGAGGGAGGGACAATTAGCAGACTTATACAATAAGAAGTAATACAAGGAATATGATCAAGGATTATCTTCCGAAGGAAATGACGTTTGAACTGAGACAAATAAGATGGACAAGAACCACCTAGAAGGAGAATATCCCAGGCAAAGGGAAGAGCACGTGCAAAGAATCTAAAACAAGAAAGGGCTTGGTTTGTTCAAGAAAATGAAGGGACCGCAGTGCCGCAGCTGAGTGAGTAATGGGCACAGTGGTATAGATGATGAGGTGACAGAGTAGATAGGGCAAGATCATATAGGGCATTGCAAGATCATGGTAAGGCTTTTTAATTACATTGTAAGAATCACTCCATTAGTGGAGATGGACAGGTAGAACTTTGGCAAAAGATAACATAATGAATTGAGATTTGAACATAATCATTTTGCAATATCTGTGTGGCTATACTTATTGGTTGGATTTTTTTTTAATTTAATTTTAAGTTTCAGGATACATGTGCAGGACACGTAGGTTTGTTACGTAGGTAAACGTGTGCTATGGTGGTTTGCTACACTTATCAACCCATCATCTAGGTATTAAGCCCCACATGCATTAGCTATTTATCCTGATGCTCTCCCTCCCCCCACTCCCCACACACAACAGGCCCCAGTGTGTGTTGTTCCCCTCCCTGTGTCCATGTGTTCTCATTGTTCAGTTCCCATTTATAAGTGAGAACATGCGGTGTTTGGTTTTCTGTCCCTGTGTTAGTTTGCTGAGGATAATGGCTTCTAGCTACATCCATGTCCCCGAAAAGGACATGATCTCATTCCTTTTTATGGCTGCATAGTATTTCATGGTATATATGTACCACATTTTCTTTATCCAGTCTATCATTGATGGACATTTGGGTTGATTCCATGTCTTCGCAATTGTGAATAGTGCTGCAGTGAACATATGCGTGCATGTATCTTTATAATAGAATGATTTATATTCCTATGGATATATACCCAAAAATGGGATTGCTGCTTCAGATGGTATTTCTGGTTCTAGGTCTTTGAGGAATCACCACACTGTCTTCCACAATTGTTGAATTATTACATTCCCACTAAATGTAAATTATTACATTCCCACTAACAGTGCAAAAGTGTTCATATTTCTCCATAGCCTTGCCAGCATTGGTTGTTTCTTGACTTTTAATAATTGCCATTCTGACTGGCATGAGACGGTATCTCATTGTGATTTTGATTTGCATTTCTCTAACAATCAGTGATATCGAGCTTTTTCTTCATATGTTTGTTGGCCACATAAATGTCTTCTTTTGAGAAGTGTCTGTTCGTGTCCTTTGCTCACTTTTTAATGGGGTTTTTTTTCTCGTAAATTTGTTCAAATTCCTTGTATATTCTGGATATTACGTCTTTGTCAGACAGATAGATTGCAAAAATTTTCTCCCATTCTGTAGGGTTTAGTTTAATTAGATCCCATTTTTCAATTTTTGCTTTTGTTCTAATTTTTTTATGTTTTCATCATGAAATCCTTGATGAGTGGATTATTTTAAATGTTGATGTGATTCTCAGGAAGAAGTTGAAACGAAAATACAGGTGTAGACGGCATTAGAGTATTGATGGATGAAAGTGGGGATATAAAAGACATATGAAAGAAGGCCCAGAACACCAATATTTAAGGGAGGTAGGAGGAAGAGAAAGCAGGTCCTGAAATAGGGTGAGGAAGGTCAGTACAGGCACTCTACCTAAAAGTCTTATCAAACAAAGGTATGTTTATCCTCCAGGCACAGAGAATAATTTTTCAGAGTGAAACGAGAATCCACATGTCCTATCTCCCTATATCATCAATCATTGATGTTATTTTATGGCATAATGACATTAATATGTAGTTTAAATAAACATGATATTGAGCAACAAGTATTATAAAATGCAGATGAGTTTTAAAAGATTCAATGTGACACACACACTCACATGTAAACACAAAAGAAGTCTTTGGCAAAGATGTAGCCCCAGACTTCCCAGGAGAACTCAGACATTCATATCCTTTCCTTACAAAGGTGCTTGAGCAGAAATGTTTGAGATATACTAAATGAATTATGACTTATTCTATGCAGCTACTCCACAAGGCAGATATAATTAACTTGATTTTAAAGCTATCACTAATGAAGTTCAGAAAGTTAAGTAACTTCCCTGACATTATTCTGTTAGTTACTAGGTGATATTAGAATTTGAATCCAGGAGTCTGGTTCCAAAGTCTGAAATTTTTATGTTTTATAAGGAGGTGAGCTAGGAGCAAGCAAGTATAAAGAAAGAGGACATGGTCAGTAATATAAAATACCAAGCAGTGCGAGTAGGATGAGGACTAAAAGGTTATCTTGGCCTTAGGTGACCACGGAACCTAAGTTAAAGAACATTGAAGTATGTTGTATACCACAATGATATACAACTGTTCACCAACTAGAATGGCTAAGATTAAGAAGAACAAACAGTGGATAACATAAGTGTTACCAGTAGGAATATCTGCTTAACGTATAAACACATGGTATCCTATGACCCTTCAACTTTATTCCTAGGTAAATACCCAAGAGAAATGTCCCATAGAAAACAAGTAGGGATGGTCCTTGACTTACAATGGGGTTACATCCCAATAAACCTATAAGTTTAAAATGCATTAAATATACCTTACCTGTCAAACATCATAGCCTAACCTAGCCTACCTTAAACAAGCTCTGACACTTACATTAGCCTACAGTTGCACAAAATCATCTAACGCAAAGTCTATTTTATAATAAAGTGTTTAACATCTCAAATAGTTGATTAAGTATTGTACTAAAAGTGGAAAACAGAATGGTTGTGTGAGTACTCCAAGCACAGTTTCTACTGAATATGTATCACTTTTGCACCATCATGAAGTCAGAAAATTGTAAGTCAAACATCATAAGTCGGGGCCGTCTGTGTATAAAATATTTATTGCAGCTTTATTAACACTAGCATGAAATAGTAAACAACTCAGGTGTCCATCAGAAGTAGAATGGATACATTTTCCTGTATTCATTCAATGGAATACTATACGACAATAAAAAAAGTGAAATATTGCTACATGCAACAGTATGGGTTAATCTCACAGATACTTGTTAAGAGAAACCGGGCAGGAAATAGCACATACTACATGGTTCCATTTATATGAAGTTCATGAATAGGCAAAATTAATGATGATGATGCAAGTATACATGAATACTTTAGGTTTCAGGGTAATGAGAGAGCCTTGCAAGGTGTTAGAAAAGTTCTATACCATGATCTGGTTTGTGGGTCTATACTTTATATGGGTCTGTGTGTAAACTTTAACTATAATTTAAGGTGAGTGCACCCTACTGTGTGTATGTTAAACTTCCATCTAAAAAATTTTTAAGGTGATGATAAAGGGAAATCCCAGGTAGAAATTGTTTTAACAACTTTTCTGTTATGACCTTATAAAACTATTCGATCTTGCAAATCATGTAGTACATGTATTCCTCTTGATGACTATAAAATTAAAAATGAATGGGGAATTAGTAAGAAACATTATAGATATAGATGTTAGAGGTAATAAATGGAAGAGCAAGTTCCAGAATAAGTTACTGAAAGGACAGGTGGTGGGAAAAATAGAAAGAGGACATCACCTTCCCACTACAGGGAAATTCTCTAGGGGCTTTTTGCATAACAGAGTGCCCTTGCACATAATGGCTAGATTTGGTTAGAGTCTAATGCAAGTATTCTGAAATGCTTTTGAATGATAAGCCAGAAAGAAGCAAAAAAAATAAAATTATAGAATGTTAGAGCTGTAAGACAAGGTATATTACATTTCATCCAGCCCAACCCTCTTATTTTAAAATGGACTGTGTGCATTGACTCTTTGGAAGTGACTCAGTACAGTACAGAGTGCTCTGATGTGGTGTTTCTTTGACAAGGAAGGATGCCTTTACTGAAGTTTTGTTAATCATTTCCAGAATAATGCATGTTAAACATGAACTTTGTACAATGGTTTGTCCATGATCCCTATCAGCATCTTAACAATTGAATGTTTCTGAATGTCGGAGAACTGGAGATACATTCATTAAAATGTGGTACCCATTTCAATGAAAAATGTAGTAATGAACAGACTTTAAAGTACCATGCCACATCTTAAACTGCATTTATCTCCTGGATGAAAAGGAATGTCTTATTCCCACTTTAAGATATATTAGTATATCTCTCTTAGTGTATGTATATTGCTATATATCAATGCAATTACACTGTTCACTGTGGAGAGGAAGTATTCCAGGTGAGAAATAATAGTGGAAAGGGGTAAGGATGGACATATTTAAGAACTATTTTATTTATTTATTTTTGAGATGGAGTCTCGCTCTGTCATCCATGCTGGAGTGCAGTGGGGTGATCTCGGCTCACTGCAACCTCTGCCTCCCCAGTTCAAGAGATTCTTGTGCCTCAGCCTCCCGAGTAGCTGGGATTACAGGTGCCCGTCACCATGCCCAGCTAATTTTTGTATTTTGAGTAGAGACAGGATTTTGCCCTGTTGGTCAGGCTGGTCTCGAACTCATGACCTCAGGTGATCCACCCACCTTGGCCTCCCAAAGTGCTGGGATTACAGGCATGAGCCACTGCGCCCAGGCTTTAAGAACTATTTTAAAAATATAACTGATAGAATTTGAGAACCAATTATACAGGATAAAGAAAAAAAGGGAGTCAAAATTTTGAGTAACTTAAACCATTGAGTGATGCACAGATGCTGGAGTAGCGGGAGTACTTTAGTTGAAGGGGAACAAAATTTCAACTTGGCACCTTGTAGTGAGAGCTTAGGCTTGAGTATTTATCTCTGATCAACTTGCATAATAGTAAATGAATTATAAATAATGTTTTTCTGTTACCTGTATCTCTCTTTCTTCCTATGGATGATATGGCTAATTAAAAAAACAATGATGAATATTTCATATTATAGGTCACAACAAAGATAAGCCTCGCTCTTCTTTTATATCCTCATTCTCATTTTGCAGAGCAAGCAATTGTGTTATAAAATCTGTGGTGAAAACATAAAAACAATAGGCAAAAGGGAAGCTGGTATGTAACTCATGCCTTGATAATGGCATTTGCTCATTTTTGCATCTAGATGGTCCTCTCTTTCCAAGTAGGAAACATTTCATTGCTCTGTAATGTCGTCCGTATAGCCCACCTCAGTGCTAGGTAGTTTCTGCCTGCTAGGGAAGAACTAGTTTAATTGGATTGTAGAGAGGCAATAAGAATGCTTGTTTTCCAAAACTGAATTGGGGACAAGTCAGCATTCTGGATGATTTTTTAAGTAATACATGTTTTGAAGTTACCTGTGGTCATTTATTGAGGAAAGAGTGAATTACATTTCTGTAATTATTGTGGATTCTTGAAAATAGACAATAGGATTTTAATGATTTCCTGACATTTTTAAGTTTTAAACCTAATACCGTATGACCATGACTTAAATAGAGCCTAGTAACTAAAATTTTATTTTATTTTTTTCACTGTTTACTCCTAAAAACTAGCATTTTACTTACATTAATGCAATTTCTGTTTTATTAGGTGCCAGGGCTATCAGTAATTGACATGTACTATAGTTAATAATGTATTTGTTAAAGTAAATAACTTTTAATGGGGCTACCAATAAGTGAATGTCTCCAATTCAAACTTAAATTTTAAATCATAGGTTTGTAAATATTTCTAAATAAGTTAGAATACTGCATATAACAAATGTTTATTCAACAACTATATAGTAATTATCAGATCTTAGCCAATATGCTCAGTACTAGAGATATGTCAATAAATAAGATCCCTGCCCTCAAAGTGCTTAAAATCTGAACTTTGATTCATGAAATCCAAGTTATAAAGAGTTGACGCTATTTTTAAGATATAAATTATACTGTATATAAAGCTATATTAATTTTTCCAGACAATAGCTAAATTGCCATAATACTGTCATGCAAATCAGTGGGAATACTGATAAAGCTCAGTTATTTGTAATTATTGAAGTAAGAATTTTCTCTAAAGACTGAAGACTGGAATTTCTACAGATGTAAAATAAATAAAAGTTGTATGTGGCTGTCCAAAACTTCATTATACTATTTATATTTGCCCATAGTCTGCATTGTACTTTTAAAATTCTTTCTCTCTTTTTAGTACTGGTTGTCACCACTGCCAAGATAGTGCCTCCACTGCTAATTTCTATGACCTGCTGCTACCACCTCCACCTCCCTCTGTTTTCTCTCTGACTTTCTTTTGATTTCTGCCACTTCTCCAGAGAAAATTCACCTTCATTCAAAACAACTGATTGTCTATGGGTGTTCTTAGGCAGTTGGCATGCTCTTTTCTTTCTGATCAGCCAATTGTGGAATACCATTAGTTATCTTTGTGCCCTTTTCATCTTTATTTCTACTTGCTGTTCAAGAGTACTACCTTTGTGTTAAAATTCATTTATGATGGAGGGAGGGGGTCATGATAAACACTGGAGTCTGTGGAAGGATGGGCTATCTTGACATCTGGAGCATTCTGGATACTTGAAGTTGCTGAAAGGCTGATCTATAGATATCCAGGACATGTAATATGATTAAAGTACAGTTGAGCTTCCAGAAGTCCTTGTCTTACTCCAAATATTATTTTATGACTTAGGAGAACCAAATTTTCTGTTTGGGACTTGAACTCAGGTGAGCTGTCTGTATAGATAGTAATAAGTGAAAAGTATTCAAATCTCCTCTAAAATTTCCGCCATTAGATTCGGAAGTGAACTTTTATGTAGATCTTGACTTGTCTCTCTTGATTTGCCTTGTTTTCTTCCACACAGTACTCCTTTATTTTATTTCCTATTTGCTACTGGATTGTCTGTATCAGGACATGTTTTTTTAAGATAACCACTTGAATTTTCTGTTGATAATTGTTTTGTCACCTATTTTGTCAGTGCGAGAATATAAATTTTAGTGTTCACATAAAAGGAAAACCAGTTTAGTGATTATTCATTGAAAAGACCACAATTTTACTCACCAGTGAGGTTCATTGGTTAGCTTGGACCAAGTGTACGGGAACACTGGTATTAACAGAAATATTTTTGAAAGCCATGTGAAAAAATCTCAATTGCATCTCCATTAATTCAAAGAACTCATGATAGCCCTTGTTTGAGTTTCAGAAGTTTTCGTAAAGCAGCATAATGGCAGCAGAGAATAGCAAAAAGAGAACTGAGCTGAGGTCAGGTAAGCCCAATGCAAGTTTTGTCATTGGTTAGCTGTCAGACCTTTGTTACCTTTGCTATCACACAGGGACAATAACATTATAAGACTATTATAGGGATTAAAATGAAATAACCTATCTGTAGAAATCACAGAAAGCCTACCACACTGTAAGAATACAATAAATGTTGATTACTTCCCTCCTCATTTAGTTGAGTCAAAATATTACTCAGTGTTCCCACAGCGTTCAATATTTTAGGACAGTTCTGGAATTTATATGCTTCTTTCTCCAATTCTGGTAATACTGGATTTTTTTGAAGGATCTAGTTTATTTTTATCAGTTTGCGAGTTTTTTGTTTTGTTTTGTTTTTTAACTGACCTACTCAGATAATGAAGACTCTTAACAATTCATAAATGTCTTGATATTTCTTCTCTAACAGTCACACAAAATAAAAACAGCTCTTGAAGAAAAACAATTCAAAGTTTAAAACATATAAAAATTTAGGTATTTAATGTAATTTGAAGTAAAAGTTTGAATTGAAAATAATTATAAAACTAATATGTGCCATTTCTTTGTAATAATTGTTATAATTTTCTTGCATAATTCTTAAAGGGGAAATGGTGCAAAGAACAGCATAATAGTATGGTAATGGTTGTAGAAAATTTATTTCATTTTTCATTCCTTAAAAATCTAGATAAAAGATAGGAACTGTTTTCTTTAAAAACCTGTAGGCATGTGTTTTATTTTTAAATGTTAATCAAATTTATGCTATACTCCTTTATTTTAACTATGCCAATGGACTGATCAAATAATTACCAATAGTGATTAAAAAGGACTTTCTATATTTAAACAAATATTAAGGTAACTAAGGGGTAACTCAGCTAACGTGGCTTTTTAATGATAACAAAATATATTAGATATCCACATGTCATGTAAAACCTTGTGTAAAATATTGGGCTGCTTTTCCCAGCCTTGCTTTTTTTTTTTTTTTTTAACATCCTATTTATAAAGATTAAAAAGCCTGTGGGTGAGAGTGGGGGATGAAATTTAGTATCCCTTAAAGCACTTTGCTAATGCTTTGATTTGTATATATGTGCTCACTAAATGTTGGATCTGTATGGGTTAGCATATTTTCTATTATACGTTAGAAAATACTAATTCACTTTTTTAAATAGCTGAATGAGATATGAAAAGACAGAACTGGTGAGTTAGTAGCTGCTGCTTTTTAGGCATGCCATACTATCAAACCAAGATAGAACATTTTAAGTAAAAACATTTGAACAAAATCCTAAAGACATATAAAGGAAGTCACTTTATGAAAAATATAACTGCCTTTCAACATCTTTACCTTTTCTCGTACTTGCTCAAATTATGACTATGATGCATTATCTATAAACATAAAGTCTAAAAAGTATAAACATTTGATATATTTGTGCATATGTTGCATTTTCTTTTATTATTTCTATTCCTAGTATAATTCAATTTAGGCCAAAATGTTGAGTTTAGTCATGATTTTATATTTCCATAGGTTAA
The DNA here is from genome assembly GCF_000001405.40 of Homo sapiens. Lineage (NCBI taxonomy): Eukaryota > Metazoa > Chordata > Mammalia > Primates > Hominidae > Homo > Homo sapiens. Next base: position 90,954,727 of record NC_000005.10, read on the forward strand.
CTTGAGACATGTAAACAAGTAAGTTATTTATGTGCTATATAATCCTCTACCTACTAGGATATTTACTTAATAGTAGTTTTGTGGCTTAGGAAGCAGAGTAATTAATTAGAGTGAATTAATGGCACACACTGGTTGCTATGTTTCTGATTTGCTTTGGACTGAATCTTTATGTTCCTCAAACATTGTTTCTGCCATTTAGCAGTTGCCTAACAGAGTGATGGTATTTGGAGATGGGGCCTTTATTTGGGAGGTAATTAGGTAATGACAGTGAAGCCCTCATGACCGAGATTTGTGCACTTAGAAGAAAAGACCAGAGAGAGCTCGCTTTTTCTCTCTCTGTTCTCTGCCATGTAAGGACATAATGAGACGATGACCGTCTGCAAACCAGGAAGTGGGTCCTCACCAGACACCAGATCTTCTGGCACTTTGATCTTGGACTTTCCATCCTCTAGAACCATGATAAATAAACGTTTGTTGTTTAAGCTACCCAGTCTCTGTAATAACATTTGTCATAACAGCCCGAACTGACTCAGACACATTTCTTCCTCATTGATGAGCAAATAAACCAAAATCATAATATTTTTCTTGCTTTCTGTCTGAAAATAATGCATTTCCCAATTTTGTATTCCAAAGACCTGTATATTTTATTGTCTATACTTCTGGCCTGCTGCCCCAAAGCAGAGAGTCCTTTATATGTTTGTTTATTCAAACATCCCAGGCCTTCTCAAAATAACCCCCAACCTGAAATAGAATGTGATTTAAAATAACAGAACCTTGGCTCTGGAATCAGGCATGTGGCAAGCACACAGAATATATTTGTTGATGGAATGAATGAATGATTAGATAAAGGAATGAAAAGATCTGATTTGTAAAATGCTCTCATATTGAAATACTTTCCCCCTCTTTTTTTATCTTTTTATAGGTCATGCAACACTTTTGTACTTGGGAAAGTGTTCTAACTAAAGCAATTATGCAATAAAAGTAGTCTTTGATGTTGGCTTCTCTGTCAACTTTATGTTGGATAAAATATTTGGGAATTCTGCTCTGTAGTTAAAAATATACGTGTATGTAGCAGGGAAATGATAACTCTCTCAATAATTAAGGACAAGCAATCATATCCTCGATGTAAAATGGGAGGAATAACAATTTTTTTTAATTTATAAGAAACAGCTAGTGTCACTGCACTTAGAGAAAACACATTAATTTCTTTTATGTTGTCAGGCAGAGAAAGTATAAACTTTGGAGGTTGCACAGTAAGGTTAGGCAATGGCCTGTGAGTTAATAAACACTATTGTTAGATTTATATAGAATTTTATTAGTCTTGCTCAGTTTCTCTTCAATTCCATCTAACAAGGTTTCCTTTCCAGCTTATATGTATGCTTATCTAAGTCCAAGGAATTCCATAAGAAAGTTGAATCAAAATATTTTCAATTGATAACTTATGAAGCAAAAACAGCAATTTCCCATTATATATTTCAAATAAGTTTACTGTACAATTTTGAAGTGACTGTAGAGTCTGAATTGTATTCAGACTATGTATCAGTTGTATTCAGATTCTGGCCATGTATCCACTACCAAAATAAAATGAAAAAATGAACATGGTTTTGTCACAAGTTAATTGTTCAACAACAATAATGACAACAACAAAATTATCTAAAATCTGAATTTTCTGAGTAACGACTCAGTACCATCAGTAAAGTAGTAGAATACAAACCTTAGTGTGCTATCTATGTAAAGAATTTAATTATGTTCACTCCAGATATAGAGACTGTTTTGTTTCCACAGAATTCGTAAACTGTCATTACAGAACTGAGAAATGTGACTTTGAAAATCCAAATCTACGTGTAAAATTTAGTTCAACCTTTGTAATATTCAAATGATCTTGATGTTTCAGCTTGATATTTCAGCCAGCCTTTGCACTCGTTGTTCTTCCTTCAAATGAAGGTACTTTATGTACTTCTAGAGAATCTCCTATACAAACAGGAAGTATGAGTATGTGGCTTTAGTGATTTTTGGAGTACATGCTAGCATCGGTGATTTTAAGTGGTTATTTTAAGTATTAAAAGTGGTTAGAAGCACAGGCTTTGGAGTCAACAGACTTGGCTCAAGTCCTGAATCTGTTGTATCTTAGGCATAACTGTGTGACATCTGTGGAAAGAGCTGTAATGTTAAGATGCTATCAATAACAGCAAATGTTAAGATTTAGTATTGACAGAATATTCCTGACAATTAAATATTCTCTTAAGGGACTGAGTAGAAACACTAGTGAAAAAGATGCTAGCCCAGAAAAAAAAAAGTAAACATGCTATGTGGGCACAAGGTAATGAAGAAAAGATACAGAAAATGCAGGAAACTAAGTATGGCATTATTCCAAGTGGCACATCATCCAGGCAATCTCTACTAAGCATAATTAAGCAGGAAAAAAGTCTTTCCTTAGGTCTGTGCCCTTGGCAAATGTATTTACTTTTATTAAGCCTCAGTTTCCTTCTCTATGCAATAAAAAAGAAGTGATCTCTAAATTGCATATATTATTTAAATATGATGAAATAATATCTCTAGGGCCTTTAGCACAGTACCTGGCACATGAAAACCATTCATTAAATGGTAACTATTATTATTGTTGCTGTATTTCTTATAAAAATAAATTAGTACTTCTTTGGCTGTATACCAGATGAAAAAGACTAGTCTTGGTGTTAATGACTCATAAAGATCTGTTTCTCAGAAGATGGCTTTTTAAAGAAAAGAGAAAAAATAAAAGCATATTAAAATACCTCTATAAAAATTCTGTAGTGAGGGCTAATTTTGCTTCCTTTTTCTAATTTCAACTGTTTATATATATATATATATTACATATAGTATATATATAACATATATGTATATATTTTAACTATATATGTTATATATTTTACATATATGTATATATAAATATATGTGTATATATATTACTATATGAAGTTTTTCCTAGTATCAATCTATTTTAAAGATAATTAACTATTGAAGAAAAAATAATAGCAAAGTAGTGTGAGGTTTGCAACATATATAAAAGTAGAATATATGCCAGGAGATCAGGAGAGAAAATAGTAAAGTATGTTATTGTGAGGTTTTCATGCTATATATGAAGTAGTATACTACCAACCAATGTCTTTCATAAACATAGATGCAAATATTCTTAATACAATGTTAGCAAGTCAAAAGGATAATATATCACAACAGAATGATAGCTATCCCAATAATGCAAGGATGACTTAAAATTCAAAAATTAATCAATGTAATTAATAACAAACTAAAATAAAAATATTTTTTATTTGGGAGGCTGAAGCAGGTGGATCACCTGAGCTCAGGATTGCAAGACCAGCCTAGGCAACATGCCAAAGCCCTGACTCTACAAAAAAAGAAAAAATAAAAAAATTAGACAGGCCAGTGGTGCATGCCTGTAGTCCCCAGCTACTTCTGAGGCTGAGGTGGGAGGATTGCTTGAGTCCAGGAGGATGAGGCTGCAATGAGCCAAAATTGTGCCACTGTACTCTGTCCTGGGTGACAGAGCCAGACCTTGTCTCAAAAAAAAAAAAAAAAAAAAGAAAAGAAAAGAAAAAGGGAAAAAGAAAAAGAAATATTTTGGATAATTTCAATAGGGAAATATAATTAACAAAATTTAATATCAATTCTCAATAAACTCCCAGCAAACAGCAAAGTAAGAATAGAAGGAATGGTCTTAACCTAATAAAGGTATCTATGAAACTATGTAACTAACATCATACTTCTATTTGTTTGCTAGGGCTGCCATAGCAAAGTAACACAGACTGGATGGCTTTAACAACACTAATTTTCTCACAGTTTGGAGGCTAGAGTCTGAGTTGAAGGTGTCTTCAGGGTTGACTTCATTCTGAGGCCTCTCTCCTTGGCTTTTAGGTGGCCATCATCTCCCTTTGTCTTCACGTGGTCTTTCTTCTGTGCATGTGCGTGTCTGTGTCCAAAATTTTCACCTCTTGTAAGGATACCAATCATAATGGATTAGGACCCATTCTAAAGACCTCTTCTTAACTTAATTACCTCTTTAAAAACCTTATCTTCAAATACAGTTACATACTGAAGTACTGGGGTTTGGGACTTCAACATGTGAATTTGGAGAGGAAACAATTTAGCCCATAACAATACTTAATGCTGAAAAACTGAATGCTTTCCCCCTAAAATTAGAAACAAAACAAAGATGTTCATTTTTGCCACCTCTATTTAATAGTGTGTGTTTATGTGTGTGTGCATATATTTTTCCCAGCAAGTACAATAGGCAAGATAAGACAATTAGAGCTTTCTAATTAGCAAATAAGTAAAACCCTATTTATATAGAGATGACATGATCCTATATTTAAAATACAATGTTATCTACAAAACAGCTCCTCAAACTAATGTGATTCTGTAACTTTACAGGGTACAAGATCAATATATAAAAATAAATTTTATTTCTATGTGTCAGGAAGGAATGATCAGAAACTAAAATTTAATAAAAATATCAATTACAATAATATCAAACATATAAAAGAATTAGGGGTAAATCTTTTTTTTTTAATGTGTGAAGGAGGTATATGTGGACAACTACAAAACACTGCTGAGAGAAGCTAGAGAAGACCTAAATAAATGGAGAAAGACACTGTATTCATGAGATGCAAGAGTGGATATTGTTAATATGTCAGTTCTCCCCAGATTGAAATTCAGCTTTCTTTTGTAGAAATTGACTACCTCATCATAAAAGTCATATGGAAATGCAAATGACTAAGAGTAACCAAAACAACTTTGGAAAAGAATAAATTAGAACCTAACACTACCCTTTTCAAGAAATATAGCTACAGTAACCTAGATGATGTAGTATTGGTGTAAACATAGACAAATAGATCAAGGGAACAGATTAGAGAGTCCAGAAATAGACTCCCACATATATAGGCAAGTATCCAAAGGCAATTTACTGGAGGAAAGATGAGTCTTTCAACAAATGGTGCTGAAAAAAATTGGTACATTATTTTGGAAAAAAATCAAAATAATTATGCTGAGTGAAACAAACTAGACACAAAAGAGCACATATGCCTATATTTATATAAAATTTAATAGATGCAAACTAATGTATTAGAAATAGATCAGTGTCTGGGCGCAGTGGCTCACGCCTGTAATCCCAGCACTTTGGGAGGCTAAGGTGGGCAGATCACGAGGTCAGGAGATCAAGACCATCCTGGCTAACACGGTGAAACCCCGTCTCTACTAAAAATACAAAAAATTAGCTGGGCATGGTGGCGGGCACCTGTAGTCCCAGCTACTCGGGAGGCTGAGGCAGGAGAATGGCGTGAACCCAGGAGGTGGAGCTTGCAGTGAGCCGAGATCGCGCCACTGCACTCCAGCCTGGGTGACAGACCGAGACTCATCTCAAAAAAAAAAAAAAAACAAAAAACAGATCAGTGTATGCCTAGGGTGGTAGGGGTGGTGGTGGTGCAGAGAGGTACTACAAAAGGCAGGAGAAAACTTTTGGGGCTGATGCATGGGTTCATTATTTTCATTGTGATGATGGCTTCACAGGTGCAAAAACCTATTAAGTCAAATACTCTAAATGTGCACCTTTTATTGTCTGTCAATCATACATCAATAAAGCTGTTTTTTAAACAAACACCTACTATGTTCAAACTCGATAGAATTCCGTACAGGATGCTTGCCGTGTTCTCTTTTTTACAAAAATGTACTTTAAAATAATTATAAGAATGGATAGGATCAAATTGTTTTTAAGAACTTGACAGTTTTCGAAGACATTAAAATTAATTTTATTTAAAACGAGATTTATAAGAAAAATTATTACAATAAAATCTTATTTTAAAAATTCAGAGGAGGAAAAGTTTGTTTATGATTGAAAGGAATAACCAGGTATTAAAAAGTAGGAAAGTCTAGGAATCTGCCGTGATCAGAGTAAGCAGGTAGAATTTCCAGTTATTCATGACAGAGTTCTACCACGTTTTGAAAGGTAAACATGAGTTCAACCTGGGAAGATGAGAAAAAGAAATTCTAGATAAAAGGAAGAGGAAGAACAAAGGCAAGAGTCAAGACATGAAGAAGTATGTTTAGGGAATAGCAGTAAATGCATTTGGATAGAATGGTGTACGAAGAGTCTTATGGAAGATAAACTTAGCAAGAGAAAGTGGGGCAGATGGGACTTGGGTTTTCTCTCTGAAAATTTCTTTGAATCCCCACAAGCAGCGCTAATACTCTCATTCTCCTAATACTCTGCATTCTCCTAATATTTTGCTCCATACCCTGCTACAATACTTGTCACATTTTATTGTATCATGTGTCTAGCTTCACCCTTAGGCACCCGTCTATTAGAAAGAACTACATTTGGCTCATTATAAATGCTCGATAACAAAATGCTCCCACTTTAAAAAATAGGATAGTCTAGGTATCTGCCATGATCAGAGTAAGCAGGTAGAATTTGAGCTGGTCCTTTAAAAACTGACTAGTTTTGGCCGCGCGCAGCGGTTCACGCCTGTAATCCCAGCACTTTGGGAGGCCGAAGCGGGCGGATCATGAGGTCAGGAGAGCGAGACCATCCTGGCTAACACGATGAAAACCCGTCTCTACTAAAAATACAAAAAATGGTGGCACGCCCTGTAGTTCCAGCTACTCCGGAGGCTGAGGCAGGAGATTCGCTTGAACCCGGGAGGCGGAGGTTACAGTGAGCCAAGATCGTGCTACTGCACTCCAGCCTGGGTGACAGAGGGAGACTCCGTCTCAAAAAAAAAAAAAAAAAAAAGGGGGGGTGGCGGTCATTTCAAGAATAATTTTATAGGGAAAGGAGTGAGAGTATCCGTAGTAAACTGAGGGAGGAGGGTGTATATATTAAGGAGCACTGAGAATTGAGGTTTATAGGAAAACTAATATTTATCATTAGTTGTTATTTAGCCCAAGCAAGCGGGGACACATGCTGTATATTTAAGTTTTCTAAAAAGTATTTACTCTTCATTTCCTTCGTTGGCTGGCACAGTAGAGCTCTAAGCAATCAGAATAAGCAGAGAATTTTATAAGTCATTTTAAAAAGAATATCTCAAATACTTTTTGGGGGAACTATATTTATTTTTCTTTTCTCTTAAGTTGTGTATATGTTATATAAAAATGGAATTGAGAATAGTATTATATTTGCTCTTGGCATTATATTTGATTGTCATTATGAGCCTGTGGTGGGCCATGGAGTAAAACGAATTGAGAAACAGTGACCTAGAATGTTAGCACTTCGAGAGGGGACTGTGCTCGATTTAGCTTTGTAGGCAGTAGCATGGTGCTCAAGAAAGAATGCTGCTCCTGCAAATCAGGATACCAGAATTTGAATCCCAATTTAAATTTAAAACTTGTTTAAGGACCTTTAAACATGTTAATTATCCTATAGTTCTTCCTTCGTTATTTACTAAATTGGGATACAAACAATAATAGTTTCACATCATTAATATGTGAGTTATACACAAAAGAACGAGGGAAAACATGTAGCGCCATGCTGGTATACAGCAGTTTTCTGTAATCATGTACTTCATCTTGCCCAGCACAATACTTTGTAGATAGAGGGTACTTAAGCACTCATTCATACTGAATAAATCAATGTATGAACAACTGAGAACCTTTGAAAAATTCCTTTTTTCTGTTCATGTTCAACTTAATGCTTTCAGAGAACTGACTGTGAAAATAACCTTTTTTCTGGTAATCTCTATGTGTTTGAATAAAAGAACAATGGTGAAGCTCCATCTATTTTTAGGTTATGTAGCCTTAAAAATGAGAAAGCTAAATATGCTGGGAGATTTTATTTATTTTGTTTTCTTGGTCTCATTTTATTTCTGTCTTAAATTAAGTTAATGAAATTTTGGGTAGGCCTGGTCACATTTAATACCTAGTTCTCCAAGTATTTTTTGTGCATCCCTTTTATAGCAGTGTGCAATGTGACAGCTCAGCCTCCTCTTGCTGACTAATCTCCTGTACAGACAGAAGCAATTCCCATAATTCAGATAATAACCTGGAACAACTTTCATGATTTACAAAAGTAGATTTGTAACTGATCTTCTTATAATTTAGAAAAGGAGATTAGAGTGTAATAAAATATCAAATCATAGCTTAGGAATAGAATTTTGGATGTTAAAACTATTCTGAAAGTAAATACAGTTTTAAACAAGAACCTGTACTGATTTAATTGCTTCAAAGAAAACATATTGAAAAAGAAAAGAATTATTTAAGTTAGCATATACTTATAAATAGTTTCATAGAATGTTTAAAGCTAAACATATTCAATTATAATTTGGATTACACTATTCTATTACATAACAACCTACATAAGTTGATTAGAACAAAACTACGAAGTAAACTTCAACACAATCCATATAATAGAATCTGAATTAGAAAGGCTTGAATTTATTGTATGTAAATTTATGAAGACTTTATGGAAATAGATGCACCTTTGTAAAAAGACAGAACATGAAATGTTAAAATGATTGCTTTTTTATCCTTTATTTATTTATTTTTGCTAAACCATACCATACTCTTAAGTCATAGTTCCAGTGCTTAGTGCATAGAAGGTGTTCAAGGAATAATTGTGGAATTTAGGAAGGTTTAATTTCTGACCTATAATAAAGGTCAGAATAAATGGTAAAATTAGACAAAAAAGTCAAGGAAAATATAAGCATAATCTCTAATAATTCAAAAGCTATGTTGTGGTGCATTCTAGAAAGGTGAATTTGTGGACTTTTTTTTTAAGGGAACTCATTTGTATCAGATTGTCAGGAAATAATGTTACATAAATTTCTATTTTCTGCTTTAAATGCTGGCATGCGTTCTTTTTAATAGTGTGTATTACAAATGCACCAAATCTAGGGCTAAGTAAACAGAAAGTTGAATCAAGGTACTTCTCATTTTAAAAATTGTTCTGGAGTCTTGGAGTAGAAAGGGACTTTGGAGTTGATTTTTCCCAACTTCCTTCTATTATTGATGAGGGAAGTAGAAGGGGAAAATGACTCGTTCACTGTCTGTAGCTTGAAAAAAAAGATTTTTTAAAAATCTATACTTGATCAGGCAGGCACAGGAAGGTACTTAATGAATAGTTTCCAAGAAGAGTCACTTCGGCATAAGAGATACATATTGTAGATTAATTTACAGGCAATATCAATTATAGTAATAAATTATTGGTGATTATTAATAATTATTAATTTTAAATTAGCATGTTGGGTCTTATGTAATTGACTGAGGAATCAGGTTAAGGTGCATCTTTCATTGTGAAATTGAGATTTTGGGAACATGCAAAGCCTCACTGCAGATCCTAATGAATTTACCACAGGGATGCTGCCCTACCAATACACTTGAGTAGAAATTTTCAAGGGGAGTTGAGGGACATGTCCTTGGTAACAAGAGGATTGGGGAAGGGTATATTTCACTTGAAATTTAAACAACATTTTGTTCCATGGTCTTATTTATTTTTGGGCACATTATTGTTTTTTTAATAAATTCAAATAGCATTAAAAGCATTCATGTTTTCTTTTTAAAAGTTAAGAGGTTTTAAGGCATAAGTCAACTAGTTTTTTCCTCTGTCCTTTTGGAATAAATCATTCATTCTTTTAATAAACGCTTATTGATCATCTCTATATTCCAGGCATAGTGGTACCCTCTGAAAATACAGTCAAAAAGTTGATTCCTGTCTATAAGGGGGAGCCAGAGTTTATTCATTGAGAATTTACAGCAGAATATTATTGCTCCAAGTTTCCCCCTGCCATCTACACTCATCATTGCAATATTTGACACAGTAGTCATTTATTGGAGAAAATACAAAAAGATAGAAATCACAAAGAGTCTTTCACTTCACTTGCTCATTACTCAGCAAGTATTTATTGAGTACCTATCATGTGCCAGTCACTGAGCTAGGTGCTTGGGTTCCATTAGTGAGTAAAACAGTCAACGATCCTGTCTTTGCAGGGATTATATTCTAGGAGGTGAGACTAATAGCCAAAAAAAAAAAAAAATGCAAATTACAAAGCATGTTAGAAGGTGATGTGTGCTGGTTAAAAAAGAGAGAGAGAGAGTGAGAGAGAAGTAGAGTTAGGGGAATTATGTGTGTGAGAAGGAAATTTAGTGTGGTCAAGAGAGGCCTCATTGTGACTTTTGAACAAAGGCTTGAAGGCACTTGAAATAAAAATCCAAAAATTAGGATAACCATAGAATTTGAATTTTTAAACTCATTTTAAGTCTATTTTGTTATCTATGTTACTTCCTGGCAAGAGGCTGCAGGTGATGGTAAAGTCAAGGATTTTATTTTTCTTTCTTTTCTCTCCCATTAGCTTTGATTTTCACAAGGAGTGGCATTTCCACTATTTTCTACTTTGCTAAAATAAATGTATTTCATGGGATTTTTGTTCATCAATGATAAGAACAAGGTTTACTTTGAGAATTTTCTCTTGAGAGCCTAGAGCAACATGTAGCATAATTTCATATCATGCGCTGTTTCTTAGAAATATAAAAATCCATATATTGCCATTTTTAGAATGACTCTTAGTCATATCAGTTTGGGCAAGAAGTCAACTTACTTTCACATGGAATCACTGAGTCATAGATTTAGATAAGAAAGCAGTTTACTTTCTTAATATTCTTCATCGATTTTAGCATATTTTAAAAATAGAAGTATCTGTTTCTTACAGATTCTGTTTCTGGCGTCTGCATACGCAAGTCCCCAACTCGCTGAGGAGAGCTGTTCAGCTATGGCTGCTGTCACACATTACCTGTATCTTTGCCAGTTTAGCTGGATGCTCATTCAGGTTGGTACCTCATTCCCTCTCCCCGCCCCTTTAATCTTTTAATGAATCTGGGTGGAGTGGTCTTAATGTCTGATACTCTGTACTGAAGTAGAAGTAATTCCGTATATCCATCACTGCATTCTCAGGATATAAATGACAAATAAAAACACCCTATAAGCTGTACAACAGTAGAGAGCATTGTGAGTTTGAAGAAATGATGGAAATCTAGTAGGATTGGAAACAAGGGAGTGGTTAGAGATGAAGTCTGCAATGTGGGCCCTTTAAAGCACAGTTGGAAATTTGAACATTTTTCTAGGAAAAGTAATAGAATGATTTTAAGCAAAGGAGTGACATGATAAGATTTAGATTTTAGAAAGATCTCCCTGTTTGTAGTGAATATGAGACAGGAAAGAGTGGATAGGCAAGCCAATTAAGTAGATTTAGCTGTATTCATGGGGAAATCATGGTAGCGTGAACTAAGGAGGTGGCAGTAGAAGCAAAGGGAAGTGGACTGTTTTGGAGATTTTTTTAAGCTAGAACTATAGGATGTGAAGACTTGTTGTGGGGAATGCAGAAGTTGGAACCCAGGATGCTTCCCAAATTTCTGGCCGGGTATCTGGTGGATAGTGGTAACAGAAATTACGATCACTGAACAATGGGGAAGAGCTGGTGAGTTTCGTTTGGGACATGCTGAATGTGAAGTGCCTATGAGACTTCCAGTGGGAACTTTGAGGAGAGGGCGATACATTTAGAAATGCACTGGGAATGCCAGTGCTTTGGGAGGCCAAGGCAGGCGGATCACCTGAGGTCAGGAGTTCAAGACCAGCCTGTCCAACATGGTGAAACCCCATCTCTACTAAAAATATTAAAAATTAGCTGGGCGTGGTGGTGGGCACCTATAATCCCAGCTACTAGGGAGGCTGAGGCAGGAGAATCACTTGAACCCAGGAGGCGGAGGTTGCAGTAAGCCGAAATGGCACCATTGCACTCCAGCCTGGGCGAGAAAAGCGAAACTCTGCCAAAAAAAAAAAAAAAAAAAATAGAAAGAAAGAAAGAAATGCACTGGGAAGCTATTGGCTTAGAGTTGGAAAATGGAGCCATTGGTTTGGAAGAGATTACTTGGCGAGAAGGTACAGAGTGAGACCAGTAGAGTCCTAGCATACTCCCCTGAGGAACTAGTAAATGTTGGGGGAGAAATTTCAATTTTCCTTTTCTAAATAAAATCCCAAATTCTCTCCATTATTCTATGCTGATTTGGTCGATAAAGAGGCTAAGAGAGGAGGATGGTGCGTAGTATTTAAGTGGCTCAACTAAAATGCTGCCTTTGGTAATGCATTCTGTGTAATGGTATTTTTAAGGTTTTCATGTGATACTGTTTCATATGCATTTCTGAGTATGGATGTAAACTATTTTAATGAAACAGATGCATTCAGGCCCTTGCATATTCTTTTTTCTTGTTGAAGAGGAAGGTTGTGGGACTTGATGATGTAGCAACAGTGAATTAATGGTAAAAGGAGAAAGAAAGTGAGGTGGTGGTATTATGAGAGAATACCACATACCACACAGGCTCAAGGAAGGGTTGTTTTCCCCAGTATGATATGATAGTAGTGGGGGCTGAAGAAGAGAACTGAACTATTTAGCTAATAGAACTAGTTGAAACAAGTGGCACCCTGGATCTGGATTTGAATTCTGGCTCTGCCACTATCTGTGTAAGCTTAATCAAGCTATTGACTCTCTCCAAGATTTGTTTCTAAATCTGCATATAGGGATAATAATTCCTAACTCATAGAATTATTATTAATATTTTATAGCTCTTTGAGCAGTTTTAATCATGGAAAATTAATGGTGTTTTCAAGCTCCCCTCTCAAAAAAATTTGCAAATAAAAGTGAATTTAAACCATATAACATAAAACTTACATATCTGCTGAAATTAGAATAACATTTGCGAGATTTTCTGATTGCAAAATTCTGTAAGAGTTTATCTGAGTTAAACTTTTTTAAATGTGCCCTATTTATGTTGTTATCTGTCTGCCTGTATTGAGGTCCCCAGTGCTATGCTAAAGGTCTTTGTCCATGCCCCTGACCTATTCAGAATTTTTGATTCATTACTTGGATGAAAACACAGGAAATTGCTTATCAGATATGTACGTGGTACAGAACTGAAAGGACAGCTGCAACAGAGAGCTGCCTGCATTAAGATTACAAGTAGAGCCAATGAAGAGAAACTGTACTGTGATAAATTAAAAACTAGAGTGAAAGAGACATCATCTGATGGAAGTTAATGTAAATTACTCAAAATTATAATTTAACATAAACTCAGCAGCAATTGAATATGTGACCAGAATGCTTAACAATAACAACTACTGTAACTACAAAAACAACACACACCTAGGTTGCGTTGATAGCAGTATGGAAGCAGACATGTTTACGTTGTAATTTACAAAATTCAGACTATTTTGGGACATAGCAACCACTCTCATGGGTCGTGTTTCAGCAGGAACATTAATTATCCAATGAGAAGTTGGAAAACAACCCCCTAAGAAACTTTGAGGCAGCTGGACATAACTAACCTGGAAAGAATTTAGGTAAATGTGATGGCTGTCTACAAATACCGGAAGGGCTACTGCAGGAAAGGGTGGACTATGTAGCTCCATTTGGCACAACTCAGAGCAAATGGGTCAAAAATTAGGGAAGGAAATTTTTGATTCAGGTTAAGAGTGTTCATAGCAATAAAACTGTCAAAGTTGAAGAGGCTTTTCTAAAAGTAGAGTAAATTCAATCACTGAAATATATGGAGAGGGAAATGACCAACTTTCAAACATGTTTTAGATGGATTTTCTGCTTTCAGGGGCATTAGACAAAATCATATATAAGATTTCACCCAAGTTAATGAAGATTGGTATATTCTACATCTCTTCTTTGAGTTAGGTAAATATGATTGTGCCTGATTCACATTTAGTAGACCAATTAGATTCTGGATGGCTAATGGCTTAGGAAAGCTATTTAAAGTACCAGTGAAGTTTAATGTATTTCAGATGGTACACCACACATTTTTCATGGTTTGTGATTTGACCACAAGGGAAAAAGTCAGTCAGTTCTGAATTCTAGTTAGGTTACTTTTAATGAATTATTTTATGATCAGAGGTTGCACTTCACCAACCTACATATTCCCATTTATAAAACAGTGACTGCTGAAATCTTTTTTTTTCTAAAATCCGTTTTAAAAACATTATGTAGAAGGTTAGACTATTATTAGTTCAATCCTATTAGTTGAATTAGGTTGAATAAAATTGAGAGAAGTTTTTACTTTAATGATTCTACTTCATTTTTTTAGTAATATAGGAGCGAATATGATACTACATATGTCTGTGCATAGCTTATAATGACAATAAATTAATCATTAATTTGTAATTACTGAGTTAAGCATGTCAGAATTGTTAACGTTTATTTTTATCTGCGTATCTTCAGTCTTAGAATAAATACATTGAAATGACTTTATCTTGAAAATTATTTTACTTTTATATCCTATACTTTTAGTGCCATATAATAAAGTTAGATTATATTTTAGAGTAGCTTAGGGAAAATTTTATTGGTAAACAAGTTACATAACCTCTCTGAGCCTTGATTTTCTTATTTGAAAACTCAAGTTGTAATAACAGTACCTCTCTTTACAGACTGTGAAAAGACAAAATGAATTAATGTATAGAATGAACTTGAAATGGTGTCTGGGACAGAATGCATACTCTGTACATATTTACCCATATTATTTGTTAAGATAATATGTTGTGGCTAAAATTTCATAGATTTGAAAACATCTTGAATACTCTGCTATTCCAATATAAATTTATACCTTCTTTTTAACCAAAGAAGATCATCTTCATGTAGTGGAAAGAGGTCCGACTTTGAGTGAGGTGGACACTAACTAGCTGCAAAGCCTTAGCAAGCTGGAGAACCTTTAACTCCTTATTAAAGTAGATGCATGGCTCATAACAGGCTCCATAAATAGCAGCCTTGCCTCTGTTTCTTCAGGCTTCCCTTTTCTTTGACAGAGAAGTCACACAGTGCAAAGCGAGGATGTATTAACAAATTATTTTGCTTATTTTTTAAAAGGAAACAATTCATAAATTCCTTTCTTGGCCATAGATATTGAATTATCCATCTGTTTGCTCTTCATGTAAGATCACTCCTTGAAACTATTGAAATCATTTCTCCCTTAAGAAGGCAGGGTTGGGGCAGTTCCAAGATGGCCAAATAGGAATAGCTCCAGTCTACAGCTCCTAGCGTGAGCAACACAGAAGACGGGTGATTTCTGCATTTCCAACTGAGGTACTGGGTTCATCTCACGGGGCCTGATCGGACAGTGGAGGCAGGACAGTGGGTGCAACCCACCGAGCGTGAGCCGAAGCAGGGCGAGGCATCGCCTCACCAGGGAAGTGCAAGCGATCAGGGAATTCCCTTTCCTAGCCAAGGGAAGGGGTGACGGACAGTACCTGGAAAATCGGATCACTCCCACCCTAATACTGCGCTTTTCCAATGGTCTTAGCAAATGGCACAACAGGAGATTATATCCCGTGCCTGGCTCGGAGGGTCCCACGCCCACGGAGCCTCACTCATTGCTAGCACAGCAGTCTGAGATCGAAGTGCAAGGCAGCAGCGAGGCTGGGGGAGGGGTGCCCACCATGGCTGAGGTTTGAGTAGGTAAACAAAGCAGCAGGGAAGCTCGTACTGGGTGGAGCCCACTGCAGCTCAAGGAGGCCTGCCTGCCTCTGCAGACTCCACCTCTGGGGGCAGGGCATAGCCAAACAAAAGGCAGCAGAAACCTCTGCAGACTTAAGTGTCCCTGTCTGACAGTTTTGAAGAGAGTAGTGGTTCTCCCAGCACAGAGTTTGAGATCTGAGAATGGACAGACTGCCTCCTCAAGTGGGTCTCTGACCCCCAAGTAGCCTAACTGGGAGGCATCCCCCAGTAGGGGCAGACTGACACCTCACATGGCCGGGTACCCCTGAGACAAAGCTTCCAGAGGAACGATGAGGCAGCAACATTTGCTGTTCAGCAGCCTCTGCTGCTGATACCCAGGCAAACAGGGTCTGGAGTGGACCTCCAGCAAACTCCAGCAGACCTGCAGCTGAGGGTCCTGACTGTTAGAAGGAAAACTGACAAATAGAAAGGACATCCACATCAAAACCCCATCTGTACGTCACCATCATCAAAGACCAAAGGTAGATAAAACCACAAAGATGGGGAAAAAACACAGCAGAAAAGCTGAAAATTCTAAAAGTCAGAGCACCTCTCCCCCTCCAAAGGAGCACAGCTCCTCACCAGCAACAGAACAAAGCTAGACGGAGAATGACTTTGACAAGTTGAGAGAAGAAGGCATGAGATGATCAAACTTCTCTGAGCTAAAGGAGGAAGTTTGAACCCATCGCAAAGAAGCTAAAAACCTTGAAAAAAGATTTGACAAATGGCTAGCTACAATAACCAGTGTAGAGAAGTCCTTAAATGACCTGATGGAGCTGAAAACCATGGCACAAGAACTACGTGATGAATGCACAAGCCTCCGTAGCCGATTTGATCAACTGGAAGAAAGGGTATCAGTGATGGAAGATGAAATGAATGAAATGAAGCAAGAAGAGAAGTTTAGAGAAAAAGAGTAAAAAGAAACAAAGACTCCAAGAAACATGGGACTATGTGAAAAGACCAAATCTACGTCTGATTGGTGTACCTGAAAGTGATGGGGAGAATGGAACCAAGTTGGAAAACACTTTGCAGGATATTATCCAGGAGGACTTCCCCAACTTAGCAAGGCAGGCCAACATTCAAATTCAGGAAATACAGAGAATGCCACAAAGATATTCCTCGAGAAAAGCAACTCGAAGACACATAATTGTCAGATTCACCAAAGATGAGATGAAGGAAAAAATGTTAAGGGGCAGCCAGAGAGAAAGGTTGGGTTACCCACAAAGGGAAGCCCATCAGACTAACAGCAGATCTCTCCGCAGAAACTCTACAAGCCAGAAGAGAGTGGGGACCAATATTCAACATTCTTAAAGAAAAGAATTTTCAACCCAGAATTTCATATCCAGCCAAACTAAGCTTTGTAAGTGAAGGAGAAATAAAATCCTTTACAGACAAGCAAATGCTGAGAGATTTCGTCACCACGAGGCCTGCCCTACAAGGGGTCCTGAAGGAAGCACTAAACATGGAAAGGAACAACTGGTACCAGCCACTGCAAAAACATGACAAATTGTAAAGACCATCGATGCTAGGAAGAAACTGCATCAACTAACAAGAAAAATAATCAGCTAACATCATAATGACAGGATCAGATTCACACATAACAATATTAACCTTAAATGTAAATGGGCTAAATGCTCCAATTAAAAGACACAGACTGGCAAATTGGATAAAGACTCAAGACCCATCAGTGTGCTGTATTCAGGAGACCCATCTCATGGGCAGAGACACACATAGGCTAAAAATAAAGGGATGGAGGAAAATCTACCAAGCAAATGGAAAACAAAAAAAGGCAGAGGTTGCCATCCTAGTCTCTGATAAAACAGACTTTAGACCAATAAAGCTCAAAAGAGACAAAGAAGGCCATTACATAATGGTAAAGGGATCAATTCAACAAGAAGAGCTGACTATCCTAAATATATATGCACCGAATACAGGAGCACCCAGATTCATAAAGCAAGTCCTTAGAGACCTACAAAGAGACTTAGACTGCCACACAATAATAATGGGAGACTTTAACACCCCACTGTCAACATTAGACAGATCAATGAGACAGAAAGTTAACAAGGATATCCAGGAATTGAACTCAGCTCTGCACCAAGCGGATCTAATAGACATCTACAGAACTCTCCACCCCAAATCAACAGATTATACATTCTTCTCAGCACCACATCGCACTTATTCCAAAATTGACCACATAGTTGGAAGTAAAGCACTCCTCAGCAAATGTAAAAGAACAGAAATTATAATAAACTGTCTCTCAGACCACAGTGCAATCAAACTAGAACTCAGGATTAAGAAACTCACTCAAAAGCGCTCAACTACATGGAAACTGAACAACCTGCTCCTGAATGACTACTGGGTAAATAACGAAGTGAAGGCAGAAATAAAGATGTTCTTTGAAACCAACGAGAACAAAGACACAACATACCAGAATCTCTGGGACACATTCAAAGCAGTGTGTAGAGGGAAATTTATAGCACTAAATGCCCACAAGAGAAAGCAGGAACGATCTAAAATTGACACGCTAACATCACAATTAAAGAACTAGAGAAGCAAGAGCAAACACATTCAAAAGCTAGCAGAAGACAAGAAATAACTAAGATCAGAGCAGAAATGAAGGAGATAGAGACACAAAAAACCCTACAAAAAATCAATGAATCCAAGAGCTGGTTTTTTGAAAAGATCAACAAAACTGATAGACCACTAGCAAGACTAATAAAGAAGAAAAGAGAGAAGAATCAAATAGATGCAATAAAAATTAATAAAGGGGATATCACCACCGATCCCACAGAAATACAGACTACCATCAGAGAATACTATAAACACCTCTATGCAAATAAACTAGAAAATCTGGAAGAAATGGATAAATTCCTGGACACATACCCCCTCCCAAGACTAAACTAGGAAGAAGTTGAATCCCTGAATAGACCAATAACAGGCTCTGAAATTGAGGCAATAATTAATAGCCTACCAACCAAAAAAAGTCCAGGACCAGATGGATTCACAGTCGAATTCTACCAGAGGTACAAGGAGGAGCTGGTACCATTCCTTCTGAAACTATTCCAATCAACAGAAAAAGAGGGAATCCTCCCTAACTCATTTTATGAGGCCAGCATCATCCTGACACCAAAGCCTGGCAGAGACACAGCAAAAAAAGACAATTTTAGACCAATATCCCTGATGAACATTGATGCAAAAATCCTCAATAAAATACTGACAAACCGAATCCAGCAGCACATTAAAAGCTTATCCACCATGATCAAGTGGACTTCATCCCTGGGATGCAAGGCTGGTTCAACATATGCAAATCAGTAAACGTAATCCAGCATATAAACAGAACCAAAGACAAAAACCACATGATTATCTCAACAGATGCAGAAAAGGCCTTTGACAAAATTCAACAATTCTTCATGCTAAAAACTCTCAATAAGTTAGGTATTGATGGGATGTATCTCAAAATAATAAGAGCTCTTTATGACAAACCTACAACCAATATCATACTGAATGGGCAAAAACTGGAAGCATTCCCTTTGAAAAGTGGCACAAGACAGGGATGCCCTCTCTCACCACTCCTATTCAACATAGTGTTGGAAGTTCTGGCCAGGGCAGTCAGGCAGAAGAAAGAAAGAAAGGGTATTCAATTAGGAAAAGAGGAAGTCAAATTGTCCCTGTTTGCAGATGACATGATTGTCTATTTAGAAAACTGCATTGTCTCAGCCCAAAATCTCAAGCTGATAAGCAACTTCAGCAAAGTCTCAGGATAGAAAATCAGTGTGCAAAAATCACAAGCATTCTTATACACCAATAACAGACAAACAGAGAGCCAAATCATGAGTGAACTCCCATTCACAATTGCTTCAAAGAGAATAAAATACCTAGGAATCCAACTTACAAGGGACGTGAAGGACCTCTTCAAGGAGAACTACAAACCACTGCTCAATGAAATAAAAGAGGACACAAAGAAATGGAAGAACATTCCATGCTCATGGATAGGAAGAATCAATATTGTAAAAATGGCCATACTGCCCAAGGTAATTTATAGATTCAATGCCATCCCCATCAAGCTACCAATGACTTTCTTCACAGAATTGGAAAAAACTACTTTAAAGTTCATATGGAACCACGAAAGAGCCTGCACTGCCAAGACAATCTTAAGCCAAAAGAACAAAGCTAGAGGCATCACACTACCTGACTTCAAACTATAGTACAAGGCTACATTAACCAAAACAGCATGGTACTGGTACCAAAACAGAGATATAGACCAATGGAACAGAACAGAGCCCTCAGAAATAATACCACACGTCTACAACCATCTGATCTTTGACAAACCTGAGAAAAACAAGCAATAGGGAAAGGATTCCCTATTTAATAAATGGTGCTGGGAAAACTGGCTAGCCATATGTAGAAAGCTGAAACTGGATCCCTTCCTTACACCTTATACAAAAAGTAATTCAAGATGGATTAAAGACTTAAATATTAGACCTAAAACCATAAAAACCCTAGAAGAAAACCTAGGCAATACCATTCAGGACATAAGTATGGGCAAGGACTTCATGTCTAAAACACCAAAAGCAATGGCAACCAAAGCCGAAATTGACAAATGGGATCTAATTAAACTAAAGAGCTTCTGCACAGCAAAAGAAACTACCATCAGAGTGAACAGGCAACCTACAGAATGGTAGAAAAGTTTTGCAACCTACTCATCTGACAAAGGGCTAATATCCAGAATCTACAAAGCACTCAAACAAATTTACAAGAAAAAAACAAACAACCCCATCACAAAGTGGGCGAAGGATATGAACAGACACTTCTCAAAATAAGACATTTATGCAGCCAACAGACACATGAAGAAATGCTCATAATCACTGGCTATCAGAGAAATGGAAATCAAAACCACAATGAGATACCATCTCACACCAGTTAGAATGGTGATCATTAAGAAGTCAGGAAACAACAGGTGCTGGAGAGGATGTCGAGAAATAGGAACACTTTTACACTGTTGGTGGGACTGTAAATTAGTTCAACCATTGTGGAAGACAGTGTGGCGATTCCTCAAGGATCTAGAACTAGAAATACCATTTGACCCAGCCATCCCGTTACTGGGTATATACCCAAAGGATTATAAATCATGCTGCTATAAAGACACATGCACGTGTATGTTTATTGTGGCACTATTCACAATAGCAAAGACTTGGAACTCACCCAAATGTCCATCAGTGATAGACTGGATTAAGAAAATGTGGCACATATACACCATGGAATACCATGCAGCCATAAAAAAGGATGCGTTCATGTCCTTTTTAGGGACATGGATGAAGCTGGAGGAACCATCATTCTCAGCAAACTGTCACAAGGATGAAAAACCAAACACCGCATGTTCTCACTCATAGGTAGGAATTGAACAATGAGAACACTTGGACACAGCAAGGGGAACATCACACACCGGGGCCTGTCCTGGGGTCGAGGGAGGGGTTAGGGAAAGCATTAGGAGATATACCTAATGTAAATGACGAGTTAATGGGTGCAGCACACCAAGATGGCACATGTATACATAGGTAACAAACCTGCACATTGTGCACATGTACCCTAGAACTTAAAAGTATAATAATAAAAAAAAAATAATAAGGCAGGGTTATATCTACTTTAAGAAAAATTGACAGTAAGAATTTAAAATCTTGCAGTATCTTTACTCTGTTTTGCTAGTTCTGTTTTTCCTTCTTCTGTTCTGATTTGGTTTCATTTTAGAGATAGCATATACTAATGGTACAAAACATAATCGAATACTAAATAAAAAGTACATCTTTTTCTCACTATTTCTTGCATTCTCCATTCTTTGCTCTACCCTCAATGCCAATTCCTGAAAGTAAACACTACTGTTTTCCTGTGTATCTCTCCATCAATATTCCATGCATAGACAAATATTTATAAATATTTAAATAAGCAGACATGTGTTCTTGTGTGTGAGTGTGTATATATATATATATATACACAATGTACATATATTTATATATAGTGTATATATGTTTACGTGTATCTGTATGTGTGTGTATATGTGTGTGTGTGTGTGTGTGTGTGTATATATATATATATATATATATATATGTATATGTATATATGGACATCTTTAAGTTTACCATGCATGGGTATACCTTTTTCCTATGCTATAATATGATTATTACATAAGTTATTTTTCTGGCTTCCAGTTGATGAAATTACATTATTTTTTGGGTATTGTGTTACTTTTTGCTATAGTAAACAATGTGTCCTTGAACACCCTTGCACTCTGAATATTTGTTTACTTGAGCCATATCCATAGAATAAATTCCTAGGAATTATGCCTTTGCTATTCATGTCTACATGAAACATGCTCTCAGTTGGATTTCCAAAGCATGAGGTAAATAAATTGCAAGTAAATTATTTGAGATATTCATATATGATATAGGTAAGCAGACAAATGATTTTTGCCTGTATATTCATTTGGCCGAATTTTATGATCACTTCCTGTCACCAAGTTAAATGATTGTATAGCAGTCTGCATCAGTTATGAAAGATATACAACCCTTGCATTGTTTTTGCAGTCTGCTCATCTCATGCCTAGAGTCACAGCTTAATTTGAAATATAATCTTTTCTTTTGAAACTACAGCTTAATTGAAGAACACATTTTTAAAATGGTAGAATAAGGTTAGAAATTATTTTACAGTTGTACTTGAGCATTCACATCTTGTGCGTTATTTTCTCAATATAACCAGGCTATGAACAAGCAAATGTGCGTGTTATTTATTCCTTGGTAGAAAGGCTACTTAGTGCCAGAGCATAGCAAAACAGGAAGGAAAATGCTAAAATTAGCCTTGTTTCTCGTTCATCGTTGATTTAATTTTGGGGGACATCAAAGGTATTAAGGACAACAGACTGGGAATTATCAAGATAAAAATGACATACCCAGAAAATACTGAATTCTCCAGTCCTCAAAAAGTCTTGCAATTTATTTCATGCAATAAATGTTAAGAAAGAGGGAGGAGAACTGGGGCAAGGACGAGGGATAACATTTCTTAGACTCCCATCTGAAATGAATGATTAAGGGCATATGGAATAGACAGAATTAATAGCATCTGTGATCTGTAACTAAACTTGTTGCTATAGTCAGTTTGAGGATTCTGGTGACACAGTTAATAATCAACTATTAAACAACAGTCAGGATACCAATCTTTATTTCATATACCATGAAAATTATGGAGTTCAAATAGCCTATTTTTAACTTTAAAAGGCATTTCTCCTTTATATTTTACTCATATGCTAATATGCATTATATGAAGATATATGAATAAGCGAATGAATGTGTGTTTATGGAACATATGAAATCATAACTATGGCCTATGACAATCAAAACACTTAACAAGATATGTCTTCAATTTTTCTATCTGGATATTGGGAAAAATAGTAGGGAAAATGTTATTGTAAAAATAAATAGATAGGTTTGTGTAGGAATGTAAGTAAATATGCTTATAGACACAGTCTTTTAGTTTACTGCTATCTATATTTGACCTAAATTATATCTGGGTATTTCAGTTGGTTGCTTGCATTTAACACAGAATCAGTTTAAATTCCAATAGCCTGAATTACTAATTCTGAAAAGTATACTTCTCCCATCCTCCGTTTCCTCCGGTGTAAACAGAACATAGTAAAACCTAGGGGGAAAGTCTTGATTAAATGATATATAACTTTATGTTTGGCCTACGTTTATTAATCAATGAATAAATATTTGTTTTGACTGGGCACGGTAGCTCAAGCCTGTAATCCAAGCACTTTGGGAGGCCGAGGTGGGGGGATCATGAGGTCAGGAGATCGAGACCATCCTGGCTAACACAGTGAAACCCCGTCTCTACTAAAACACAAAAAATTAGCCAGGCATGGTGGCAGGCGCCTGTAGTCCCAGCTACTAGGGAGGCTGAGGCAGGAGAATGGCGTGAACCCGGGAGGCGGAGCTTGCAGTGAGCCGAGATCGCGCCACTACACTCCAGACTGGGGGACAGAGCGAGACTTCATCTCAAAATAAATAAATAAATAAATAAATAAATATTTGTTTCATTCTTCCCCTCTTAAACTATTACCTTCAACGTTTTTCACTTTTCACCAGTTAACTTCTGTCCTTCATTGGGAGTTCAGCCAAATCGATTAAAATTATGGAGTCTTCTAAAATTCTTTCTGGAGGAGATGGTTAATGGGCGCAAAAATATAGTTAGGATGAATAAGATCTAGTATTTGATAGCACAACAGGGTGATTGTGCTCAACAAAAATTTACTGTATATTTTAAAATAATGAAAAGAGTGGAATAGAATGTTCCTAATGCAAAGAAATAATAACTGGTTGAGGTGATGGATACCCCAATTACCCTGATTTGATTATTACAGATTGTATGCCTGTATCAAAACATCACACTTACCCCATAAATATATACCTATTGTGTACCCATTTTAATTAAAAATTTAAACACATTTAAATAAAATTATTTTTAACAAGGTGGCATATATATGTATATAAACAAACTCAAAACTAAACCAAATAAATTGTAAAATTATTGTTAAAGTCAATAAAATGTTTTAAATGCTCAAAACAAATTGTGTACATCTTCATTTATTTCATATTTCTCAATTAAAATTATATGCAAAGCATTTTAATAGGTACTACAAGGTAAAGAAAAATTAATCCATAGTTCACAATTGTTTTGGGTATTATATTCTGATAAGCCTTTGTAAGTTTTCCTTAAGACTTAGGAAAAAAATGAAGATACAGAACAAATTATCTTTTTACTTCTACAAGTAAAACATATCTCCACTGGCATTTAAAGTGAGTGGTGAAAAAAAATGAGAACAGGAAGTTCTCATGTAAATAATAATATTGTCAATATTTGTGTCAATTTCTTTTTTTTTTTTTCTTTTTGAGATGGGGTCTTGTTCTGTCACTGCAGCTGGAGTGCAGTGGCGCAGTCTCGGCTCACTGCAACCTCCGCCTCCCTGGCTCAAGCAATCCTCCGCCTTATCCTCCTGAGTAGCTGGGACTACAGGCATGTAATCATCATGCCTGGCTAATTGTTTGTATTTTTTGTAAAGACGGGGTTTCCCTATGTTGCCCAGGCTGATCTGGAACTCCTGGGATTAAGCAGTCTTCCCACCTTGGCCTCCCAAAGTACTGGGATTGCAGATGTGAGCTACCGTGCCCAGCCTATTTGTGTCAATTTATATGGAAATAAATCTTAAATATAATCAGCCTTTACAAGGCAGTTTGGAGTATGTTGCACTCCCAGTTCTATAGCTAACCAGAAGATGAAAAAGCTATGCTGTTCTTTCATTGCCTCAGTTTCCTTATAAGAGGGCATGGTAAGATGACTTGTAAGATCTGTGTTGCTGCTAAAAAAACATAGTCTGCATACATCCATGCCATTAGTGTTTTTACTTAAAGAATTGTCATTTCTGCAATAATCAATCACAGTGTTAGGAAATTATGAATAACTAAAAATGTAACCTCTCCTTTTACCACAGAAGGAAATTAAAACCCAGAGAAGCCAAGTGAAATTGGCCAAAAAGCAGTTTATCCATTGCAGAACCATGTCAAAGACCCAAATCAAGTTACTAATAATCATGTCCTTTTGAATTTTGTAGATTTTTAAAAAATATATAACATCTATATAACTTATTATTCACCTGGACCTTTACTTCTGGATGAGTCCTTTGCAAATCTTCCTTTTCCGTATTTGTATAGATTGTGTTTGTAATAGGAAATTTTCAAAAATAGCATTACATAGTTTTCTTTACATTTATTAAAATGGGCTTTCAATTAGGTACTCCCAAGTACAGTTACCTAGGTGATCATGATATGCTGGTAATTGTGAGAAGTGTGAGAATTCAAGAGTACATCATCTTTCCTGATAAGCAACAATGAAAATAAGAAGATGGTAGCTCTAATATACTAATGTTTAGAGTTATTAAAGATGAGACTATTTAGTAACATCACTGATTTTTAAGCTAAAAAAATTTTCATTTAATTGTCTCTTTCCAACTGACAAATTTGGTGGTTTATAATGCTGAAAATATTTTGGAATTTTTTTGGACTTGTCTTCAGAGACTATATCGTATCTGTTTAAATGACCTTAATGCTAGGAAACTTTGTATTCGGAGTGTGTATGAAATGTAGAAACAGTCAAGTAGGATGAATTTAGTTGGTTAACTTTGGGCATAATAACATTTCGGCTAAAAATGACATGACTACATTGTGAGGGTGGGTGGTCTTAAGATAGTTTATAAGATCCTTCTAACAACATTTTAAAAGCTTAGAAACAGAAGTGTAAATAGAGACCTACATATTGAATATTTTAGTACAGTCTTTAGCAGAAAACGTGTAAGATAAACAGTGAACAGTAAGCTATGTTTAGTTAGCATGAAGCATATTTAGGTGAGCGACACCCTTTGACTTGCGTTCTGTTAGTTCCACATTGGATAAACGCATAGTCAATCAGGCACACAGATCACATTTGCTATATATCTGTTAACATTAAATTATTGTGCAAATATAATGATCTGTTAATACTCTTAAGTTAGATTATGAAGGAAGAACAGTGATTTCAAGGAAAGGAATACAACAGGTCCTCAAGTAATATCATTTCATTCAATATCGTTTTATTGTAACATTGATGAGAAAATAAATAAATTGCTAGCCTTGGTTACTCTCTGTGAGATGTGAACCCTGAAAATTTGAGACAGGTCTCAGTTAATTTAGAAAGTTTATTTTGCCAAGGTTTAGGACACACGCCCATGATACAGCCTCAGGAGGTCCTGATAACATGTACCCAAAGTGGTCAGAGCACAGTTTGGTTTTATACATTTTAGGGAGACATGAGACATCAATCAACATATGGAAGGTGAACATTGGTTCAGTCTGGAAAGGCAGGACAACCCAAAGCAGAAGTGGGAAGACTCAAAGTGGGGAGTGGGCTTCCAGGTCATAGGTAGAGAAGATACATTTTTTGAGGCATTATTTTGAGTTTCTGATTAGCTTCTCCAAACGAAGCAATCAGATACGCATTTATCTCAGTGAGCAGAGGGGTAACTTTGAATAGAATGGGAGGCAGGTTGGCCCTAAGCAGTCGCAGCTTGACTTTTCCCTTTAGCTTAGTGATTTGGGGGCCCCAAGATTTATTTTCTTTTCACAGTGGAGTTTGCATGTTCTCCCCATGTTTGCATGGGTTTTCTCTAGTACTTGGGTTTCCTCCCACATCCTAAAGCTGTGCACGTTGGCTTAATTGGTATGTCTAGATGTTCCCGCTCTGCATGTGCATGGGTGTGTATGTGTGAGTGCACCCTGTGATGGGATGACATCCTGTCCAGGGCTGGTTCCTGCCTTGTGCCCTGAGCTGCCAGAATGGGCTCTGGTCATCCTTGACCCTGAACTGGAATAAGCAGGTTATAAAATGAATGAATAAGTGAATACAAATTATTGTAAAATAAAAATTTATAAAGTATATGAAGAAAGTAAATCATGTAAATGCAGGACAATAAACAATGCTGTACAGAAGTGCACAGGGAGCCTGCCATGTTTGTGATTGTTTTTGACATGCCTAGTGGTAGAAGGTGCTCCTGACAATTTTCACTGTGCAAACATTGATTCCTTGATTTAACCCACCATCATGACAACCAGTGGCACTCATTGATTCACCAAAACCTGGATAAATTACTTACTTGAGAGGCTGAGGTGTCAGGATTGCTTGAGCCC
This sequence comes from Homo sapiens, assembly GCF_000001405.40. Classification (NCBI taxonomy): domain Eukaryota; kingdom Metazoa; phylum Chordata; class Mammalia; order Primates; family Hominidae; genus Homo; species Homo sapiens. Next base: position 90,982,013 of record NC_000005.10, read on the forward strand.
AGGACTTCAAGGCTGCAGTGAGCTATGATCATGCGACTGCACTCCAGCCTGGGTGACAGAGCAAGACCTTGTCTCTAAAAAAAAATTTTGTAAAAATAATCATCTCACTTGTTCTTATCCATCTTTCTTAAAGGTATGTATAGGTCACACTTAATTCATTGTTTAATATGAGAAGTATTTAGGTCTTTATTTAGAAGCTTGGTCATTGTTTTGTGACCAGAAACATGCCATAGGAACTTAACTCTTTTCTGTATCAGTTAATCTATGGTAACGTTGGTTTCATGATACTTTGTTTTGCTTAATTTTGCAGTTTCCAAGAACCTATTGATGGTATTAAGTGAGGACATATTGTATAGTCAAATGCTCCACCATCTTCTTTTGGTTTTTAAAAAAAATGGCAGTAACTAGAGATTTTAACACCACTGCTTTGGGAAAGCAATACATTAATACATCTCATTCAAGTTTTGGGTGGAAGAAGAAAGAAAAACTAAGTTAACTAAGTTGAGCTAATGTAAACAAACATTGAAATTGTAAAGGCATTTTGGATAACTCATTGAACCTAAGAACTGTAACTACAGTTAGACCTCACAGGGACTGTGAGCATTCTTCTCTACTAACACACCTCTGCTTCACTGCCCTCATGGCTACGCCCTTTCTATGTCCACTTACTTCAGTCGACCAGCTTAGACACTCATGGAACATCAAGGAATTCAGTGTAGATGATTGGCTCAGCCGGGCCAGGCTTCTCCCCTGATTAAATCAGCTGTGGCCAGGGGAGCAATGTCAGGGAGTACACAGAGCACACTGAGCGCACTCTGCATGTGGTGGGAGGAGGGTTAGAGAGGCAGGGTTTGGAAAAGGGCTGCTCATGAGCTAGGCATTTGTCCAAAAATGTGCCTACCACACTACATTAAAATAAAATTCAAGTAAAACTTGAAATGAGCTAGTCAACACAAATCTTACGTTTGGCCTATGTAATGTTTCTAAAATAATTAAATGTTGTTCCATTACATTCTAGTATTTCTAGTCCATAGCTTTAAAAATGATATATTATGGGAAATACTTCTCTAGAGTATATTTCAGTGATCATATTCTTTTAAGAAGAAATTTAAATTATTTTTTATTTATAATTGGCAAAAGCTTATGACATTTGAAGCTTGTTTTACTTAATCAAGTATTCAGTAATTCAGCCACTCTGGGCCTTGAGCTCTTTGGGACAGAAGCACTGCATGTATAAATCTAACAATTACATTTGTCTCAGTCTTATCTGAGCCTGTGGTCAAGGCCAGACAGCTGCTGACAGGTTGAGTAATTCTGACTGATGGAACTAATGTCCTTCTGCGTAAAAGCAGACATTTTGAAAATGTCTCAATCTTTATCATGGTGAATCAGCTTAGAGTCATTTAGCAATCTGTACCCTCCTCCTTGACTCTTCCACCTACTGCACCACCGAGTTACGATGTCACATGGATGCACACAAGCATCTATCCAACATAAATAATTAGTACTTTTGTTTAGAAGATGGATTAATCAATGATTCTTGCTTTGTATGAATTTTCATTCTTTAACAGGCAGTATTGATTACCCCAGCAACAACACTTTACACAACCCCGCTTATTTGAGTCCACATCCCTATATTAATTATAGAAAGAAAAAAAAAGTTGGATCTAGTAATTTTTAAAAATGAATTAGAACAAAGTTACATAAGCAACAACTCAAAACATGCTTCATAATTACAGATATAAGCAGATGTACATAGAGATATGGAGTGCTGGCAGGAAATAAAATTCAGAGACACAAATCTCTAAGTAACCAAACATTTTTATCCTTCCCTGGTTTAGCCTAATACTAATCCCTCAAGGCTAATTTGGTACAGATACAATCTTACTCAGAAGCCTCAGTAAATAAAACATCTGAAAGCCTTCCCACAAACATTAGGAATGCTTATTTTTCAAATAGAAAAGTGTTTATCTTTTGTCTTTCACACTGTCTGACCTCTTAATAAGAGATTTAAGAAGAGGCAGTCACATTTTCCAGCATTGACTATGTATGTGCTCAGCACTTTACATGTAACATCTCATTTAATCTTTATAATAACCTTGTTGTATACATGCAACTGAGGCTCTGAAAATGTTGTGACTTGCCCAAGATTATCCACTTAAAGTATAACATTAATGAGTATGAATGAATTATAGACATATAATAATATAGACATAATATATAATTCATTCATACTCACACTCTTTCTACCATACAAAATTGAGAAGGAGGATTTATCCAGGCAATAAGTATTACTGTTTGAAATATGTATGGCATGGCATTCAATATTGTTACTGTACTAAATGATAATTAAATATGAGCATTCCTTATGGAAAGAAGACACTAGAAGACTTAGATCCAAGTTAGGTGTGGGATTTGGAGCCAACATAGCATTTATAGGCCTCAGTTTTCTTACTCTTATTTATTTAATGTGTCCCCTCATCCCCCTTCACTCTACACACTTGTCCCATTTATATGTTTTATCTCAGTAGGAAATAACAGATATAAGATGTGATGTAAATATAATATAAAAGAAATATTGCCCTTAATTATTTGTGTCCCACTTATTTGGAAACTAAGGTTCAAGAAAGTAAATACCACCCCATCTCTTTCACTGCTGTATCCCCAGCACCTACACTGGTCTGTGAAATTTAGTAAGCAATAAATATTTGTCATGTGAATGAACAAAAGGGAGAGAGTATAAATTGGGAAACATGGACCACAAAATGAACACCACTATAGTACTTTCTCTCTGTGCGATCATTTTCTGTTTATTTGTCTACACCTTCCACTGGACACTGAGATCAAGGTTGTCTTCAACGTTATTTCCCCACTAGAACAGTATCTGGCCCTGCCATATGATAGGCCCTCAATAAATAAAAATTGTCAAAAAGCTTGAAAATATAGGGCTTTTTATTTCATTATCACCTGGAAGTTAATGTGGGAAGTAGGTTTGCATATCAGAGTATGTTTCTTCAAAGACACGTTTACAAAACAGTCATAGAAGATTGTAACTGAGAGTAAATCAGAGCAAATTAAGGCAAATAAAAAATACAGCAAATCAACTAAATATTTCCCTGTGTTTCCAGAATTTTGAGGTATCCTGAATTTCTTGGATAAGAATGAAATTGTTATGAAAGAATGAATGTATGAACTAACTTAAAAAAATCAAAACTAATTATTAAGTAGATCCTGGCCTTTTGTTGGTCGGTAACATTGCCTAAGCCAGTAGAGTTTGTGTTCTGTGCCATTAAAGAAGAGCCTGTTCATTTTATGTTGTTTTCTTCCTTAGTCTGTGAATTTCTGGTACGTGCTGGTGATGAATGATGAGCACACAGAGAGGCGATATCTGCTGTTTTTCCTTCTGAGTTGGGGACTACCAGCTTTTGTGGTGATTCTCCTCATAGTTATTTTGAAAGGAATCTATCATCAGAGCATGTCACAGATCTATGGACTCATTCATGGTGACCTGTAAGTACACCCAGGCAACACATTGCCCTAGCTTTCATGTACCTAAGCAGATTTCGTTGCCATAAGAGCTGTGATTGAATAAGTACCAGGAAGATCTTTGCTTTTCTGCCACAGTGTCTGAAGCTCTGCTTACTCTAATTACTCTTTTAAATAGGAAGCTGTGGCCTCTCAAGTTTCTTTGGTAGATGCAGTTTTCTCAAGTGAGTTGGTGTATCAAACAGTTCATGGTAATTTGTACCTTAGCATTTAGTTTATTAGATTGGAGCAAACTAATATTTAGCAAAATCAGGGCACTATGAAATTTTTGATAAAGAATTTGTGAAAACAGTTGGAGTGTGGCACATTCTCTAAGCAGTGTGTTTTTGGTGAGGGTGGGGGATGGCAGCCACCATCACCCATAAGATCCCTGAATACTGAACGACTGCCTCACAGTGAATGGAGAGTGTCTGAAGAAGTGCATAGGAACAAGACAAGATCACCTTGGTCTTAGATATTCTTATTAAAATACCCTTTTAATCTTGAAATCTTAACACTTTTTTATGTACATATGCACATATATATGCATAATATATATATATATATATTATGCATATATATATATATATGTGACTTAATCCTAAATCCGGTATGTTGTAGCTTTGAGGACCACTGAGCCCCTCTTAATAGCTCCACATGTAGGGGGTGGAAAAACACTTTGCAATAATAAAGCTCAACCAATTCTTGGTATAAGGAAGAGAAAAAGTAGAATTCTAAATAAGAAAAAATAGCCTATTCACAATCTTTTGAAGACAGTATTACTTAATTATCTCACAGGTTATTATGAAGATAAAATTAGCTAGTAGACATGAAAAATATTGAAAGTTAAAGTACTATATCAGCAGTCATTTTAATAGAATTATTGCTTATGATCAATTATATACTTAATAAATACTTGTTATTGATGTATACAAATGTATTTCACACATAGGCAATCACAGACACATACCCCATACCACATTCAGATAAAGGAGGCTAGCTATGTAAAACACACCTAAACACACAAACGTACACAAACATGCAAACACAATACACACACTAATATACTATGTATTTTTGTAATTCTGTCTTTTTATTGAAATTCAAAAGACTCCCTAATACTGATTATTTTATATTATAATGTATTTTATGCATATACAAGTCTATATTCCTATAATCTTCTAAAAAGGAACGATGGCATCTTTCAGAATTATATTATGATTTTTTACATTTTACTATCCCTTGCATTAATTTAAATCGTGGACTGCCAGGATTAATTTCAGAAAATTCTACGTCATTCTTTGTGATATGCAAAGTAACCACGAAGCAAGCCGTGGTGGCTAGCAGATCATTCTTTTCATGAGCTCCCTGGCAAGACAGGACTTATTTAATTTTAGCATTACATGTATACCCATCCAGCCTTGCTAAATGGACCCAATGAATGTAATATTAATTAGAAAAAACTATCTTGATCCTTTTAAAAGGATTTTTAAAGGGAGAAATAAACTATGATCAAAGAATGTCCAAATGAGCTTACTCAAAGTATTTGCCTTCTTAAGCTTTTGGTAAATGTTCTCTATGACCAACTAAATTATAATAAGTGAAATGTAAAATATAGTTACTTCTACCTGGTTTTAATCTTAAAGATTTGTTAGACCAGAGGCCGGGCGTGGTAGCTCACGCCTGTAATCCCAGCACTTTGGGAGGCGGAGACAGGCTGATCACAAGGTCAGGAGATCAAGACCATTCTGGTGAAACCCCATCTCTAGTAAAAATACAAGAATTAGCCAGGCGTGGTGGCGCATGCCTGTAGTCTCAGCTACCCGGGAGGCTGCGGCAGGAGAATCACTTGAACCCAGGAGGCGGAAGTTGCAGTGAGCCAAGATCACGCCACTGCACTCCAGCCTGGGTTACAGAACAAGACTCTGACTCAAAAAAAAAAAAAAAAAAAAATTATTAGATCAGCGTGTCTAACCTTTGCATTACAGGTTACTTTTCTCCTTAATTCACAAAGAATATTCCTAAGTCATTCCCATACGAATTTATTCTAGCTTATAAAAATTCTATATCTTACTTCAATTTTAATATAAGGTTATAAACTGATATATTATTTATACTAAAATATTGTATACTTATATCATCATTTTAAAGCATGCCATTTCTCTAGAGGTCATAATAGATTGATGGTTGTATGAACTAATGGCCCATCTGTTGGGCAGTGGTTACTTCATAGTATTTTGCTTGTCTTCTAGGCTCTTCCCTAGAAGAATTTTAAAATTCTTAGCTCATTATGGAAGAGCTAAGAATTTTTAAAAATGCCTCAAGGGGAAAATCTCCAAGTGTCTTGTTCACTTCTTTCTGGAACGTGTTTTCTCAAGTTCTCTTTCCTGCCAGCCCTGAAGTCTAATTTTTGTCTCCTTAGCTCTTTGAGATTGCCAGATAATTCGCTGGCTTTCCTGACTCTCAGCATCTTTCCTCATCCTGGATTTTCAGTCTCCCTTTCTTCTCCAAGTATTAATAGGCGGATACCCTGAAGGGAAAAGTGGTATGCTGAATGTAGCGCTGATTTCAATAAGCTTCTCTTCTTTACAAGATTGGCCTGTCAATGTTGGCTGCCTCAACAGCTTTACAGTGCCTTCAAACAAATGGTTTTGTTTGGTTGATTTTGCTTTAATTTTATTTTGTCTGATTATTCTAGATGGAATTATAAATCATGTACAAGCTATTTCATTATACATAGTTCAGTATTTTAAGATGGATTTTATAGATAGTGTGCATGTCTGCATTTTAAATAGTAATACCCTGGTTAAGTGTTACTGATTAAATATAGACAAAGTCCAAAATTTTACCAAATTTATATAATCTAGGGTTAAATTTCTTATGGAAAGCAGTGAAAATACTTTAAATACTGGTGTTTCCTAAGTGCTGACTTTGGTCTACTTTTCCCCCTGTACGTTGTTATCTATTCTTATGGCTTGACATTTTCTATATGATAACCCCTGAAGTTGTGTCTCTAGCCTATAAAACACTTTTCTGAGCTCCATACCCATATTATATATTCAAATGTCTTATAAATATCTTTACCAGAGTGACACACAGCTATTTCTTTTTTTTTTATTATACTTTAAGTTTTAGGGTACATGTGCACAACGTGCAGGTTAGTTACATATGTATACATGTGCCATGTTGGCGTGCTGCACCCATTAACTCGTCATTTAAATTAGGTATATCTCCTAATGCTATCCCTCCCCCCTCCCCCCACCCCACAACAGGCCCCGGTGTGTGATGTTCCCCTTCCTATGTCCATGTGTTCTCATTGTTCAATTCCCACCTATGAGTAAGAACATGTGGTGTTTGGTTTTTTGTCCTTGGGATAGTTTGCTGAGAATGATGGTTTCCAGCTTCATCCATGTCCCTACAAAGGACATGAACTCATCATTTTTTATGGCTGCATAGTATTCCATGGTGTATATGTACCACATTTTCTTAATCCAGTCTATCATTGTTGGACATTTGGGTTGGTTCCAAGTCTTTGCTATTGTGAATAGTGCCACAGTAAACATACGTGTGCATGTGTCTTTATAGCAGCATGATTTATAATCCTTTGGGTATATACCCAGTAATGGGATCGCTGGGTCAAATGGTATTTCTAGTTCTAGATCCCTGAGGAATCATCACACTGACTTCCACAATGGTTGAACTAGTTTACAGTCCCACCAACAGTGTAAAAGTGTTCCTATTTCTTCACACTATTTCATATTTAGTATGTTTAAAATTGATATCCTAAAATGCTTTGACCCACATTCTCTATGAAATGTCCACTATCCACCCACATACACAGGTTGTGAACCCAAGTTACTTTCTACTTCTTTCACCTTACACTCAATATTCTATAATCATGAATTATTTTCTAATCTAACTCCTAAATGTTTGTTTTCCTAATCCAGTTTCTCATTTCAACCATCATCTCTTATTTCATCTCTTCAGTTCAGCTTCTGTCTTCTTTGGTATGTTGCGTTGCCTCCTAACTTGTGCCCCTATCTATAATTTCTTCATTTTATAATCTATCCATTAAGTTCTGAAATATGGAAATGATTGTATTACTCTGATGCTTAAAACCCAATGGTTGCCTTTTGTTACCTTCAAGGTTGTAGCTTGATAGGTCATCCATGGTTTCACACTAAACTGCTGAACCAGTTTTTTAAAAATCATTCTTCCCACTCTCCTCCCTTGTTTTCCTTTGTAACTGAATTGCTTGATGTTTCCCATGATCTCTTATTTCTTTTTTATTTTTTTGAGACGGAATTTCACTCTTGTTGCCCGGGCTGGAGTGCAATGGCGTGATCTCAGCTCACTGCAACCTCCGCCTCCCAGGTTCAAGTGATTCTCCTGCCTCAGCCTCCTGAGTAGCTGGGATTACAGGCATATGCCACCACACCTGGCCAATTTTTTGCATTTTTAGTAGGGACGGGGTTTCTCCACATTGGTCAGGCTGGTCTCGAACTCCTGACCTCTGGTGATCCGCCCACCTCGGCCTCCCAAAGCGCTGGGATTACAGGCGTGAGCCACTGCGCCCAGCCATGATCTCTTATTTGTATACCTTTGAATATATCTTTTATATCTCAAATCCCTTTCTTTCATTTGTCTACCTACAAAGTCCCTGTTTTTCCTCAAAGCATCAACTTAAATATCAACTTAGTAAAGTATCTGTTTTCAGATTAAAACCCTACCTCTTATATATAGCCTTGGTAGACTCACAACCCTTCATAAATCCTAAGATTGTACTAATTATACTATATTGAAAATATTTGTTTATGCCAGCCATGTAACTTGAAATTCAGCCTGGAGAACAGTGATTACTTACAGACTCTATGGAAAGGGTTGGTAAGTTTATCCCTTAGTGGAAATATCTAAACTAGAAAAAGGAAGGCCTTAACAATGCACCGTTCACAATAGGGTTCATACTCCTATTATAATCTAATGCCTCCACTGATCTGACAGGAGGCAGACCTTAAGCGGTAATGCTGGCTCTCCCACCGCTCACCTCCTGCTGTGCGGCCCTATTCCTAGTAGGCCATGGGCAGGTACCAGTCCACGGCCCTGGGTTTGGAGACCCCTAAAGGATATATTTATCGCTTTTGAAATTAGTGCTAGAAATGCTTCCAACTTCTTTTCTATCTTATAATTGGACGGTGCTTAAACTAAAACAAAGGCAAAAGTAAATGAAATCTGCCCCTGAGTGATTGCTATTGGTTACCCGAAGTAACTCTATTGAGAGTACCTGGAAGTAGTCTCTATTGAGTAGTTTTATATTGAATGTCTTTGGAAGTAGTCACCTAGTTTTCTTGGGACAGATTCTTGGCTACTTTAGGTAAAGAAAACAAGCTAAAGGAGACCTTATCATGCAAAGTGTAGGGAGGGGAAAAGAGAATATAAAAAGAGTCAAGACCCAGGGTGGAAGTAAAGGGAATGTGGTCCTGAGGAATGTTCATACATAGAGAATATGCCTTTTATCTGGAACCCCAGTTATGTGAATATTGATAGAGTGATTGGAGTGAGTGTCAAAGACATGCCATACAGAGGTGAGAGGACAATGAAGACATTACTTTGATCTCAATATTCTAACTTCTAAGCAACCCCAACACATTAATAAATGTCAATAACAGTAAAAATGACACAATAAAGATGATAGGTTGTTTTGTACTTCTAAAATGCCTGCTTTGTTTCATCCTTACTAATTCATATGAATTCAAGCTTAAGAAAAATCAACAAATAACTTATTGAATAATGACTATATACAAAGGCTTAAGTGAATTCTCTTATGCCTAAGCTTAGAATTTGATTGTAATGAAAAAATTGCGTAACTTCATAACTTAATTTTAAAATTGATTACTGTTTTTTAGTTTTTTTGTTTTTTGTCTTTAATTTGTAGAGACAAGGTCTTGCTGTGTTGGCCAGGCTAGTCTCAAACTCCTGAGCTCATGCAATTTTCCCACCTCCCAAAGTGCTAGGATTACAGGCATGAGCCATCATGTCCAGCCTAGTTTTTTAGTATTTCAGTTTTTTAGTATTTCAGCATTATGTTTTACTTTAGATACACTAAACAAATCTTTATTATAACCTACTCTGATTATCCTGCTTCTGAACTAAATTACCAGTTTTGCTAAATCCTCTGAAAATAATCTAATTTTGCAAGCTATATTAGAAGAAATGTTATTAATATAGAGGACAAATCTCTATTCTAAATTAGAACTAAGTAGAAGTAATTGTACTCTATGGGAAATATGATATCATATGAGAGTCTTTATTTTCATTAAATTACTTTAAAAGAGAATCATGAAAAAAAAGTTTGTTAGAGAGCACATTTACTTATTGTCTGAGGAGTGAACAAAGTCACCATACATCTTTGAAAAGGAATGTTGTCAGGATCTCTTCATGCATTTGCTCAGGTAGGGATATATTACTGCCTGTGGGTGCACATGCACACGCATACAGAAACACAAGTACATCCACATAAAAATAGCAACCTTAGACTAGCATTTTCTATCTATTCAGACCTTAAAATTAAAAAATCTTGAAAGTACGCTTCCCCACGAAGTCTTCTTAGGTTAATGGAATCTAAGAGTTAGATGTCTAGCTTGCTTTAATAAAGTTTCCCACACATCCTTAAAACATGATTCAAATTCTTATTCAAAGGCCTGTTAACTCCTTCAAATTTTTATTCTAAACATGCTCAGTATATCTGACTTTTTATGGCGATTAATTATACAATTTGTTCTGCTAATACCTTGTTCTCTTAGTTTGATTTTTACATTATTATCACTCCAAACCACAACCTTAGCTTTTCTGATTACTGCTTTGTCTCTCTGAGAAAAATCCAACTAATGTTTTGAGTTATATCTCTCTTGGCTTCCCTTAGTTCCTGGATCCGCTTTGCACAGAAGGTGGAACCTAGGTGTAAAAAGAACTTTATCAAGCTTTTCATCCAATCTCCGTGTAGTTCTTGAGTAACCTTCACAGCATTGCTGACAAACATTCTTTCACTTTATGTTTGAACTCTTCCGTGAGAAAGAACACACTTTCTCCCAAGACTTCTTTGTGTAGAATAGGAAGCTATCTCTTTTAGATTCTGGTTTAATTTCTAATTGCTGGGTTCATTGCAAGCAAGCAAAATAATGTGATATTTTCCACATGATACTCCTTTAAATATTTCTCCCAGTTCTTTTTTCCAAGCTAAACATTTCTGATTGGTTTATATAGTTTTTCATGCAACATCTCTTCACTATTTTGATAGATCTCTTCTAAACTTGTTTTATGTCAATTCTTTTTACTTTTAAGAATTTTAAACTTATAGAAAAATTGCAAAAATTATAGAGTTTACATATACCTTTTATCCAGTGTGCATACATACTTACATAATTATAGCACAATGATCATAACTAGGAAATTAACAATGATAAAACCCTTTAAACTGCAAACCTTGTTCAAATTTCACCAGTTTTCCCCCAATGTCTTTTTTCTACTCTGAAATCCAATGCACTATGTCCCATTATCTTTAGTGCTTGTGTGTCCTTGGTCTTCAATCTGACAATTTCTCTGTCTTTCCTTGGTTTTCACTTTTTTTTTTTTTTTTTTTTTTTTGACGGAGGCTTGCTCTGTCGCCCAGGCTGGAGTGCAGTGGCGTGATCCTGGTTCACTGCAACCTCCTCCTCCCAGGTTCAAGTGATTCTCCTGCCTCAGCCTCCCGAGTAGCTTGGACTATAGGTACGCACCACCATGCACAGCTAGTTTTTGTGTTATTAGTAGAGACGGGGTTTCACCATATTGGCCAGGCTGGTCTCGAACTCCTGATCTTGTGATCCACCCACCTCAGCCTCCCAAAGTGCTGGCATTACAGGCGTGAGCCACCATGCTGTGCCGGTTTTCACTTTTGAAGAGTACTGGTCAGTTATTTTATAGAATAACTCCAAACTTGTCTAATGTTTTTTTCAAGATTAGATGGAATTTACACATTTTTGGCTAGAATGACACAGAGTGTTAAAGTACAAGTTTTTTCATATGAACATATGTTTTCAATTCTCTTGAGTATATGTCTAGGAGTAGAATTTGTTGGGTCATATGATTTAACTTGCTGGTTTCAAGTATCTCGTTGTCTTTGGCTTTCAACAGTTTATATATCTAGGTGTGGGTCTCTCGGAGTGGAGTCTGTGAAACTTCTTGGATGTGTGGATTAATGTTTTTAATCAGTTTGGGGAGTTTTCAGCCATTGTTTTATCAAATATCCTTTCTCCTCCTCTCCTCTGAGTCTTTTATTATGCATATATTGGTACATTTGATGCTGTTCCACAAAAATCTAAGGCTATGTTAATTTTTTTGGTTCTATTTTTTTTTCTGTTCCTCAGACATGGTAACCACAATTGACCTGTCTTCACATTTACCAATTTTTTTTTTTTCTTCCTGGTTATACCTATTGTTTGGCATCATTAGTGAAATCTTCATTTTGGGTATTGTACTTTTCTTTTCTTTTTTTTTTTTTGGAGACAGAGTTTCGCTCTTGTCATCCAGGCTGGACTGGAGTGCAATGACATGGTCTTGGCTCACTACAACCTCTGCCTCCCAGGTTTGAGCAATTCTCCTGCCTCCGCCTCCCAAGTAGCTGGGATTACAGGCACCCACCATGACACCCAGCTAATTTTTATATTTTTAGTAGAGATGGGGTTTCACCATGTTGGCCAGGCTGGTCTCGAACTCCTGACCTCAGGTGATCTGCCCATCTCTGCCTCCCAAAGTGCTGGGATTACAGGCATGAGCTGCCATGCCCGGCCTAGTTATTGTACTTTTCAATTCAAGAATTTCTATGTGGTTCTTTTTTATGATTTCTATCTCTTTATTGATATTTTCTATTTGATGTCATTCTCATATGCTCATTTAGTTATATAGACATAGTTTCTTTTATGTTTTGAACATAATTAAAATAGCTAATTTAAAGTATTTGTTCAGTAAATCTAACATCTGGGTTGCCTGAGGGATAGTTTCTATTCATTATTTTCTTGTGTATACATCATATCTTCTTGGTTTTTTGCATATTTTGTAAATTTTTGTTGAAAATTGGACATTCTATGTGGAAATTTTAGAAATCATAAATTTTTCTCTCAGGATTTGTTGTTTCTGTTCACAGTAGTAGTTGCTATTTATTGACTTTTCTGAATTTACAGATTTAATTTCGTATATCTATATTCTTTGTCACACGTGGCCACTGACATCTCTGTTTCATTAATTTAGTGGTCAGCTAATGATTGAACAGAGATTTCCTTAAATGCCTGTAATGAAGAAATCTCCTAGTCTTTGCCAGAAGGCTCTATGTGCATGTTGGGGCATGACTTCAACACTCTACCAGGAAGTTAGTAACTGCCTTAACCTTCACATTATATATACCCTCAAAGTCAACCAGTGGTAAGAGAGTCTAGGGCCTTCTCAGGTCTTTCCTGAACATGAGCAAAGCCTCAAGCATGCACATGGCATTTTAAATTCCCAGGAATGTATTGGAGCTTTCCAAAGCTTATGTGTATATCTCATGCTCCAGCTTTTCTTTTAAGCTTTTGAGGTTTTTTGCTCCATTGTTGTTATCCACTGGCTCAGATAGCCATGATGTTAAATCACTTGCTTTTAGTTGTTTTTAACAAGTAACTTCCTGTCTCCTTACCCTATACCCAAGGAATAGATTTTTTGCATTGGCTGAACTCTGAGATACGTGAAATACAGAAAGCCTTGCAAGTTGGGATTTTCTTTGGGACTGAAGCTTTGAAAGAGCTCCAGCTTCATTTTGCTCCCCAAACCTCCTCCCCTATGGGTGCCAGAGTGTACCCAGAATGAGGGCTATTTTTCCAGGCTATATGAGTCTAGAGAGTCTCCCCAGCCATGCCTTCTGTACAGCCTGTGGAACTGTGAGTTAATTAAACCTATTTTCTTCATAAATTACCCAGCCACAGGTAGTTTTTTATAGGAGTGCGAGAATGGACTAATATAGAAAATTGGTACCTGGAGTGGGGCATTGTTATGAAGATACCTGAAAAGGTGGAAGCAACTTTGAAATGGGGTAACAGGCAGAGATTGGAACAGTTTGGAGGGCTCAGAAGACATGAAGATGAGGGAAAGTTTGTAACTTTCTAGAGACTTGTTAAATTATTGTGACCAAAGTGCTGATAGTGATATAGACAATGAAGTCCAGGCTGAGGTGGCCTCAGATGGAGATGAGGAACTTACTGAGAACTGGAGTAAAGGTCACTCTTGCTAACCTTTGGCAAAGAGACTGGTGGCATTGTGCCCCCGCTCTAGGGCTCTCTGGAACTTTGAAATTGAGAGAGATGATTTAGGGTACCTTGCAGAAGAGAAATTTTTAAGCAGCAGAATGTTCAAGATGTGACCTGGCTGCTTCTAAAAGCCTATGCTCATTTGCATAAAGAAATGACCTGAAATATTTAAAAGGGAAGCAAAGCATAAAAGTTTGGAAAATTTGCAGCCTGGCTATGAGGTAGAAAAGAAAAACCCATTTTCAGGGTAGAAATTCAAGCCAACTGCAGAAAATTGCATAAGTAAAGAGGAGCTGAGTCTTAATAGCTAAGACAATGGGGAAAATGCCTCCTAGGCATTTCAGAAAACTTCACAGCAGCCTATCCCATTACAAGCCCAGAGGCCTGGGAGGGAAAAATGGTTTTGTGGGCCAGGCTCAGAGCCCCACTGCTCTGTGCAACCTCAGGACATGATACCCTGCATCCCAGCCCTTCCAGCTCCAGCTGTGGCAAAAAGGGCCGCAGATATGTCTCAGGCCACCGCTCCAGGGGGTGCAAGCCATAAGAATCCTTGGCAACTTCCACGTGGTATTAAGCCTGTGGGTGCACAGAGTACAAGAGTTGAAGCCTGGGAGACTCCAACTAGATTTCAGAGGATGTATGGAAATGCCTGGATGTCCAGACAGAAGTCTACTGCAGGGGTAGGACCCTCATGGAGAACCTTTACTAGGGCAGTACAGAGGGGAAATGTGGGGTTGGAGTCCCGACACAGAGTCCCTACTGGGACACTGCCTAGTGGAGCTGTGAGGAGAGGGCCACAGTTCTGCAGACCCCAGAATGGTAGATCCACTGACAGTTTGCACCATGTGCCTGGAAAAGCAGCAGGCACTCAATGCCAGCCCATGAAAGCAGCTGTGGAGGCTGTACCCTGCAGAGCACAGGGTCAGAGCTGACCAAGGCCTTGGGAGCCCACGCCTAGTGTCAGTGTGGCCTGGATGTGAGACATAGAATCAAAAGAGATTATTTTGGAGCTTTAAGATTTAATGACTGCCCTGCTGGGTTTTGGATTTCCATGGAACCTGTAGTCCCTTTGTTTTGGCCAATTTCTTCCTTTTGGAATGGGAGCATTTACCCAATGCCTGTACAACCATTGTATCTTGGAAGTAACTAACTTGTTTTTTATTTTGCAGGCTTATAGGCAGAAGGGACTTGGCTTGACTCAGATAAGATTTTGGACTTGAACTTTTGAGTTAATGCTGAAATGAGTTAATATTTGGGGGCTGTTGAGAAGATATGATTGTGTTTTGAAATGTGAGGACATGAGATTTGGGAGGGGACAGTGGTAGTATGATATAGTTTGGTTATGTATCCCCACTCAAATCTCACGTTGAATTCTGATCCCGAGTGTTGGAGGTGGGGCCTAGCGGGAGGTGATTGGATTATGGGAGTGGTTTCTAATGGTTTAGCACCATCCCCAGAGTGCTGTCTTGCGATAGAGTTCTCATGAGATCTGGTTGTTTGCAAGTATGTAGCTTCTTCCCCTTTGCTCTCTCTTTTTCCTGTTCTGGCCATTGAAGACATGCCTCCTTCCTCTTCACCTTCTGCCATGATTGTAAGTTTCCTGAGGCCTCCCCAGCCATGTTTCCTTTACAGCCTGCAGAACTATAAGTCAATTAAACCTCTTTTCTTCATAAATTACCTAGTCTCAGGTTGTTCTTTATAGCAGTGTGAGAATAGACTAACACAACTTCATATCTAGAATACCCAGGTACTGAAATACAAAGACCTAAAATTACATTTTCACAAACTCATTGTACTAAATATATCTTAAGATATGCCTCTAAAATTATCTTTGATTGGAGTACAGTGGAAAGAGCAGGGGCTTTGGAGGTAGATAGACAATGAGTCAAATACCAACTCAGGCATGTTCTAGTTGTGTGACACTGAGCAAATTACTTACCCTCTGTGAGCTTGAAGTTTTCCATCTGTGCAATGGGCATCATAAAACCTGTGTCCTAGGATTGTGATGTGGATTAAGCGAGATGATGTGTCTAGGGAAAATGCATGTACAGTACCTGGCACAGAGCAGGGGACAATAAGTGAGAGCCATATGTATAAGTCTATGAATGTGTGTCTCATATGAAGTAGTAATTACATGTAAACAATCAGACAAGCCCAGTTAAACATTGTTGACCCTGTAAGTCCTGAAGAGTTGCTTACCATTTTGCTATCTCCAGCTATTTTGAAAGTATTATTTACATCATTTCCATCCTTTTCTTCTGCACTCATGTTTGACATAAAGATTGCAAGCACTAAATTCTTTAATATTTCTGAAACTCAGAAGCTTCTACCAACCTGAGTTAGGAGCTTGTTTTATTTTCATCATAAATGAGAAAGAAAAATGTCTCTAAAGCTTACAGTCTTCTATGAGACTGTCTTGGTCGGTGAGTGCTGCTGTACTAGAATACCATAGACTGGGTGACTTAAAAAGTAAGCATTATTTTTTTTTACACACAATCACAACAAAAATGGGATATCATGTGCACTTTCCAATTTACTTTTTATTTACTGAAAAGTAAATAAAAAGTTTGCTTTTTATCAGTATGTAATACCCTGTATCGGTATGTAATACTCATTTTCTGTGTCAGTATGTAATACCCATTACATTATAATTTGTAATGTTCTATTGTGTTGATTTAATCAACCTTTTTGACAGACTTCTGAACTATTTCTAGTTCTTCTTTTTATCATTGTTGTGATGAATATCCATATATAGGTATCTTTGTACACTTATGTTAATATTTTTATAGGGAAAATTTCAAGCAGTGGAATGACTCAATGATATATGTATAATTTTTTACTTTAAAAGATATTGTCAAAGTGTTTTCTTAAAAAGATGCACGTGTTTACACTAAAGCAACAAATAATGGCAGTGCCTGTTTCCCAACATTCTTGCCAACTCTGGGAATTATAAGTTTTTAATGTTTGCCAGTGTGATTTGCACACACCTAAATATACACATATATAGTACCTTAAACTTGTATTTCTTTAATTATTAGTTATGTTTTAATAGCTTCATTTATCATGTACCAGACACTCTACTAAGTGCATACTCTCATTAATTCTTATACAACCCTGTGAGTTTGAATATCTTTGCATAGATTTATACAGCATTTGTTTCTTTTTTGGATTACTTGTTCATCTCCCTACATTAATTTTTCTGATTGCTTGCTCATGTTTTTCAATGATTTAGAGAGTGTGCTTTGTTCTTGCTCTTTTCTTGTTTCCTTCTTTTCTTTTGGAGGTGAGGTGGGCTATATTATAGCTATTAGCTTTTGTCTCTCCTGAATTTTTATTTCTCTATTAACACATCTTTCTCCTATCTATTTTTAAGGAAATTTACATCTTAATATGAGATGAGTTTTTGTATGATATCAAATTGTTTCAGATAATTATTTTAAATATTTTGTGTGCTAATTCAATTTTCCATCTACAATAATAGTACAGTTAACATGTTGAGAACATTTAAAGTTATGTTTAACTTTAACTCAGGGTTAAAACGGTGAAAACATATGTTGCCATAAGAGTCTCAGTCTATATTCATCCTAATTTATTAACTAGATGCAGAATCAGGAAGATTAATGATTACTTTTTAATGCAAAGTGCTAAGAATTTAGGCATTTGAAATATCAAGCGGAATAGAGCATTAGGAAATAGGTAATTGTAAAATTGCGGGTGGCAGAGTTGTAATGATAGAGATATTCATGAGATCACATTTCATCTTTTTTATTCCCATTACAAATTTTAGTGATAAAATGGAAAATTGGGCACCTTTTGTTGTCAGAAGCTCTATAATGCAAAGTTTTTTTCAGTATTTCAAAGATTTCCAGTTGGAAAACTGAAAAAGCTCGTACAACCACAGATGGTCAAGTGTGTATTATTCAGGAAAGAAAACAGTTCTTTATAGAGGAAGTTCTGTTGTAGATGTCTCTAATGAAAAAGGGAATACCTGCAAATGTAAGCATCTTGTCAAACAGGATACTTCATACAATTTAAGAAAAACCATTCCTGGCTCAAAAGGATTTTCTGACAATTGATTTGAGGTTTGTATTATTTACTTTGTAGCTTCTCAGAAGCAAGGATCTGCCTACTCTTTCTTTTTCTGAAAATAATGTTATATTTTTCTTATAAAATTAATCAATATTTATTTTAGAAATTATGGAAAGCAAAAATATACAATAAAAATAAAAATCAGAGGTATCCTCATCATTCAGATATAAACACTTGATGTGTTTCTGTTTATGTCTAGATTTATACATTTTTGTTTTATAATAGAAAATTGAGATCTCTCAATTTTATCTCCTGCTTATTTCACTCAATGTTATATTATTAGAATTTCCCATGCATTGAGTATACCTCAGCATTTTTTAATGGATTCACAATGTCTGTCTCATGATAGATTTATCAAACATGTTTACCTTTCCTCAGCATTGAATGTTAAAATTCTCTCCATCCCCATTTTTAATATTTAAAAATCTGCAGTGAATGTGCTATGTTGTATTTCTACTTCACAGATCCCTTGAAATGAAATTACTAGATTAAGGATATAAGATTTTTAGAAATATTGGAATTATGAAACTGTCTTCCAGAAAGGTTGAAAATTTACAATCGTAACATTTTTTGAAGGTACCAGTCTCCCAACGCAAGAGCTAGTTAGTCTTAATTGTTTTATTAGCAGTATGATTTTGATAGTAAATATTGTATATTAGGTTGATGCAAAAGTAATTGTGGTTTTTGCCATTACTTTTGGTGACTCTCCAGAGAAACAGAGCTTACAGGATCTGTGTGTGTGTGTGTGTGTGTGTGTGTGTGTGTGTGTGTGTTTATAGACATTTATTATAAGGAATGGCTCACACTGTCATGGAGGCCAGCTCAAGATCTGTAGGGTGAGTTGGCAAGCTGGAAAACCAGGAGGGCTGATGTTTCAATTTGAGTACAAGGGCAGGAAAAAAAAATGATGTCCCAGTTTGAAGGCTATTGGGCAGGAAGAATTCTCTGTTACTCGGGGAAGGATCAGCCTTTTTTCCTCAGGCCTTCAACTAATTGGATAAGGCCCACCCACAGTAGGGAGAGCAATCTGCTTCACTCAGTCCACCAATTTTAATGTTAATCTCATCTAAAACCATTCTTACAAAAAACACCCAGAATAATGTTTGACCAAATATCTGTCAAGTTAGGTTCTCCTTTGTGTTTCCATTTTTCTTTTATTTTTGAGACAGGGTCTCATGTTGCCCAGGCTGGAGTGCAGTGGTGCAGTAATGGCTCACTACAGCCTCAACTTCCTGGACTCAAGTGATCCTCCTGCCTCAGCTTCCCTAGTAGCTGGGACTACAGGCATGTACCACCACACCTGGCTAATATTTTTATCTTTTGTGGAGACCAGGTCTCACTATGTTACCCAGGCTGGTCTTGTACTGCTGACCTGGAGGAATCCTCCCACCATGACCTCCCAAAGTGCTGAGATTATAGGCATGAGACACTGCACCTGGCCATTTTTCATTTTTTAAGAAGTCTGCAGTGAAAGTATTATGTCATATTTCAAGTTGACACATGAAATTAACCATCACATGTCATAATATGTTATTGTTTTTGTTGCTATTTTTTTAATGAGACCAGGGAGTTTAGGCATACTCTTATTTATTCATTGGCCATTTTGTACTTACAAACTGTTTGTATTTTTTGTCCATTTTCTTGTTTTGTTATTGATTTGTGAGAACTTTGTTCCTATTAAAGCTATTACTTTGTAGTATTCGATGAAAATATTTGCCACGCTTTGTGATTTATGTTTTTAAATTGCAGTAAAATCTATCCAACTTTTTGTATATTTTTATTGCATGTTTCAGAACATTTTTCTTCAATTACATCTTTCAATACCATTTTATTCCATTTCATTTTGGAGGGTTCTTTTTTTCCTGAATATCAATTAACTTATTTGGTCTTTCTATCTCACACATTTGCATTATATTTTCTCTAATTCTTTTCTCTTTGTGTCTTTTTCTCTCAGTTGTTGCTAATTCAATTGCAAGCTGTGTTTATTTCCTATGACACTAAATATTGTAACATTATTTTTGCTTGATATTATTCACATCAGAACTCAGAAAATATGATATTGTTTTTTCTAGCATTTTGTGTTAAAGAGATTAGCCTGATATTTTTCCATTTAGTTAAATTTTTTCTTCACCTTCATGAATGCTTATAGATCTTAATATTTTTATTTCTATAATGTAAAACTTTGAGCTGAGTATATATAATTGTAGCTATTTTTTCTTAAACTTGTCTGGTCTTGGGTGGGCTCCTAAGTCCACAGACGCGGTGTGTTCTGCTCAATGAAATTTTTCAATCTTACACAGTCTATTTGCTATTTTTTCATTGTTCTGGAATCAGAGACGTCAAAGTATTGTGAGTACTTTGTCTTTCATGTTCATAATAATCGTGTTTTTTAAAAACAGTTTGCAGCTCTTTGACTTTATCCCATGCATCTGTCACAGCTTCTCCAGCTTGTCTGCTATGAAAGTGATTTTGGATTCTGCAGTGTCATTTTGCTTATTACTGCTTCCAATGCGAATGTCAGGTGTTATTTCATTTTCCCCCATTTCTTTTCCTCTTTTGTTAAATCCCTCAGACAACCTTTATTTGGGCCTTATTTTGCTTCTTTTCCTTTGGGTTTGTCTTCTTGGATCCTATTTAGACTTCCAAGCCATTTTCTAAATTTTTTCTGGCCCCTTTAATAATTTTCAAAATTATTATCTTTTTTTTCTGAATTTGAGGGCTTTCACTTTTTCTTCTCATGTACCCATGTTGATATTTTTTGTTAAATTTATTTACTCATTCTAGAATGAGATCCCCATGGGGCCTCATGTTGTCCAATACATGAAGTTATGACTTTGGTTCTGTTCACTTTCTTCTTAGAATCTCCATTTTCAAATATAGAGCCTAATTTTAAATGTATGTACATTATAATAGCCCAATTAACAGTGATTAGTAAGTATTCATTTACTACAGATCTGTAAGATGGATGTGGTAGTTACCTACTGTTACCTACATAGCCTAGTTATCTGATACTTTAAAAACCAATGAAATATATGGAAAATGTCAGCCCCCCAGTAGACTCTACTCCTGAGGTTTTTCTTGTCTCTGTACCTGTGTAATAGATCTTTCCTTACCTCCCAGGGTACCACACTCTAACACAGTCCCTTTACTTCAGCTACTCATGTGGAATTGGTGAGCTGCAGCCTCTAAACAGTATATAAAGGTAATTAGGACTGGTTGAAGGGATGGACTGCTAGCATAAGAAAAGGTGGTACTCAGTCCCAAAAAGAAATTATTTGAGCTGCCCAGCTTTTTAGTGGATAGAAATCCTGCGCCTTTTAATTGAGTGAATACCAGGTAAACCATTAGGTAACTTGTTTCTTCTTGGGAAATTAAGGTGTAATGAGGTACAGGGACAGAATAATTATAGGTAGCACAGCTAGAATTAAACCACATGTATCTGACTTATCCACAGATCCATAGCTGCTCTGAAACATACGCTAGAAATCCTATTCTGCTTAAAACACAGTCACTGGTGATATTTTATATGACTATCTGACAGTTTCTCTGAAGGTAGAGGAAGCAGTGAGGCAAACTACTTGACATAATTCTGTTCAGTTCTAGAAATAGAAATGACGAGATCCCAGGAGAAAACATCTCGCCTTGTGGAGCCCTTGATAAACAGGGAGGGAAATCCTGAACGTAATTAAATGTGTGTACACACTAAAATTTAGGAAGATCCATTTTTAAACACTCAGACAAAAATTGGATATTTCATGAACAGAGGTACTGAAAGGAAAGAGTGCCAGAGGAATAAAAGTTTCAAAAGTTAAGTTCAAATGGAATGGTTGGGAATAATTTTAAAGAAAAATATTTACAGTCATCAAAATCAGTATGGGTACATGTATTCTTCCCGGTGGACTCAGATGTAAGAAGGACATGTATAATGAAAGAAAGTAGGAAAGTATCATTAATGGGAAAAGAATAGCCAATGTAAGAAAAAGGGAAGCTTAAATCTAAAATGAAGTGAGGCTTGCTAAAAAATGATGAAATGGTAACTGTAGGAAAAGAGAGGCCATTTAAAGTATACATTCAGATTAAACATGCACTCAACACTGGAGAAAATGTCGACTATAAGGAGATGTTACAGTATTAGAAAAAGGAAAGAAGCTTAAGTCCTATTTTGCTTCAATCTTCTCTGTCAAATAGAATATTTGGGGATGGGGGAAGGCTACCTGTAAAAGACTTCCAACTATCAGATAAGTGAACTGATGAAAAAGCATCTAGGTGTTCTAAGTAACATTGTATTTTCTTCCTGCATGAATGATAATATTCAAATATGAGAGAACCTGATGAACTGACTTTGAGGAATGTAGCATGCAGGACAGTTTCGTAATGGAAAACAAATGAAAAGCAAATATTTTTATAAATCTAATTTATAAATCTCAACCATCTTATGAATCCTCAAAATCTAATTTATCGGCTTTATAAATTAGATTCTGAATCCTCCCGGTCCTAAAAAAAAAAAAATTTCGTAAAATATCTTATTCATCTGATTTTTGGGGAACGCTTAGGGAAAGAAAGTGGTGATAAACTAGAAGATTATGTATACTATTAGACCAACTTCCTTTGCAAGGTGTATACCAACATAGGAGAATGCTATAGACATTGTAATCTTTCACTTTGACTCCTGACTTTCTTAAGGATGAAATGGTGAAATATAGACTGGATATAGTTGAGTTGTTTTGTGATTGCTTTAATAAATGTACCTAAGTATTGATTTAATCATTTGTTGTGAATTCTAAAGCTAAAGAGAAATGCTGGAAAACACTGGGGCTTCAGGGGGAGAATGGCCATGATGGTTAGGAGGATGTCATATGCCATCATGGAGAGGGTCACAGATAGAAGCGAGGGGGAGGGCTCAAGTGTGAGAAGTCCTAGGGGAGAGAGCATGGCTTTCTTCAAATGAATAACTGACATAGCCAAAAAGGAGGCCTGGAGAATCGACTGGGAGAGGCAAGCATTGAATGGAAGTTAACTGAATGAACTCTGAAGTTCTTCCCTCAATGTTTTATAATTTTGTTCTCTTTTATAAACCTAAAGTACAGACATATTTTTTAAATTGTTGTTAAATGCACCACATTCAACCCTACACTAAATTTAAGTGGATATTTTGTATATTTTCTCAGAATTCATCTTAAACTTTATAGCTTCTTTATGCTGGTTTCAGAGTAAATGCTCAAAAAACTATTTGGTTGGCTGATTTAAGTTTCTTGTTGCTAAAATATCACCTAAGATATGGCTTGTAAACCAAAATTACCTTCTCTTAACAGAAAAAGACAACGTAAGATACTTATGTAAAGAAATTTAACAGAATTTTAAAATTATATCTTAAAATTGTATCATAACTTTGTAAGGCAACAAATCCAATTTGTTTGCTATTGCTGTGTATATATATATATATTTTTTTGAAGTGCAGTGGCGCAATCTTGGCTCACTGCAACCTCGCCTCCTGGATTCAAGCAATTCTTCTGCCTCTGCCTCCCGAGTAGCTGGGACTACAGGCACACGCCACCATGCCCGGCTAATTTCTTTTTTGTATTTTAGTAGAGACAGGATTTCACTGTGTTGCCCAGGCTGGTCTATTGCTATTTATGTTGTGAAAAATCTGCTTATGCTGCACTCTCCTACTTTATTATCCACAGTCTTGTTCCTCTAGGTGCTCAAGCTAGATCATTTGGAGTCATCTTTGGCAGCACTCTCTCACCAATTTCTGTATCCTGTTAGTCACAGGGTTATTGATCCTTTCGATAACACTTAAAACCTGTTCTCTCCTGTCCATTCTTATTTCACAGGCCTAATTCAAATCCTCATGATCTTGAGCAAAGTCTATTGCAATAGCCTCAAAACCAGTTATATCATTTACCCCCATTCCAATGCTTTGCCTCTACCATCGCTATAGTTCATTCCAAAACACAGATCTGCTTAAAACCCTTCAGGAATTTTTAAATCCCTGGGGAAAAAAAATCCAGACTCTTCTACACAGTATGCAATGTCCTTAATTCATTGGCCCCAACCTTCATTTTCCCAGCCTTTCATAGCCACTCATGCCTGCTAAGCCCTGAGTCTGTATTTTTCAAACTAGAATACTTGTAGAGTGGCCAGAGTCACAGAGCCACAGGATAGACATCGCCCATGTTCCTGGAAGTTTAATTTTATTTAAATATCTAGGATTTTTTAAAGTAGCTCAGCTGGTAAATAAGTTAAAATGCCATTTTTATACTACACAAGTTATACCCTGTGACGTCTGAAGGGGAATACAGGTACAGAGCCTTACAGGGGCAGATGCAGGTTTCAAGGAGACTGACATGTCTGTGATTTGGAAAGCCAACCATAAGAAATATGTACAAAATTGCAAATCCAAAATTAGATACAAAAATGAATATTTGTAAAGAGAAAAAAGTCACAACATATTGTGTACTTAAAATTTTGACAAACACCACAAACATACAAAATCCAGAAATAAAGTAACTTTATTATTAGTTGTCAGACATACCTCTCTAATTTTTTTCACAAAATTTTTGTATACTTTTTGATCACCTCTCTGCATGGTATCAATTAGTAAGATGTTCTATGGAGAAACCTGAATGATAGATAAGTACTTCCTCTAACACGGTCAATTGAAATCTGTTCCTATACTCATAGATGTTCTCACTGTTCATAGTATTGCTACAGATTATTCACAACAAAGACAGAATCCTCATAAATTCTACTTCATGTGATTTTTTAAATTAAAAATAAGTATATTAAGCATTTATAATTTAATATACTAGATATCTTTCTGATAAAAAGAGAAATACGGGTATGATAATTGGAAGCATTTTTCATAGATCAGCTTCTGTATCTGTTCTTCTGTATCTGGACCCAGTTGGACATTTTCATATCTTTGTATAACCTCTGACCCTGCATGTCCCTGTCACTGTTGCCACAGGAGGTGGTACAGTGGGTGATTGCCAACAATGACTTCATGATAAGTGGAAGTGCCTGCAAGCCACATGAATATTTCCCACACACTCCAGCAAAATTAAATCTCATCTGAACTTCCCCTTAACCACATCCCAAATTACCAGTCATTCCAATATACCCAATGCAAGAGCGGTTATGCCAGAAGGAAAGTTGGGATTGAAAAGACAGTGGCCTTAACTAATCGTAATTAAAATATCTTAGTTTTACAAACTTAACAAAAAATCTTCACCAGTTGAACATATTGCTGGGGCCACTCCTGACCCTGGAAGGGGCCATGCAAGTGAGTGGCCCTGACACTTAAACTTCATTAGCTTCATGGTACATCTACCTCTGGTTCATTACAAGAAAGACCACACTTTACTGGCTCCTGATAATTAATACAAAATGTTTTTTAACATATACTCATAGTGTAGCCTTCAGTGCTTAGACTCATTCCATTCTTTTCCTCCTTTGATCTCCCTACCTACTTCCTTTTCTCTCCCCTGGGTCCTACTCCATCCTGCTACTGCCTCTTGTGGTCACGGTCAAAGATGCCCATTTCTGTCTCCATTTTGAAAGGTTACTGGTGAATCCTTATATCCTCAGAACAGAGCATATATAAGAAATACAAATGTTTTTCTTGATAATATTGATTTTTCTCTCATAGCTTTAAGTATTAGTATTTTGATGTACTGAAAGACTTCCCCCTACCTTGCAGAGAGGTTGAGATGGAAAAGAGAACAGAGCCGTATCGCAAGTGAAAATACATAAGAAAGATAATGGGAAATTCCAGTGCATTTTTAGGATGAAACAGAAGAAATCAAAGAAACTCCATCTTAGCAGTGGGCCTTTTAAAGCTGCAACTTCAGATCACCAGAATTACCCATTCGTTCTTTGCCACTTTTCTAAGTGGAAAAATCTGAGAAACACTGCTGTGTACATATTCAATTATACTACTAATAGTATTATTTCCTATTTTGCCCTTTGCTTTTTTTTAGAAGAGCATTTCCCATCTCTGCCAAATGATTTTTTACTCAACTTTCAAGGTCTAGTTCAAAGGTTATTATTCTATGTTATTCTATGACACGTCCTCAGGACACTTAAAGCAAAATTAATTGTGTCTCTTTCTTCTTTTCTAATGGCTTTAACCCCTATTTTATCATTTAGAAGATATCTTACAGTCAAATATTTATCTCTCATAAATAAATATTAGGTCATAATATTTATAAAGGCGATGTCTCATTCTTTTTTGTAATCCAGGAACCTATCCTGACAGTGTTGTGCTGGTAAATGTTTAACAGCTGACTTCCGTGGTCAGGAGACAACTGACTTGGAGCATCAGTTAATTTCTGTGTTTTAAATTCTCCCAACGTGGTAGCTTCCAAACTACCAATGGAGAATCACTGACCACAGAATTGGAAAGAGATGCATACGGCACACTATTCTGGGGCATTTCTACCAGATAGATATAGTAGATGCATGAATAATAATAAAATGTAGCAAAATAATTAAGAAGTCATGAGTTTTCAGTATTTATTACCTTTGCTTTTAATCTACTTAATTGTAAGTCTATATAATTTTATTTATTTTTTTATTTATTTGAGACAGAGTCTCGCTCTGTCACCCAGGCTGGAGTGCAGTGGCATGATATCAACTCACTGCAACCTCCACCTCCCAGGTTCAAGTGATTCTTGTGCCTCAGCCTCCCAAGTAGCTGAGGTTACAGGCAGGTGCCACCATGCCCGGCTAATTTTTGTGTTTTTAGTAGAGAGGGGGTCTAACCATGTTGAGGCGGGTCACAAACTCCTGACCTCAAGATATCCTTCCGTCTCGGTCACTGAAAGTGCTGGGATTACAAGTGTTAGCCACCATGTCTGGCCTGTATAATTTTACATAATGGTTGTGTTTAATAACTGGTTCACCAAATTCTTGAAAATTTAACCATCAGTTCTCATAGAGCTAGTACAAACCAGCCCCAGCACAGTATTTTACATGGCTCCTTGAAAGTGAATATTGACAAATCACAACAGACATTTTCAGAGGATTCTAGAAAAAATTCATATTTGTAGTGGAGGAGGAACACTAATTCTGACCCTTAAATTGATACTGATGTTATCCTCAGATAATCTGTTGCATTTATATGCAGCTTGCTATCTCTTCAATTCATAAAAATTCTCAAAATGTGTTGTTCATAGAAGTAAATCACAGAGTAACACAAAAACTGTTGATCATTCCCTGAGTTCTTTCAAGCTTGACATTTTCCTTTGTATAGATATGAGGTCAAAGGGAGCAACTATGACTTTCCACTCACAGAATCTGGGCAAAATGATCTTTCATCAAGGCAGATGATAAAGAGAATAGATGTGACATCAAGAATTGTTGGGATTTCCTCGGATAAAAACTCTTATAGACTCATTATTGCAATTCTGCCACAGGTCTCAGATTGTACTTACTGGTCCTGTTGGAGACAATTGAAACAAGACAAGGCAAATAATACAGCTCTAGTGTGTTCCAAGAATAACAGAATGACTTACTGTTATCCGTCCCATGAGATGAAATTAGATATTTCTGAGAGATTTCAGAATAAATTTTATTTTTTATTCTAAATGTTCATACCTGTAATCTTTGCTCTATCATATAGTAAATATCTGTCTATAACAGACATTTAGAACCAGATAATGAAAAATAATTGGAAATTTTCTTTTCTAAAAGCTATAACTTTTGAATATGATTTTAATAAAAGAATTCCATGTAAGTTTTTTTTCTATTTTGCAGTAGCTAAAGAGAAATTAATTAGTCATGTCATGAACCAAAGTTATATAATATGTGTTTATAAAATAGTACTAATTCACCACACTAAATTGACTGGATTTCAAAACATTCTATCACAGCCCTTCAGGTATTTAGAGTCAAGGAGAAAGAGAGACTAAAAGCATCGGAAAATTAAGGACATACAATTAAATATGTTTCAATAAATTAAGGATAGTTGTATAAATTATAAGTACAAATTTCATGTGTTTCTTAAAACATCACAAGTTGCTTTAATTTTTGAGTTCCATTAAGGCATTACAGAGCAAAAAAAAAAATGTTGACTTGATCAGGGTTACTCTGGTAATTACTCTTATCATCTTAGCATTTCATTCGTAAGAATTGGCCTATGGTAGATTACAAACATAATAGTCTTTAAACATGAATTACTAAAAACTGGCCGGGTTAGGAAGTCTGTGTTAATAGGGGAACAAAATGAATGGGGATGCATAAAAGCTAACTACAACATGACACACAGGCTTCCTTAGAAATAAATAATGAGCTAATTCACCATTTCTGAGAAGCAGTAGTTTCATACGCAGTTCCTGGGGTGGATCAAAAGAATCACCTAAATATGAGCACACATCTATCCATCTTCTAAAAGAAAAGGAAATGCTCAACTATACACAAAGGCTATGTTAAAACACCAGGCTTGTTCTCAGAAATCAGATGATCTTGGAGGGACTTTTCATTGACTTTTGTTTGGCCTGTGCAGGCATATTTATGAATTGTAAGAGAAGCTGAAATATTTGAAATAGAGATATCAAGTTCTCATTTATTTAGATGAATTTTTAGTGGACCAAAAATGAAATGAAAGGTTTTAGGCCAAAGATATTTTCATATATTAAACCCACCAGGAAATGAGTACTTTAAATGACAGTCACCCCATAATACAAAGAAATTTTGTCTGATTTATCTGAAATGCTAAATCATGTACTACTTACAGTGGAAACCTTCTGTAAATTTTCTATAAGTTAATCAAATTTGCATCCTAAGAATCACTTTTCATTCATTTAAACTGTATTGATCTTAATCTCTGAAAATATTCTGAAATTTTTGAAATTTATTTAATAATTATTAGACAAAGTAATATTTTCTTAGTGCTGTGTGCTGTATTGTAATAATTGATTTACCTTTCTTTCCCACTAAACTATAAGTTCCCTGAAAATAGAATTTCAATATCATTTGACTTTGGATTTTCAGCATAGTGCACTTAAACTCACTATTTGATGAGTGAATGATTTCTTAGAGAAAGATATTGAATTCAATTTATGTTACAATTGTTAATATGCATAAAAAATATGGAACAATATACGTCAATCTACTAGCAGTAGTTTTCTCTAGGAAATGGGATGGGGAAGGGGTATCAGGAGTATTTTACTTTCTGCTTTAGATTTGTATGATTGTCTTCATCACAACCTTGCTTTACTACTTTCATAATAAAAATGTTGAGGACATAAAAAAGTAGCACCTTAAAGTTAGTAGATGAAAAACTTGGCAACTATCCAACTTCTTGTTAATGTTTATGGTAAAGTCTTCACTAAATTGTATTACCAGTTATTTTATTTTCTGAGGAAGAAAAATTGGATTTGAATACTTTTATAGTCAAGAACATATTATTTCTAGTTCTTTTCTGATGTTTTGGATTTGTCTTCTCTTCACAGTTGTGTGTCTGTTTCTCTTTCTTCCAGAGTTATCAGTTTCCTTATTTAGTCATCTTCACCCTAATAAGTGGCAAACAAGCACTACTGCCTAGATTCTAGGGAATTTCACTCCACATTTTACCTCATCTATTTAGAACATTATGATGTTCAGAATACTTTTGTAGACACTCTATATGTATTAACATATTAATACATTGTGTATATATCCAACATCTCTAATCTATAAAACTAGAAAATGGTGAATTTAAATTTCTGTGTTCTTTCTCTAACTAGTATCATCATTATCAAGTTATATGTTTACGACATTGCCGGTATTTTCCATTCACAAAGGCTTTTCCCATTTAGATTTGATAAGGCCAGGGGGGAAAAAAAAAAGCAATGCTAACAGAAATGGTTTCGTGGTTAATAAAGCTACTTTATTAGCTTGGAATTGCATTTCATGGATAGTAGTAGCAATTAACCAATTTATCCATTTACACCAAAACACTTCTCCCTGGGAAATGAGCTACAATCTCCTTCAATACTGAAAATTCCCCCAGGTATCTGAGCACTTCATTCCCCACCCCTCTCTTCACGGCCAATAAAATTACCCTTTCTTTTTGATTAACCATTATAGTGTATCTCACATTTAACCTTTCCTTTTCATTCCCACTATTACTGCTTAAATCCAGGACCTGAAATACAAACGACTTCAATAGCTTGCTAACCGTGTTCAGTTTTTCTTTACACTGGGGCTAAGTTGTTCTACCTTCCTCTATTGCCAATTCACCTGGTAGCTGGTTTCCTACTTACTTCTAAACAAAATTTGATTTCCCTTAAACCAGTGTTCAAGGTCCCTGGATACCTTTCAGCTTGGTCTACAACTGTTAGACATTCCGTTTATTCCAGTCTGGTTGGAATACTTGTTATTATTCCCCATTGAACAACTTACGCTTTCCTTTCTCCGCCCATTTTCTTATACCATTTATATTAATAAGTTGCCTTCAGTTCTCCTTTATAATCTATTAAAATCATATTCTTTAGACCTTTAAATTATTTAGGGTTCCATGACCTTCTAGAAGCCTTGCTTTATTTCCATTATAGCTGGGTTCTTTCCCCTATGAATA
Organism: Homo sapiens; assembly: GCF_000001405.40. Lineage (NCBI taxonomy): Eukaryota > Metazoa > Chordata > Mammalia > Primates > Hominidae > Homo > Homo sapiens. The sequence goes on from NC_000005.10 coordinate 91,012,499, forward strand.
GCTATTTATTTGAACCATCTTATGACACTTACCACATATTTTCTTGTATCATCATTTATGTAGCTCTCCTCCCATTACTTTCTTTATTTCCTATGTGTCAAGTAATGTGCTCAATGCTGAGGGAAAAGTGGAAAACAAAAAGCAGTTTTCTCCCTCTTGAGACAGGGTCCATGGTAATGTATATTCATAAATGTTTAAAATACATAATTATATATATGTTTTTAATTCCTTTTTAAACTTTTATTTTAGGTTCAGGGGTACATGTGAAGGTTTGTTATACAAGTAAATTTGTGTCATGAGGGGTTGTTTTACATATTATTTCAAGTATTAAGCCTATTACTTGATAGTTATTTTTTTCTGTTCCTCTCCCTCCTCCCACCTCCACCTTCAAGTAGACACCAATGTCTGTTGTTCCCTTCTTTGTGCTCATGAGTTCTCATCATTTAGCTCCAATTTATAGGTGAGAATATGCAGTATTTGGTTTTCTCTTCTTGCGTTAGTTTGCTAAGGATGATAGCTTCCAGCTCCATCCTTGTTCCCACAAGAAAAACACATGATCTTGTTCTTTTTTATGGCTATATAGTATTCCATGGTGTATATGTATCACATTTTCTTTATCCAATCTGTCATTGATGGCATTTAGGTTGATTCCATGTCTTTGCCATTGTGAACAGTGCTGCAATGAACATTCACATGCATGTGTCTTTATGATAGAATGATTTCTATTCCTATGGATATCATACCCAGTTGAATGATAGATCTGCTTTTAGCTCTTTGAGGAATCACCATACTGCTTTCCACAATGGTTGGACTAATTTACATTAGCACCAACAGTGTATAATTGTCCCCTTTTCTTGGCAACCCTGACAGCATCTGTTATTTTTTGCCTTTTTAATAATACCTGTTCTGACTGGTGTAAGATGGTATCTCATTGTGGTTTTGATTTGCATTTCTCTAATGATCAGTGATACTGAGCTTTCTTCATATGCCTGTTGGCCACATGTATGTCTTCTTTTGAAAAGTGTATGTTCATGTCCTTTGCCCATTTTTTAGTGGGGTTGTTTGCTTTCCTCTTGTAAATTTAAGTTCCTCATAGATACTGAGTATTAGACCTTTGTCAGATGCATAATTTGAATTTTTTTCTCCCATTCTATAGGTTGTCTGTTTTCTCTGTTGATAGTTTCTTTTGCTGTGCAGAAGCTCTTAAGTTTCATTAGATCACATTTGTCAATTTTTGCTTTTGTTGAGATTGCTGTTGTTGTCTTTGTCATGTAATCTTTGCTATTTCTATGTGTAGGGTGGTATTGCCTAGGTGGTTTTCCAGGGATTTTATAGTTTTGGGTTTTACATTAAGTTTTTAATTCATCTTGAATTGATTTTTGTGTATGGTGTAAGGAAGCAGTCCAGCTTCAATCTTCTGCGTATGGCTAGACATTTATCCCAGCACCATTTATTGAATAGGGAGTCTTTTCCCAATGGTATGTTTTGGTCAGCTTAGTTAAAGATCAGATGATCCTAGGTATGTGGCCTTATTTCTGGGCTCTCTATTTTGTTCCGTTGGTCTATGTGTCTGTTTTTATACCAGTACCATGCTGTTTTGCTTACTGTAGCCTCATAGGCAATCCCATTCACAATTGCCACACACACACACACACACACACACACACACACACACACCCCTAGACATACAGCTAACCAGGGAGGTGAAAGAACTCCCGGGGCTGAAGCCTACTTGATCATGGTGGATTGGCTTTTTGATGTGCTGTTGAATATGGTTTGTAAGTATTTTATTGAGGATTTTTGCATCGATGTTTATCAAGGATACTGTGCTGAAGTTTTTCTTTTGTTGTTTCTCTGCCAGGTTTTGGTATCAGGATGATGCTGGCCTCATAGCATGAGTTGGAGAGGAGTCCTTCCTCCTCAATTTTTTTGAATAGTTTCAATAGAAATAGTACCAGCTCTTCTTTGTACATCTGGTAGAATTTGGCTGTAAATCCATCAGGTCCTGGGAGTTTTTTTGTTTTTTGTTTTTTTTTGGTTGGTAGGCTATTTATTACTGACTCAATTTTGGAGCTTGTTATTGGTCTGTTCAGGGAATTTATTTCATCCTGATTCAGTCTTGGGAAAGTATATGTGTCCAGGAATTTATCCATCTCTTCTAGGTTTTCCAGTTTGTATGCAAAGGTGTGTTTGTAGTAGTTTCTGATGGTAATTTTTATTTCTGTGAGGGGCAGTGGTAACATCCCCTTTGTCATTTCTAATTGTGTTTATTTGGATCTTTTTTCTTCTTTATTAATCTAACTAGCGGCCTATATATCTTATTAATTTTTTCAAAAAACCAACTCCATCTTTCGAATGGTTTTTTTGTGTCTTGATATCTTTCAGTTCAGCTGGGATTTTGGTTGTTTCTTGTCTTCTGCTAGCTTTGGGGTTCCTTTGTTCTTGCTTCTCTAATATTTGAGTCGTGATGTTTGACTATTAATTTGAGATCTATCTAACTTTTTGATGTGGGCATTTAGTGCTATGAATTTCCCTCTTAACACTACCTTACCTGTGTCTCAGAGTTTCTGGCATTTTGTATCTTTGTTCTCGTTAGTTTTGAAGAACTTCTTGATTTCTCTGTTAATTTCATTTTTTTACCCAAAAATCATTTAGGAGCATATTGTTTAATCTGCATGTAATTGCATGGTTTTGAGCAATTGTCTTAGTCTTGACTTCTGTTTTTACTGCACTGTGGTTTGAGAGTGTGTTTGGTATGATTGTGGTTCTTTTGCATTTACTGATGATTGTTTTATGTCCAATTATGTGGTAGATTTTAAAGTATGTGCCATGTGGCGATGAGAAGAATGTATATTTTGTTGTTTTTGGGTGGAGAGTTCTGTAGAGGTCTAGCAAATCCATTTGGTCCAACTTTGAGTTCAGGTCCCGAATATCTTTGTTAATTTTCTGCCTCAATGGTCTATCTAATACTGTCAGTGGAATGTTGAAGTCTCCCATTATTGTTGTGCGGGAGTCTATGTCTCTTTGTAGGTTTCTAAGAACTTGTCTTATGAACCTAGGTGCTCCTGTGTTGGGTGCATATATATTTAGGATAGTTAGGTCCTTTAGGTGAATTAAACCCTTTACCAATATTTAATGCCCTTATTTGTGTTTTTTAGTCTTTGTTTGTTTAAAGTCTGTTTTGTCTGAAATTAGAATCGCAACTTCTGCTTTTTTCTGTTTTCCATTTGCTTGGTAGATTTTCTTCCATCTCTCTATTTTGAGCCAATGGGTGTCATTATGTGTGAGATGACAGCGTACAATTGGGGCTTGCTTTTTTATCTGGTTTGCCACTGTGCCTTTTAAATGGGGCATTTAGCTTGTTTACATTCAAGGTTATTATTGATATGTTTGGATTTGGTCCTGTCATTGTGGTGTTAGCTGGTTATTATGCTGGCTTGTTCGTGAAGTTGCTTTATAGTGTCACTGATCTGTGTATTTAAGTGTGTTTTGTATTAGCTGGTAACAGTCTTTCTCTATTTAGTGCTCCTTTCAAGATCTCTTGTAAGGCAGGTCTGATGGTAATGAACTCCCTCAACATTTGCTTATTTGAAAAAGATCTTATTTCTCCTTTATGTAGGAAGCTTAATTTGGCTGGATGTGAAATTTTAGTTGAAGATTTTTATATTTTTTAAATTATTAATCAGCCTTTAATTGGCTAATTTGGACCATGCCATGCCTTAACAATGACAAACAATATCTTGTGTTTTTTAAGGATTTATTCATTATCTGGTTTCAGGTATTGTGTGGTAGGAAGTTCTTTAGAAATTACCAGACCCTGGAGGGTCCTTGTTCTTACACACTCTAGCCCCCATCCTAGTTCTCAGTCCCTGCAAGCTTCACACACATGTGAACAAATGCAGAGAAAAATTACTTGTGACCCAGGTCATTTACCTGGTCTCTTTTTCTGTCTTAATTTCCTTAAGCTGATTATTGATTACAAAGAAAACCTCTGGACTTTGGAGGTAGGGGAAATGCTGGCCAATATTTCATGAAAACCATTCACTGTCCTCTGCATCATTAGTAGAAGAAACAGACATGCAATCCTATAAGCCTACCAAAGGTCAGATTGATGAATTTTAGGTATCCTGTGGCAAATGGTGAAAATCAGAGATGACGCTCACCTGCTCCAGCTTGAGGATATAGACTAAGTTAAAATGGAATAAAAGATAATGTGACCAAAGAAAAGAAAGTCATTTAGTTCATTTTTTTGTTGTTCATCAATTCAATAAATATTTTTTAAGCACCTTCTATGTGCCAATTGCTCTAGTAGACACTAGAGATACAGTAATAAAAGTAGTCCCTGATATTAATCCTTGGTGTTAGTAAAAAGAGAAAGTACAGGGATGAAAAGGGAAGCTAATGAGGGAACAGAGAAACAGAGAAGAGAACTTTAACATTGATCTAGACTGTAATATGATTGGAAGACGTAGGGATATTCAGGATATAAACTGAAGAGTTCCAATGGGAGAACCGTTTATGAAATCATTGTTCCATTGCACTCAGTAGTACCAAGCAGTCCACAAGAATTGACACACATTTCAAACATGACTTACTACAAGCATGGCTTTCAAAATGGATATATGTGACTCATGAAGAGCCTTGTTCAATCTACTATTGCTAAACTTTCAATTTTGACATATTTTTCATTAAGAGGTGCTGTTCTGTCTTGCAATACTGATTGACCAGCCGCCAAACCACATGAACTACATTTGGACCACAATTGGCAGAATGTATTCTAATGTGAAAGATAATACAGCAAGTACTTCTTTGTAATTCCATGTTCAAAATGAAAGTATAAAATAAGCACCAAAAAAAAAATGATAAATTTTCCATTTAAAATGTACCAGTGGATCTGTGGGGGTCTATGAAATGTCTTTTGCTTTCCTATCTGAAGGAGAGCTCAAGTTGTTTATATTGTGCTGTTACTTCAGCAGTGAGTCAGGAACACTTTATCCTCCCGTGGCATGAATACAGGGGGTGATTGCAGGCAAAACAACCAGTCAGAGCAATTATTACATGCTCTTTGGAACTCTGTGCTGTGCCTCTTGGTAAATAGGATTTTATGATAAAAGCATCAAGATGTAGACATGTCACCAGTGATGTGAATTGTTGTTAAGTAGAGTTATAAGGTACAAATGTATGTATGCCCTTGGATGTGAATTTACCCCCAGGACAATGTTTTCCAGTGTGTGGTTTCCAGGTGACTTGTATCACTAGAAAATTTCGATTTCTAGTCTCCTACAGAGATTCTTATTTCTCAGGTCTAGTGTGGGCCCTGGGTGTCAGCACTTTGAACAAGTCCTCAGAGGATTCTAATGCAGATTGAGGTTTGAAAGCTATGGACCTAGAAGAAAAAGAATCACTTCCAATCAGTCAACATAACTAAATTGTTAACAGAAAACTATAATTTTATATATTCAGCAGTATAAAGTATATATGATATTCTGAAAGAATGTAAAACAAATATATTATATTGAGAGTATTCATAATCTACCCTACTATGTTTTTAACAAGTACATGCTGGATCTTCTATATTCACTTAGAAAAAGAAAATGATATACAGAGACCTAATAAAGAACCTGGTTCTGAAAGGGAAGGAAATACCTTTTCTGAAAGTCTCTGAGCATCTTTTCTCTCTTCTGACCTTGTCTGTTCTGAAAGATGAATGTCCTACAGGCAATCCCAGGGGGTCTTCCTAGACTGCAATTCTCCCTGCCCTTAAATATGTGGAGTTAACTGAAGCTCCAGACAGCTCAGCTCCAGATGAATTTCTCAAACAGTTCCTTCTGCTGTCCCGGGACCTGGCCAGAGATTCCATGGGAGATGCCTTTGGTAAACTGGATATGGGAGATTTACATAGCAGCATAGTGGGAGAGAGGTTTTGGCAGAGCCTCTTCAAGAGAAGTGTTGAAAGAAAAGCTGAGATTTATGTTACACAGTATCTTGACCTCAAGTAGTGTTTGCTTTGGGTTCTTAGGTGTGAAAGGCAACTTTTGCATTTCTAAAAAGAAGAAACTTGTAGGTCTTGCATACCATGTTTGCCCTAAGTCAGCTAAAGGGGAAAATGCAACTGGACATTCATACAAATAAATTAAGAAATTAATCTTAAATCCTTTTGTTAAATAGTCACATTTGGATTCCTTTATGAAGCTGTCTTCTAAAGCAGAGTTATACTGATTCAATAAATAAATATCCCTATATTTGATGAAGCAAACTTAGGATTCATGCTAATACAAATGACAGAAATCCAGTGTAAACTGCCATGGCTTAAGCCTTAAAGCTTAAGTAAGTTGGCGAATGACTGGCTTCAATCATTGCTGAATTCAGAGGTTCAAGATGTCACAGCATTCTGACTTT